>NC_000003.12:65161515-65464545 GCF_000001405.40 Homo sapiens
ATGAAGAAGTGAATTTTCAGAGATCCTTAATCATTCTAGAAGTCAGCCCAATGCATTTATTTATTTATTTATTTATTTATTTATTTATTTATTGAGATTCTTACTGCAGAATTCCGAAAAGAGCAATCAAAGATAGAACTTGAGCCAGTAGAAAATGCACTTAATAAGAATTGGGCATTGATGGAGTAGTTGTCAATTCTAAAAAACAAAGAAAAATTAATTTGCCAATTTAAAGTACTTGAAATATTTTTAAGTGATGCAGCACATTCTTTATAAGTTTCTTTTCTATTTGCTTACTATCAATTAAGATCCAAATAGTATTGGAAGTAATGTCCTTAGAATACTAAGCATGCAAATCCATTATTACGTTTCTTCATGATACTCACTAGTGAGAGTGAGAAGGGGAGATTCCCTGTTTTTACTACTTTTTCTACGCCCAAAGGATGTCAACATAGCTGTGCTACCAAAGTGAGGCATGTTGTGGCAACTTCCAGAGATGAAGCAAGGTGCTGAGAAAAATTAAACTCTTTCATGCTTGCCCTAAAAACTTAACCCTTTAGTGTGATGTCAATATCTCAGGGATTCCCTCTAATTCACTGGAGGAAGAAAAAGTCTCACCAATATTATCAATAACATACATTATGCAGTATGGATTTTGTAGGGGCTAAGTTTTTTTTTTCTTGATAGCCCTTTCTATCCAACTTTCAAGGTTAAATCTAAAAATGTGTGTAAAGTGCTATATGAAATAGCAACGTTTCAATATAATTCTTATATTTCAGGATGTGTTACAGAGCAGCTGATGGCCCCCAGGGAATCTATCCTTATCACTTCCAAAATTGATTGGTGCTGTTAGCAGAAGGTAGCAGAAGTTATTTTCCTTCAGATATCTCCAAAGCACAGCACTTGCTCCTTCTATATTTATAACTTAGGCACCCTAATCAACAGCTGCTTCAATGTGATGGGAGCAAACCAAGATTCTCAGCTTAGATATGGGCAAGCTTTGAGACAGAATAAAAGCATACTATGTTCCTTTCCTTGATTCAGCTAATTGCTGAATGACATTTTAATAAGCATCTGAGGTAAGACAAACCTGCCATTTATATTAAGATCAGCTTTGAGCTGTAGACAAGAATTTGGACTATAGAATTCAGCAGGAACACCCAGATACCAAAGCTGCACAAAATGACAAAAAAAAAAAAAAACTGATCCTTGCATATCTTTGAAGTCCATAACCAAGGGACAGGAAAATTTTATCTACTTCCTATAAGAAAAGGCAGTTTCCAAGGGTGGAGCAAGGATAATTTCATGCTGTTAAAATTCTAATTAGAAATTCCTATTTGAAGACTCTGGTAGTTCTTTGCCATCCTTTTTCTGGACTAACATTTTAGATGCTTGGGTTGTGATCTTCCAGCAAACCTTATTTCAAGATAGGCCCTTTCATCTTTCAAGTGGCTTCGGGGCATCCTTCTCAGTGCCAAGATCACAGTTATCTATTGCACAAATGAGGCCAAATGAGGATGCCACTTGGCCTTCCTTTCACAAACATCTTTCCTGCCCATGAAAAAGCAACAAAGCAGTGAATGGTTCAATGGCATCTGAAGCATATAAATTGTAAATTTCCCCACACAAGGAAATCAATAGGTATTTTCAAAAAGTCAAAGAGTTTCCTTCTATACTAACAAGCTGAATCCACTGGGGGAAAGAAGTGTTGGAAGATCCCACTTCTGTGTTGAGTATGTTGTTATAGTCCCCTGGCTTGTTTTCCTACACAAAGATTGAATTCTGAGAGAAGACAATTTTCCTGTAAAACAAGCAATGCAGTCCTTAGCCAATGTGACCTTGAACCAGTCCAAGCTTTATTGGCTTTAATCTCCTTATATACAAATGGGAATAATAACAGTATCTGCCCCCAACAGATTGTAATGAGGCCTGAGTTCCTGTAAAATGCCTACCCTACTGCCTGGCTCCTAGTCAATGCCCAGTAAATGGTATCTCTGAAGTTAACAAGGTCTATATTGATGTTGGTGGTGACTGATGATGATAAGCTGATACTGAATATTAGCTGATATTGAAATTTAGCTCAGAATCTCCCTATTCTTCCGATCATGCCCTTTCTACATCCCTAACAATGTTTGTTCCTCAGCACTCAGTTAACTCAGATCCCACCCCCAGATAGAAATAGAATGCCACAGCTTAATAAGTTTGAATGTCTGCAATTTAAAGAGGACTACAAGAAAACAATGAATAAAGTACTCCACAGGGTGAGTTTAGGTGCCAGAGCATTTCTCCAGAGCAACTTTTTATGGGTAGCCAGGGAGGAAGAAATGAATGAGACCAAGTTAAAGTAGAAGAAACAGAGCTCAATTCAAAGCCCACCTGGATAGATGGTTTTGTGAGGTTGATTCCTGGATATCACTACAATGAACACCTTTGTTGGAAGAGCTGAGCCATGGAGACTTTTGCTAATGTTGGTTGATTAGATTATTACACAAAGCAGCATAGAAGGCAGCCTTCCCTCCTGCCCCTTTGCCCTCCTCCTCTTAATTTTGTAGATTGATTTGACCACTCATCAGTTAATTAAGATATTTATTCCCTGCACTAGGGTTACCCTACTTATCAGATGATAATAAAACTCATTTGAAAACTAAAGAGAAACATTTAATTCCAAGTCATATACAAAAGCGCATTTATAGATAGATATCTTGAGGAAAAGCAAGATCTGAACTTCTAAAATTTAAATTCCAAGGTTTGAGGGCAGGAGGGGTTATTTTTACTGTATTTCAAAGATGCAGGCATTCATGATTAAAATTTTTTTTTCTGATACATTAAAGAGGATTGATCTGGTAGAGGAATAATCATACAGAAGTTGAAGTCTAAAGTTCTGAATTCAAAGTCTGACTCTAATGAGCTCTGTTACCAGAGAAAGTCATTTAATTTCTCCATGCTCCGTTCTCTCACTTGTAAAATGAAAGTGCTTGATAGCCTATTTTCTTTTGTGCATGTACATTTTACAATCGTTATACATGTTCATCATTTTTTTAACACATGGGTATGTCAAGATAACAGCAAAGTTCTCCCTACTCATTACCCAACAGTCTCACTACTCAGAGGTAACTATAGTTAACTGTTTGTATACATTCATATATGTGAAGACATGAAGACATATATTTTACAGAAAAAATGATTCCACTATGTCAAACGTTGTGCAATTGCTTTTTTATTCCTAATAATATTTTCCTAAGCCTCATTTTAAGTGAGTTCAGGTAAATCTACTTTAAATACTACATAACATTACATTATGTCATGGTTTATTTAACTTTTCATTGATTTACAAATTTAGGTTATTTCTGTTTTCGTTTTTTAGCTGATGCAAATAAAGCAGCAATGAATTTTCTTGGGCAACTATCATGTGCACTTAGGCTCATATACCAGTTGACTGGATATCATAGAATGCTTCTGAGAAATTGATTTTTTTTTCTCTCCTAGACCATGGTTTTTGGTCTAAAAATGTGTATAGAAAGCTTCAGCAAGTGACTCAGAACACCATCTCTCTTGTCCTCTCTTTCTCTCTCTCTCAAAAAAACATGCAAATATGACATTATGACATTTTACTGCAAACCTGACAGAAACCCACATGAAAGCCTGCATAAGGGTTTTCAGAAAGTTTTATTTAATATTGTCAATAATGGCATACAGTTTAAACTGCCAAATCCCTCAGAACTTTAGAGAAATATTTAGAAATTGATGAATGTTAATAACAACAATGTAATGACATAGTCGGGGGTTGGGGGGGAGATGATAATTTGTTAAAGAAAAACATGCAGAGCTCAGCTGAGAAGAAAAATCCCCTTTTCTGACTGACACAACTGAGCAAAGAGAATCATTCAACTTCAAAGCCAAAACAAAAAAACTTAACTACTTACCATAATTTGGGAGTAAAGATTGACAGTTTGCAGCAAAAGTTAATCTCCTGATTCATGTTGAAGGCATTGACTCAATAGAGTACCATCATTTATAGTATTGCCTATGAGTTAATAAAATTTGCTATTGGAGAGTTTACAACTTCCTCTGTTTAAGAACAAAGGTTCCTTAAAAAAAAAAGAAGATGTAATTTTACTTATGCCTCTTTCAACTCAAACACTGCACAAGCGAACAACATATGGTAATTCAAACCAATAAAAGTTACTACAAAGAAAAGAATATGATGGATGGCCTGTTCACCTGTTTCTGAAGGTAGAGTATCATCAAGTTGGAGAAAAGGAAGTCAGGTAGAAATGGCATGACCACCATCTTATTTTCTTCCATCACTGCATTTATCCAACAATGCCCATTTACCGTACATGCACTTAATTTTTATTGTAACCATCCATATTCATCTCAGAGTGAGATGTATTTCCTAGGTGTGAGGGAAGATTTCCAAATTAATAAGTTATTTCTGCATCAAAATTCTCTGAAAGGATTATGAAGAGTGTGATGAGAAAAATCACACTTTCAACCCTAGTCTGAAACAGCACAATATATACTTTTGTTTTTTTTAAAGAAACTTCTTGTAAGGGGCCAAAACAATTAAAGAAACCATTCTGGGATGGTCAACTAGTCACCCCAAGCAGTTTCTTCTTTCTTTATAGCTGCATCTTTGAGACAGTTGTAGAATATGACAAATTAAAAGAGACCAGGGCTGATAGTTTCACAAAAATTACAGTTTCATAAAAATTATTAATGTAATTTTGAAATTATTTACATTAATGAACTCCAAAGGAAATCCTGAGTCTATAATAAGGACATATAACAAAAAAACTGAAAATGAAATTTTCACAATCTCATAATATTCAATCCTTACTTTCTCAGTATTATTACAGATATCCTACAGGTTTCTAAGATTTTCAGTGTTTCAGAACTATTCCTGTTAGTGTGAAATTTCCAACATACAGAAAAGCTGTATTTTTTATAAATCTTACAGAAATGCTTATCTTAGGCAAAAATGTTTCACTTAGAAATACGTCATTAAAGGATTTTGGATTCTACATAGTGGCTACTTTAGAGGGAACTCTACTCTGGATATTTTCTGTTGTTATCTGCCTGACTTTCATTCACTTGTCTTTTGCATCCTGAGGAACTGCCCCTTCCATAATCTCAGTAGGATGGTGTTTGTCATTTCCACAGCACCACATGTGGTCAGGTGATCCAAGCCTGATCAATTACAGCATCACATCCCTGGAGCCATAGTGATTAGTTTAGAGGTGAACAAAGGAGCTCAGTCAAGGCTGATTGTAGCCAATGAGTCAATGTATTCAATGCCAGGGCTCTAACTTGAAAGAGAGATGCTCTGTTTCCATGTGTACTGCTTTTAATTCATGGATATCCATTTTCACTCACTTTTAGTTTTTGTTTTGTTTTGCTTTAATCATTTCTACTCCCTCTCTTCAGGTTGTTGTTTTTTTTTTTTTTTTTCTAACTCTGGCCAACTTTTTCCATGTCTTATTCTTTTGGAACTGCAGTATCCCAGGAACCACCCAGAGAACAGAAAAACATTTTTTGCTTCAGAAGGATTAGGATCTAGGCACCATGTGGAATTCAGTTGAAGAGTTTCTTACATGTTCTTTACAAAAACAACAAAACAGAAAATAATAAATGAAACAACTACCATCAAAAGGCAGCTGACCCAGCACTTCTTTTCCTTTTTTCTTGAAGTTTGGCTGGGCAGCCTGCAAAACAAAGAAACGTATTGGCGATATGAGGTTCATATGTCAGAACTCTTTATCTTGAGTGGGGCTGAAAACTTAACTTGAATTGACTTGAGAGAGAGAAGATATTTTCTCCTCTATCAGAAACGTTCAGGGTAGATGTTGGCTTAGGGCACAAATGAATTCAGGATCCAAATGATGTCATTGGACTCATTTTTACTCCTTATCTCCACTCTGTCTTCCTCTGTTGATTTTATGGTCAGGACCTGAGACGTTAAAGCTTGTAGTGACACCTGAAAAATCAAGGCTCAAGTACTTTTTATAGCTGGGGGAAGAGGAAGCATAAGCAAGATTTTCATTGTGCCTCATTGGATTTGACTGAACCCATTCATTCGTTCATTCATTCATTCATTCATCTACTCCTGTTTCTCTCTAAGCAGTTACTTTCTGATTAAAAACACATCAATGACCACAGCATCCCTAAGATGGTGACTTCCGATCACAAGTCTATGTGACTTTCCAACTCATCTCTCCAAAGGAAACTAATTCAAACTCACGCTAATTTCAAAATCCATGGCGAGAGATTCTGAAAGAAGTCATTTTTTGTCTACCCCTAGTCCAATCAGAGGAGCTGTGAAGATTGCCACTTTGGGGCATTAAGGCAGGGTCTCTGAGAAAGCAGAGAGACAGAAGAGGAAACAGTCCCAGCATAACACAGTCCCCACCATAATACAAACAGATCTCAAAATTCTTTAGGGTCTTTCTGTTATGCCAACCTATTCACTCATGTGATACAGAAATGGAGACAACATTGGATAACTCTCCACATTCAGGCTAGGCAGAATTCCCAATCCCAGCCTTCTCCATGTGCTCCCAAAGTGCAAGCTTCACCCCAGACCAGTGAAGTACGATGAGTAAACCTCAAGGAATAACATAAATGCCTATAAGCAACTCCAGCTTAATTTCTAACTTGTACCAAATATGCCAGATACAATGAGTTCAAATCCTGGCTCCATTAATTAGCTATGTTGCCTTGGGCAAGTCACTAAACTTCTCTTTGCCACATTTTCTTTAACTGTAAAATGTAACCCTCACGATTTTTGTGTAAACCTCATGATATCCCTCCTTCATAAAATTCTGTGTATCATGATTTTCCACAGTGGGACTATTTGGTAGTATTCTCTTATACTTAAACCCCTGTTAACACTTGTAAGTTTTCTATTACCTACCCACCCCTAAATGATGACAAGGCAAAGTCAGAGAGCGTCAGTGTGGAAATATAAATCTGACTTCTCAACCCAGCCCTGAGCCCAGACATAGTGTTGCTTTGAAAAGGCACTAAACTTGGGCCCCCAGATTGTCACCTATAAAATGAGGGAATTGGAGTGATTGTTTCTGTTTCCTTCCGGCCTTATTCTAAGAATACCCGTTAAGTGTAACAATTATTTTAAGACTGAACTTATGGTAACTTAAATGTTACCGTCATGGAAAATTAAGATGCCTTTGTTAAACAAGGGAAGTACCAGTGTGCTGTCAAATATGGAATTCTCTTGTATAAATGTGACTGGAGAAAAAAAATGTGAGAGAGCAACCTCTGAGCAAGGCTTCTGATAGTCTCTGAGGTAATATCCTGAGAGGATATGGCTTCTTATTAAGAGATCCCGGCCCAGCACAGCAGAAGGAGGAAGAAGCAGCAAAATGTTTTCCCCTGTGATATGTTGCTGGTCTTTCACAGATCTGTATTGTTTTTCCTCCCTTGTTTCCATTTATTGGTTAACTACTAATATTAATAGTTTTCTTAGCCTTGTAGTAACCCCCATTTGTGATTTAGAAAACAGATTCCAAAGGCAATCCTTGTTTCACTGGAAGTTGAGATTTTGGCTTGCTGTACCTCGTGGCCTTCTGGGTTCTGACGGAGGCTTAACCTGAGAAGAATATTATGTCTGGTTAAGGAACAGAGCAGTCCCTGAGCTGCCACAACTATAGATCCTTGGTATGCCAGGAAATATACTTTTGTTCCAGGATCCTTTTCAAGTCACTACCCAGGCCTCTCCAAAGAAGCAAATGCCATTCTGTCTTGATTTTCATCCTGACATGGGCTTGGGCACAAATACATTGTCCAGCAGCATCAAACACTGTTCTGCAGAGGCTTCATCCTCAAACCATCCTATCAAAGAAATAACTGCAGGATACTCAGCCTCACGGTAGAACTCATTGTGACTACAAACCCTGTTTTATATACCTAATCACATTGTCCATAGAAAAAGCAGGAAGCCAGCCAGGTGAGGTGGCTCACGCCTATAATCCCAGCACTTTGGGAGGCCGAGGCGGGCAGATGACAAGGTCAGGAGTTCAAGACCAGCCTGGCCAACATGGTAAAACCCTGTCTCTACTAAAAGTACAAAAATTAGATGTGCGTGGTGGCAGGCGCCTGTAATCCCAGTTACTCGGGAGGCTGAGGCAGGAGAATTGCTTGAACCCAGGAGGTGGAGATTGCAGTGAGCCAAGATGGTGCCACTGCACTCTAGCCTGGGTGACAGAGCAAGACTCTGTCTCGGAAAAAAAAAAAAAAAAGCAGGAAGCCAATCAGAGAAGCAAAATTATTTCCTTCGTTTTGTTCTGTGTGAGATAGGGTCTCGTTCTATTGCCCAGGCTGGAGTGCAGTTCTGCAATCATAGCTCACTGAAGCCTTGAACTCCTGGCCTCTCACATGATCCTCTCTCCTCGGCCTCCCAAAGCACTGGGATTACAGGCATGAGCCACCACACCTGGCCATAATTCATAGATAGATATGAATGGGTATGATATTTCACACTTGAGAGAAATAAGGGAGGTGGGAAAAAATCATTCTTTGAACAATTGCTACTTGTCAAGCTTTAAATGCATTGTAAAATTAAATCCAAATAAGAACTCTGGGTGTGGCAAGGCAGTCTACTTCCATATTACAGAGCTATGAGGCAATTTGCTCGAGGCCACTCAGCTAGTAACAGCTGAGCTGGGATCCGAACCCAAGTCTGTTTTTCTCACCACTTCAACCACCAAATGCCCATATATCACTTGAAATAACTGGGGGAATTCATTTTCTAATTTAGATTCATATTGATGCATATTATATGATGTTTCTTATCTTGTGAACAAGGCTTATTTCTATAGCGTTTTCTTAACATCCCAGAAAGTAAAATTTTTCTCCAAAAGAGACTCTGAGAATTTTAATATTTTGCTTACTCAAAAAGGCAGATTACATTCTGCATTCAAAACAAAATAGCTCCCCCTACAGTTTTTGCTCTATTCTCATCCTCGGCTTTGGCAAACAACACAGAGAACCCCTAGGTCAGATACCAGAAGGCAGAGCTGTGCACTTGCCCCTTATTGATGGGAATAATTATTGGTCCATCTGCTTAGAGAGGATCAGCGTTGCTACTCAGGACAAGGAGGCAGCCCTTTAACATTTCCTCACTTTCTTAAGTGTCGGCAACAATTAGCAGAATAACTCTGTAGTTGCTAAGAGTCTCGTGTTGATTTTGACAGGCTCCAGGCTGGAGTAAAAATGTGCTTTCTGGAGGCCAAATTCCCTTCCAACTTCCAGTGCATAGCTGGCAAAGGCAGACACTGTCAGCTATTCAAGTGCCGAGATTCCTCTGTGATGTCATGAGTCCCAGCTTGGCCCAGAGCCCACTGCCTCCCGGTAACTGGTTGGAAACTTGCAAAGCTGTGCGTCAGCATCACGTTAGGAACATGGCACCTACGTGCTCTCCCATGGGTCTGCAACGAGGGAACACCACTGATGATGCAAGGACTGCTGGGAACTTCACTATAGTTCTGGGTGCTCAGTGGCCCTGGGGACGTCAATAATTTGAACTGGCCTAACGTCATTTACTCTCACTATCCCTTAGAAAAATCAGCTGTCTCTGCCTCTTTTGGATTTGGTTCTTTCTCCTAGGTAATTTCCCAAGGAATTTTTAGGTGGAGGGAGGTGGAAGACCCTTCATGTAGTCCATGCAAGACCTACCTAAGTGGACAAATGAAGGAAGATGGATAATAATCAGCCACCTATTGATAATGTTAAGAAAAATTAAATTAGCAAATGGAGCTAGAAAGTACCCTGAAAACTTTAAAGGATATAGAAATAATAATTAACATGTGATGAGCTCTTAACATGGGCTAACGACTGTGTTAACAACTTTACATGTAATATTTCTTTTAATCCTCAAACCAGGCTTATAAAGTTCATTCTATTAATAGACCCATTTTGCAGAAGAGAAAACTGAGTTGGAGAAGTTAAATATTAAAAAGATGTCAAATTGCACAGCAGAAAATTAACTCTATATCTGTATGACTCTAAAGCTCATGTTCTTAACACTGGATAGCACTGCTTCCCCAAAACAGAAGTGCAAGTTAAGTAGCAATTTATAGTGGAAAGTATAATCAGATACTAGGAATGATACTCAGATCCTGAGAAAACTGAGATTTTAAAACATGAGCATGCTTTCTCAGTAAAGTTGCCCTTTGCACCCGTAAAGTGCCTCTTACCTCGATGACTGAACATGACAATTAGTGTGTATAGAATGATTTGTGACTTTTTAAGAATTTCCATATGTGCCATTTTATTGAATCCTCCCAGTAATCCTATAAGAAACACAGGGCAGGAATGTCTACTTTCTAGATAAAGCAACTGAGGAAGTTAAGTGACATGGCCAAGGTCCCATAATTTAAAAAGAGGAATCTACTGATTCTCAGTTCATAGCTTTTTCTACTTCCCTGAGATGCCTGACTTGGGAACAAATGGTAACTTCAATTCTTCCACCTCTTCCCTACAGCAAACCTAGCCCTTGGTATCTGCCTTTCTCCATCTTCTCTAAAGAGATAACAATCCTGTCACCCACAAACTTCTGTGCATCCAAGGACAGGGTTTAATAAATAACTTATTTGCGCCCTAATCCTCCCTGCCTGTCAATATTTGCTGAATGGCTTCTTTAGAAACCGCCCCAAGTTTTCTTGACCAGCTGAAAGTGATGAGCAATGGAGATAATTTACAAGGCAGGAGGAATGAATGAGAGTTTGGCGGACTAGACATTTGGGGATGATATTGTCTAAATTGGTTAATTTCTTTTAATCAAGTGGCTTAGTTCAAGCCATCATTAGCTCTCCCATGTCAATGGTATAAGTGGAATGACCTCCTAAAAGGTCCTGCTGCACCCGGCCAACCATTTGGATCTGTTTTTTAAAGTGAAGCCAATTTAATCTTACAAAAAATGTAAGTTCCTCTTGGCTTTAAGCCTTTCAAATGCTTCCCAAGGCCTTTAGGATTAAAATAACAAATCCTTATAATAACATATGACCCCGGCTTACTTGTCCAACCTCTGCTCGGGTCACTCCCCAACATGCCGCATTTCCCCTCTCAGTCTGCACCCTCATCTCTTTACCCAATGTATGAGAATTCCCTTCACAACTTCCCTGACAATAGTCCTCCAACCTAGGCTTGAACATGCCCAGGAATAGCCTGGCAGAATAGCCGTTCTCTTGACAAGCACATCAAATTATCATTCCCTAGCTGAGTCCCAATCAGCTCCTTTATAACTTGGGATCAGAAGTCATGGAGATTTGGGTCCATGCACACTGGCTGTGTGAGTCAATGTCAAAGCCTCAGTTTCCTCATCTGAGAAATGGGTAACCTGATGAAGTTGTAGCAATTAAGTGAGAACAGGTGCAGAGTACTCCTAACAGTGCCCTAAATGTAGTAAGTGTTCAGTAAGTATTAGCCATCATCATCATCATCACTTTCACCACATGCCTTTCCATTCACTTGGCTACACATCCTGAGTTTCTTCAACAAATGCAGAATAGCATTAACTATTTAAAAATCAGTTAACATTTAATAGTCCCCCCAGGACATATAGCCTAATGCCCTTTTATCTAGGGAGAAGTCTTGGATTATCATAAGAAGTTCCCTAGCTCTGCTGCCAAGTTATGGGGGTTTACTGACTAGGACCACAAGTTGATTGCCACATCTCCTCCCACCAAACCAGGCCCACACCTAATGCCCATGTACACACACCAAAGAATAAGTGAATTTCCCAGTTCAGTTACTTTTAGAGTTGGACTTCTAATCCAGCTTGAGTCTATACTACATCAACACTATAGGAATAGAAGAGGAGGAGGAGACAGTCTAAGACCCAGGACAGTTGCAAAAGGATTTTTTGTTTAACAAAAAAGAAAATAATGGCCGGGTGCGGTGGCTCATGCCTGTAATCCCAGCACTTTGGGAGGCCGAGGCATGCAGATCACAAGGTCAGGAGATTGAGACCATCCTGGCTAACATAGTGAAACCCCATCTCTATTAAAAAATGCAAGAGATTGGCCAGATGTGGTGGCGGGTGCCTGTGGTCCCAGCTGCTCTGGAGGCTGAGGCAGGAGAATGGCATGAACCCGGTAGGCAGAGTTTGCAGTGAACCAAGATCACACCACTGCACTCCAGCCTGGGCAACAGAGCGAGACTCCTTCTCAAAATAAAAAAAAAAAAAGAAAAGAAAAAAATACATAAATAACAAGAAAAAGAAAACATATAGTGCTCTTATTTGCATTTTTGGTTCACAGTGAAAAATCAATACGGTGTCTGTCTTTTCTTTCAAGAACTCCAATGCTTCCTACTTCAAAGCGTATCATCTAAGTTATTGCCTTTCATAAAGACACAAAAATGAGACATTAATTTGTGCAGCATGAATTGAATTTCTGAAGGAAATACATGGGGAGTGTGTTTGAGGAGAAACTATAGAGGCCAATGTAGTAAAACACGCCTCCCTGCATTGGTGTTATGAATCATCACACTCAGCCAATGTGGGTAGACTGTGCCTCATTTCATCATGTCTGTAGACCATGCCAGATGACCTTAAAGAAGCATCACATGTTTCTTTGCATATACAGCCTCATCTAACCATAAAGAAATAATTAAAACAAGCAACAAATAAAAATTGTGGACATGTATTTTTTAACTGAAATGTAGCATAGCAACTACAGCAATGAAACAGATAAGAGAGAAAACAGATCAATATTTATAGCATAAATTTTGGTAACACAAAACCAAACTACCATTCAAGGAACCCAACTCTTCTTGCCACATCACCCCAGGAAGGCAGCCAACTCAAGGCAAAAGAGGACATTAATTTCTCAGTTCTCACCCCTATATGATTCCCACTCCCTCTTTATACCATGAGGACCTGCTCTAAGCAAATAGGGCTCATGGGAAGTTGACAGCAACACCTTCTCACCCCATCAGCGTGGCCTTTCTTCCTCATTGCAGCCACTGACAGCTTTCTGTCCTCCAGGCACTCAGAACATTGATTCACCCGGACTCCTTTGGTTACAAGTGTCAGAAACTAAACTTACTGAGTTAAGCCAAACTGGAATGATGGGTTCAAATAGCAGGGAAGTCCAGGAGTAAGCTGGCCCCAGGAAGCCCAGTGACTTAGACAATGTGATTACATTTTACCATCTCCCTCCATCTCCAAGCTCAGGTTCTACATGTTGTCTTCTTCCTTTTCTATAGATTGGCTTCTTCCTCGTGGCCAGGTTGAATGAGGAAATGGTAAAAGAGGTGTGGATGCAGACAACTCTGGGCTTTCATTTCCTGCTTAGTAACACCAGAGCTTCTCTATTCCATTATCTCTCTCTATGAAACTGCAGGGAAGGACTCTGATTGGCCTAAATTGGGTCATGTGCTCATCCCTGTGGCCATGGAAACCAGTTACTATGATTGGCCAGGCCTACTTTTTATGTCCATTCCTACGGCTGCAGGGCCATGTCCTGTGATTGGCAGCTCCTCAGAACCACATGGAGTGGAAGAGCTGTTCCTAGAAATAGGGTGCTTGTTATTCTGAGAGGTAAGTAGAAAAGACAAAAAAATGACAGTTATTTACCATATCATCCCATTCTGTCTTTATTACCAGAATACACACATCCTCTGACCCTCTTTCACTTTAACCCATGACCTCTGCTTCCCATTAAATATTTTCTGGAATAATTCTTATAAACATAGACCTTTTAAATCCTGCCTTAAAATCCCACTTGATCTCATTTTCACATTTAAAGAAATCCATCCTAGAAGTCATAAGTAAATAAAAAACACTTTGTGTTTACTACAGTTTGGTTTTAAAAAAAACTTCAGAATTACTTTTGTAGAACTCAAAAAAACATTCAATTACCAACCATTCCTCCTTTCGAAAGTTCCAAGATGCACAAAGGCTGCTCTCAAGGCCACTCACCTGCCTGCTCAGATACTGACACCCGCCCCCTCCAAACAGTCCCACTTTTAATTTCCCCTTAAATAGTTCTATTTATTTTCTCCTACCATTTACTCTTTGACCTTTCTAGAGTAATGAGCTAGAATTTCCAGACCTCACCACTTACAGTGATTGTAATAATAAAAACCAAGAAGTTGGTGATCAAGCCAGCGACCTATTAGGTGGAGCAGGAGAAATGGTGGGCCAGGCAGGCAAAGTCAGGTTTTTCATAGCAGGTGAGGGAGGGAGGGGTCTGTGCATACTCACATGCTGATGTATTTTCCCTGCAATCTCCCTATTCACTTAAAGTTCAGAGAGTTGGCAAAAGCCACTTATTTCACAAACTCATTCACAACAAGGCAGGGTTACCAAAGCACAGATGCTACACAGTGAAATAGCTTTGTAGTCAAATAAATCTGGGAAAGGCTTCCCATCATATCCCTCGATTTGAGGTTTATAGTGTACCTGAAAGACTGACAATTTTTACAGTGAAGGCAGATGTTTCTCTTGTTTTACCTGTCATTCCAAAAACACACTTGTGAATAGAACTCTTCACAATAACACCCATTAAAAGTCTTAGGAATATACTTCAAGAATTGTACCACCAAGAGATTTGTGGCTACTAATACCATCTCCGGGAGAATTTTTGCTTTTTTCAGAAGGCTGGCTCAAACGTCAGAACTCTACTGATGGAGATGTTGGGCAAGCAGCCAGCCTGTGGTAGGTACTGGGAAAGAGAACCTTTTGATATCTCGTCTTCTGCGGCCTCTATTTGGTTTGGACTTGCTCTCCATACACCACTGCTGAGTTTCTGAGCACTATACATTGGAGAATAATCATTTTGGTTCCACTGAAAGGCCTCTCTTTTCATCAAACTAGTGTAGCCCTTTTACATCTCTCATTGCTCCAGGGAGCTATGAGCAGTTTTCCTACCAAAGGCACCAGGTGCTGTCTGTGTTTCTGGGACCTTCTCCAGTGCCTGTCTCTGTTGGTCCCCTTGAATGTGCTGCCTCCATTTTGCTACTTGTAATTGAGAACCATGGGCTTCAGGCTGGGTTTCCATCTCCCTGCCTTGCCCCATTAGACTTGATGTTATATTCCGGAGTTTCAGTCCCAACCCAAAACCTACTCTCATATGCCTAAACTACAGGTCAACCTCACCCTATTAAATTCAGCTCAGGGTTGAGCTTTTAACCCACCACTTGCCTGCAAGAGAAAAATAGAAGTTCCTTTCCTTCTATTTACATTATTTCTGAAATTTCTGAAATAGAAGGAAATAATTTACATTATAAATAATTACATTAGATTATTTCTGAAATCTACATTTCAGAAAATTTTAGCTCTTTGGTCAAACTTGGTGCTTTCTACTTGCATTACTGTTATGTGTATGAATGACCTAAGTCCCTGCCCCACTGCCACACATCTCAAGCTTCTTCAAGACAAAACAAAAATCTATATCTGTTTTTCTCCTTATCTCCCTAATACCTGGGTAACGTCTTTTGCAGGTAGTAAGCACTTAACAAATGCCTATTAACTGAATCAATAAGAGAATATATAATCTTATATAGCATGTGGATGCTTTGGAGGACTAACAGAAAAGACAAAATATTTATAAATTTAACATATTAAATCCTGTTAATTTCGAATTTCCTAAGCCAAAAGTGTATTAGTCCGTTCTCACACTGCTATAAAGAACTGCCCGAGACTGAGTAATTTATAAAGAAAAGAAGTTTAACTGACTCACAGTCCCACATGGCTGAGGAAGCCCCAAGAAACACAATCATGATGGAAGGGGAAGCAAGGACCTTCTTCACATGGTGGCAGGAGAGAGAAGAGCCTGTGAGAGCTTCTCAGGAAAAACTACCATTTATAAAACCATCAGATCTCGTGAGAATCTACCCACTATCACGAGAACAGCATGAAAGCAACAGCCCCCATAATCCAATAACTTCCCACCAAGTCTCTTCCTCAACACCTGGAGATTACAAATTCAGGATAAGATTTCAGTGGGGGCACAAAGCCAAACCATATCAAAAAGCTATGTTGATTCCCATAGCATGGTGATTTTCCCTTCTTCCCCCTACCTTTGAGTATGTCTGGCATTGTCTGGAAATATATTTATTTATCAAAACTGGGGTTGGGGTGGGGAAGAACAGAGCTACTGGCATCCAGAGGGTTGAAGCCAGAAATGGTGCTAAACAACTTACAGTGCACAGGACAGAACCCCTGCCTCCAACAAAGAATTATATGTCCCCAAAGTCAATAGTGACACTACTAAGAAACCCCGCCACAAAGTCAAGAAAAAGCCCGCCTTTCCACTGCCCAATAACAAAAGCTTGCTAAAGAAATGAATAACCTAAAAAGATTGCAAGATAGAATTCAAGTTTTTTCAAATGCTTCAAGTCACCTGGTTTGCTTTCATCAAAGAATGGTCTTTATGATTATCATTATTCCACTGTAATCACCCAGAATGCTTTGCTTATGTTCTGTGCTGGACCAATTGGTAAATTGAATTGCTTAAATGCATTCCCTTCTTAGTGGTGCTTTTGTCTGTATTACAGGGCAGGAAGCAAATTTAATTCCGTAGTCATAGGACAAATATTTACCACAAACAATAGCATTTCAACAGTTTGAATCCTTAACTGCCAGAGTGGCTGCTATAAAAGGGATTGTAAGCACAAACACTCAGCTAGTATTTAAAGACCCAGTTGCTCATAAGCCAGACAGCACATGCACAAATTACCATTTGCTTCACTTGACAACTGCTGTTATCTTGACACATCCACTTAAAAATTATTTCTGACAAGAATCTTAACAGCTTTAAATCAGTCTAATTAAAGGTAATACATTTTTGCTAGAAAAGCATTTGAAATTATACAGTATTGCACAGTTCACTTTTCTAATCAAGTTACTGAGTGCATTAGTAAATGACAAAAACATCTCCACTGACATATGGTCTTCTATCGAAGGAAAACATTTCTAATACTTTATGGAAGTTTCTAACAGCAAGGCTGTAGGAGGCAAAAAATGCTTAGAGAGCTTTTCCGTAGTGAAGTAGCACCATGTCCTCGAATATTACTTTATGTAGATGTGGTCGGCAGCTCTGACAGGGCTCCTAGCGACCTCTGCCTCCTGGTACGCAGGCACCTGTGGAATCCCCTTCCTTTGTGCACAGAACCTACTGACTCAGTTTTAACAAACGGAACATAGCACAGGTGATGAGATGTCATTTCCATGATGTGGTTGCAGTCTTACCTGCATCTCGCTGGCTTTCTGTCTCTGTTGCTGGCAGTCTCTCTTACCCTCTTGCTTGCTTGCTGCCATGTTGTGAGTTGCCCGATGGAGATGCCCACGTGGCAAGAAACCAAGGGTGGTTTACAGCTTATGAGGAGCTGAAACTCACTCCAACAACCCACAAGGATTGGAAGCCTGCCAACAAACACATGAGTGTTCTTAGAAGCGAATCCTCCCCAGGCAAGCCTTGAGATGACTATAGCCCTGTGAGAGACCCAAAGCTAGAGGACCCAGCTATACGTGGCACCTGGTTTCCTGATCCACAGAATCTGTGAAATCGTAAATATGTAGTCATTTTAAGTTGCTACATTTTAGGGTAATTGGTTGTACAGCAATAGATAACTAATACAAGATATAACCCTGCTGCCCCAATCTTTATCTCTTTTGTTTTAATTCCTTCCTTACACAAAAGGCTCACCTCTCCTATTCTTTGATGCATCCTTTTCTTATCATTCCACCAGCTCTAAAACTGAACTCTGCATCTCCTTAACCACACACCAGTATTTCCTCCTGACATCTATATTTTTCAAAAGTTTGCTCCTTTACACTCTTTTCTTCTTCCCCAAAGCTCAAATGAATGGAATGAGAAATGCTACATTGGCCATCTGGATTCAGAGCATTGGTGTTATCATTAACTTCTCCACTTTCCACACTGACAATTCCACACACAGCCACAGTGCCCTCAACCTGTTCCTCCTCTCTCCACCAAGGCTCTCGCATCCCTTCTTCCTTATTGTTTCCTTATGTTGGAACAATTGTACTTGTCTAACAGGTTTCTTCTCCAATTCATTTCGTACATACAAAGCCAGATTATACCTCCTAATACACCACTTTTCTCATTTTACATGAAATTTTTGCCTAGAAACCTACAAAATGTTCATTCATGTTTAGAAAATCACCTTTGATTATGACATTCACTCTGACAGTGCACCTAGCATGCCAGTTTTTATCTCTTTTGTGTTCAGGGCCTTACGAAAACTTGACTCATAAGGTTCAGAATTTCTAAGTCTTAGAGCAAAGTAAAACACCATAGCCAATTTGATAAAATAAATCCATCAGGGCTGTTGTTGCAGGTCAGGTCAAGAAGTAGACTGTGAGATGGAGATTATTAGCATGAGAAAAGATTATTAGGGAGTTCTTCAAGATTGACAGTGGTGGGGAAAGGGAAGGCCAGAGGAAGAAGTTGGGAGACGATGCAATCACAGCAAAGGCCTCAGCCTTAGAACGTCATTCTTGTAGGTAAGAGCCTAAAACAGGAAACAATTCAAATCTCCATCAACAAAATAAACTGTAGTATACTGAGACAAGGAATACTATGCAGTAATAAAAAAAAAAGGGCTACCATTAAGCTCAACAACAAGGGTGACTTTCACAGACACAATATTAAGCAAAAGCATCAGACACAAAAGAATGTGTGATTCCATGTACCTGAAGTTCAAGAGCTAACAAAACTAATCTATGGTGATAGAAGTTATAACAGTGGTTTCCTCTTAGGGAAAAGGGGTTACTGACTGGGAAGGGTCATGAGGGAACCTTCTAGGGATAGGGTCTGAATATATTCTATATCTTGATCTTGGTTGTGGTTATATAGGTGTATATACATATGTAAGAATTTCTCAAATTCTACACTAATATTTGTATACTATAATATATACACATTATAGCTTTTTATCAAGGGAAACATAAGTGTTGGCCCAAACAAAACAACAATTACCTCAAACAGAAATGTATTCATCTTCCTTGGAAGATCAGCTAAAACCACAGCCAGTTTGGGGGATTCGGGGTTTTTTTTGTTTGTTTGTTTTTGTTTTGTTTTGTTTTGTTTTGTTTTTTGTTTTTTTGAGAGACAGGGTCTTGCTCTGTCACCCAGACTGGAGTACAGTGGTACAATCATGTCTCACTGTAGCCTGAACCTCCCAGGCTTAAGCAATCCTCCCTCTTCAGCCTCCTGACTAGCTGGGACCACAGGTTCACATCACCACATCCAGCTAACTTTTAAATATTTTGTAGACACAGAGTCTTCCTATGTTGCCCAAGCTGGTCTCAAGCTCCTGGCCTCAAGCGATCCTCCCACCTAGCCCTCGCAAAGTGCTGGGATTGCAGGTATGAGCCACCATGCCAGGCCAAAATTTTTAAATGTGCTGTGTTTCTTCCCAAATTTTGAAAATAAGTGTTCATAACTACATAGCTGTATGTGTACCTCTACCCATAAAATACAGAACGCATGCCAATAGGAAGAGAAGACACCAGCATGTTGACGCTAGTAATCTCTGGCCACTTTAATTGTAGGCAATTTTAATTTTTTTCTATTTGATTTTCTAAAATTAACATTATTATTATTTGTGTAAGAAAAAGAGTGATTTTTTTAAAAATGCATTATCATTCATTGAGGAATAAACTAAAAGAAAAATGCAGTGCTGAAAGTGACATTGTAAACACCGTAATCCCTGAGAGTGTGTGTTAAACATCAGAGTGAAAAAGGGTAACTTTCTCAGGACCAACATGAGAGTGGACAAGGGGTATAGAAGACCCATGGGGGAAAGGTACCATGCTAAAAACAAGCTGCAAATGACCCTGGCTGCAGTGACAATACATTTAAATGGGAATGTCCAGTTGGAAGGAACACAGCATAACTGCTGACAATCAGTTAGGAATTTCTGGCAAGACGCAGGCAAAGACAGAGGGGCTGTCCCAGTAACATGGCTGTGATTTCTTACAAGGCCAAAAAAGAGCCCAGTTCTCTGACAAAGACTAGCTCTTCCTGTAGTGGTAGCCGCCGATGCTGCCTGAAGGACAGGCTAGAAAGACACAAAGCAAGAAAGCCTCTCAGTTCCTTACAGTTACCAGAGTAACCGGGACATCAGCCATGTTGCCTGGGAATACCCAGAGTAAGCCACAGTGGCAGGTAAATAAAAAAGGGTGTGAATTTGTCAGATTCCAAAGTCTTCCAGCCACTCTGTTTCAGTGACTACTGAAATCATTTCACAATGATCAGACTACTCCCAGAGTCCCTCGTGGAGAAACATCACATTCTCTGCCAGTCCAACTCAGGAACATGAATCCCCAGGGGCAGCTGAAGGAACACAGACATTTCAACGAAGAGTTTTTATAATAAGAGGGAAAAGATTCTTTCTCTCCAAAGGAGTCTGAAAGCTCACAAAAAGAAAAAAATTTAATTTCTTTATCACGTAGTATAAGTAAAATGATAATTGAAACAATAATTTAAGGATTTATTTTTGAGGAAGGAACAGAGACATGCTAGTGGCTGTGAAAGATGCCATTTGCCATTGTGGAAGCAAAAATAGCTTTGTGATCAGAAACACTAGTACTGGCTGCATGACCGTGGACAATTTACCTCTGTATACATCAGCTTCCTCATGCATAAGGTGGGGAGAATAATACCCATCTCACAGACTATTGTGAGGAGTAAATGCAGATAACATATATTATGTGCACTTGGTGCAATGCCTGGCAAGTACCAGGCACTCAATAATATATATCACGTGATCCATGCTGTTGTCACAGTTATGGACAATTCTCACTACAGCCTCTTTCTAAATTTCATTCCAGTCTCACCCCAGCTACAAAGTCTTCTTTTCATGCCTCGTATTGCATGCTCTTGTTTCAAAGATAGTGTCTAGCTCTATAAAAAGTGTACATAACAAGATCTAACCCAAGCCAACAGGCACAATAAGGCCACCGTTAAGTGAAGGTGGTAGAGTACACTGCAAACCCAGACAGAATGAAGCCCAGGTAAGTGAGAATTGTGTAAAGTCAGCTTGTCTGATTTTTCCCACTGTGGAGACATCAGAATCTTGACTCATAAAGTCTGGTATGGTTCACTTGTCCAAGGACCTACATATGAGAATACCCTGATATGTTATTTAATCATAAAACCTGAGAGGCTCGTGGAAAACAATGGAATCTTAATTCTATAAGGAAATCTACATTGTATAAAATTTGTAATAAATGACGCGTAGTCTCTAGCCATTCCTCACTGAGGAATTGGTGATCATCTCTTAACAATGACTTTGAGCAAAACAGTTTCACACTGTCTGGTCACAGAGAGACTTTACTTTCTGCTTAAGCATTTGCTATTAATAGAAGTATAATGCCACCATTGACGGGGTGGACTGTGATGTCAGACTGCCTGCAGTGCTAAACCCAGTGCCAATATTTGATAGGTGAGCAACTTAGGTACATTATTAACAATTTTTTTTTTTTTTTTGAGATGGAGCCTCACTCTGTCACCAGGCTGGAGTGCAGTGGTGCAACCTTGGCTCACTGCAACCTCCAACTCCCTGGTTCAAGCAATTCTCCTGCCTCAGCCTCCTGAGTAGCTGGGATTACAGGAAAGCACCACCATGCCCAGCTAATTTTTGTATTTTCAGTAGAGATGGGGTTTCACCATGTTGCCCAGGATGATCTCTATCTCCTGAGTTCGTGATCCGCCCGCCTCGACCTCCCAAAGTGCTGGGATTACAGGCGTGAGCCACCGCGCCAGGCCCATTGTTAGTATCTATTTTTGCTTCAATCTTATCAAAAGTAAATGGGATTGATAATAGTACCTGTGTCAGAATATGGTTGTAATCATTTATCATAAATAAATTTATTGATGATAAGGTAAACCACTTAGTGCCTGGCACACAGCAGGCAAATGTTTAGCTAGTTTTACTAATTTTTAATCATTATAAATTATTAATTTTTTACTTATATTCACTTTAGAAATTTCAGAAAACAGTGGAGGGGAGAAAGTTTCAAAACTTCTGCTATGGAATATCTCGAAATGGCCACTTTAAACATTTTGAAAAAGTTCTCTTCTAAAATATACAATTGTACAATTAATACCAAAGTGTATATGATATTTTATAACCTAATTTTTTCCCATCTAACCACCAATTATGGGGTAAGGGGGGATGTCATATTTTTTACTTAAT
Organism: Homo sapiens; assembly: GCF_000001405.40. Classification (NCBI taxonomy): domain Eukaryota; kingdom Metazoa; phylum Chordata; class Mammalia; order Primates; family Hominidae; genus Homo; species Homo sapiens. The sequence goes on from NC_000003.12 coordinate 65,183,707, forward strand.
CATACTTCATGGGAAAAATCTTTGTCATTATATATTCTTCGAAACATTATTGTGCCTTATGCAGAATACTACATTGCGTAGGAGTATTTCTTTAACTATTCCTCTATTACTGGCTATTTAGGTTTCCAAATTTTACTATTTAAAAAAAAAATGGTTGAACATCCCCTCATGTTTGTGCAAGTCTGTGATCTTTTCTTTAAGATAAATTCCTGGGAGTGGAATTTGTGATACCCAAAAGGAATAAACATTACTGAAGCTTCTGATCTATTTAATGGGTTTCTGTTGGGATACATTGCTTCCCCTAAAATGCTCTTTCAAATTCTGGTTGGAAATATGTGATGCTATGGTTCTTTCTCTCTCTAAGCAATAGGATCTCTCATCAGTTCCCCCATAAGATGTACATTCTCGGTCGGGCGCGGTGGCTCCTGCATATAATCCCAGCTCTTTGGGAGGCCGAGGCAGGTAGATCACGAGGTCAGGAGATTGAGACCATCCTGGCCAACATGATGAAACCTTGTCTCTACTAAAAATACAAAAATTACCTGGGCATGATGGTGCATGCCTGTAGTCCCAGCTACTTGGGAGGCTGAGGCAGGAGAATCGCTTGAATCCAGGAGGCAGAGGTTGTAGTGAGCAAAGATCACACCATTGCACTCCAGCCTGCTGGCAGAGTGAGATTCCACATAAAAAAAATTTTTTTAAAAGATGTACATTGTCTTCTGTGTAGCAATAGAAAGGCTTTTAAAACTCTCCCTGATTAAAAAAAAAGAATTCTTTCCTGTTGTCTTTGAGCTGGAATTGAATTATGCAAATATATGAAATCCACAATACTTATTGCGCCACCTCTGGCAATAGCATCCCTAGGGGTTATCTTTTGTTCACTTGGAGATCAATATTTTGTGTATTTCATTTTGGATGCTCAGGTAGAGTAAACAGCTTCATTTCTCCTCTTGCCCATTTCTCTACTTTTTTTTTTTCACATTCTGGACTAGTGTGTTACTTTCTTTATAGGCAAAAAATAAAAATAAACACATGAAATCTCTAAACTCCAACCCATTTAAAGACTGGTGCATGTGTCAATTTCTTATGGTGTCCCCTTGCGGTTAAAAGCAATCTCAATGCCTTACCCCAACATTCAAACATAAGATCTAGCCCCTGCCTAACTCTTCAACTGTGTCTATGCTTCTCTCTCTCCTTTGCGTACCAAATTACAGTTATGCTAAACATTATGCAGTTCATTGAACATTCCAAGTGCCTTCTGACACTAGGCTATTCCTGAGCTGTTCCCGCTACCAGAAAGGCTTCTGTGCTCCTCCTTGTCATTCAGATCACATTCGAATGCTACCTCCTCACCATCCTTGCTTGCCCACACAAACTTAAGCTGCCTCTCACTCATCCTTTCTAACATCACTCAATATAAGTCTTTGCAGTGCACTTGCCATGCTCTGATCTTATATATTACCGAAATCCTTGGACTGTTTTCTTCCCAGCTGTATTCCTAGGAACTAGTGCCCGGCACGTCGTAAGTGCTCCATAAATACTTACTGAAAACTTTTGTTGAATGAATTATGAAAAATTTACTTATTATATCCTGCTGAAAATCTCCAACAGAACTCAAGTTCTGTAAGAAGGAAGGGAAGTGTTGTAATGAGAATAAGGTGGACCTCTGTAAGAAGAATGAATGTCTGTTATACATATAGCCTTACTTAGGAAACCAATGGTGAACAGAACTATGGATACTGGATAACAGGAGAGAAGTGTAGGGACTTTAAAGTGGCAAAGAAACTCCTTTTGGTTGTGAAAAAATGCGTGGATGGAGACAGAGACAGGAGTTGGAGAGAAAGAGAGAAAGGAAAGCAAGAAAGATAAAAGGGAGGAAGGGAGAGAAGGAGATAGAGAAAGAGAGAATTCAAAGCGAGTCTTTGAAATGCTATATGGCTGAGATCTTGCAGAGGCACAAGCCACATGTCAAGGGCTTACAGAAAATTGGAATGACGTATTATAGGGCCAGGCAACCAAGGAGAGTTTCAAGGGGGAATATGAACTAAGCTTGTAGAACTGGTGATTTTTTTTCCTAGTAGAGAGAAAAAGAAAAGAAAGCATAGTCACACCTCAGCAAAGGTAAGTAGAAAGAAAGTGCATGGCTCGCTCAGAGAAATGGCAAGTCATTTTGTGGGGCTGGTACATGAGGTACAGAAGGAGACATGGAGGGAATCCTGACTGCTAGTACTTATATATTTGGCACATTCATTCCCCTAGAGCAGTTCCATGGCCTGGCCAGTTCTGACCTAAAGCAAGAAGAGAGGGCAGTCACGTAACACATGTTCTCATTGGTCTCCCCTTTCATTTATCTTTCTCTTCTTCTCAACATCTGTAATGAGATACAATTCACATACCATCCAATTCATCCACTTAAATATATGATTCATTTTAGTATATTTGTAGAGTTTTGCAAACATCAACACTAATTCCAGAGCATTATCATTGCTCCCCCGAAAAAACCTGTACCCATTGTCAGTCATCCCTCATCCCCACCCCCAAACCCCTGACAAACTCTAATCAACCTTTTGTTTCTATGAATTTGCATATTCTGGACATTTCATATAAAAGGAGTCCTGTATTATGTGGTCTTTTCTGATTGGCTTATTTTAGTTAGTATAACGTTTTTAAGGTTCATCCAAGTTGTGATATATATCAGAACTTCATTCCTTTTTATGACTGAATAATATTCCATTGTGTAGATATACCACATTTTATTTATCCATTTATCAGCTGATAAACATTTAGTTTACTTCTACTTTTTAGCTGCTTTGAATAATGCTGCTATTAGCATTCATGTGCAAGTGTTTCTGTGGACACATATTTTTAATTGTCCTGGATATATACATAGGAGTAGAATTGGTAGGTCATATGGTTAACTCTGTGTTTACCGTTTTGATGAATTGCCTGTTTTCCAAAGTGACTGCACTATTTTACATTCTCACTAGCAATTCCTCCACACCCTTGCCAACACTTACTACACCTGTCATTTTGATTACAGTCTTCCTAGTGGATGTGAAGTGATATCTCACTGTGGTATCTCATTATAGTTTCGATGTGCATTCTCTAATGACTAATGATGTTGAGCCTCTTGTATTTCACTTACTGGCTATTCTATTCTGCCCAATCTATTCTTTACCAGGTAGCAAAATTATAGTCTTTAAACTATACCTGATCTCAACATTCCCTTGCCCAGAACTTTACATAACCTACCCATCATACTCAGACTAAAGCCCAAAGCCCTCTCACATATACTAGGCCCTGCATAATGTTACAACTTGCAGTTATTTTACTAATTGGCATGTTTCATTTTGGGGTATGTGTCAGTCTTCCCATTCAGAAGGTCAGAAATAATATCTGCCTGTCCTCCGTGAATTTCCATGCCTGGAACAATGTCTCCCATATGGTAAAACAAATGCCTACCAAATGCAAGAATAATTAGGAAATTTAAAAAATATTTTCTCCCAAATATAGCTAGATAATATACAATAATTTGCTAATGAAAAGTGATATATACATGTGTCCTTCATTTATTTCAATGGAATAATAATGGTGTACTAACTCCTCTCATAAAAAATATCTACTAGCAGATCTAGAAGTAGAGAATGTAATGAAAGTAGACCTACTTATTGTAGTTCATTCAATTCAATCACAGTCTCCAAAACGTACTGTCTGCTGCTGTGGTATTTCAAAACACCTGACTCATATCCACATGCTGTACATTTGCCACTCAGCAATATTTTTTTAAAAAAAGAATAAGTAAATCAGGTAATAGCTCTATTACCATTCTGTAGATTAATAATGCAGGTTTTATTGCATAGTTTGGTATTGATGTGTTTATTCTGATTCTATTAACAATGAGCGTGTACCAGCCAATGTGAGCCTGTGTTTTATTGTATTCCATGGACATTGTGTTTCTCCCTTAAGTGATCCTTTTGTTCAATAAAACATAAAAGTCATTTTCAACTATGCTATAAGGTTTAAGTTTCTTTGGGGTTATGAGGTTGTCATTGCCATACTGTGAGAAATTAGTTCAAAGTGATTGGAAGTTAATAAAGAAATTATTCATGCCATGTGTTACTTACAACGAAAAATCATCAGTTTGATGGCTTGTGATCTTTTACATGGAAAACAACTTTCTTCCTTTGCGTTTCTAAATGTATGACTTTGGACATTAAAAACAAAACAAGGAGTAGTTTCCACCCAATCCTCGCTGACCTATTCCTTCCCAGAGCACACTTTTCTACATATTTGTCCCCAAGAACTCACCTTATTCTTGAATGATTTAAACTCAAGTTTTGTCTCCCCCATAAAAATTCTAATCAGTCCACTCTATCTTATCTTCAATTCTCCACTTTTTTCCAACCTCTCTGTCACCGCTGTGCTCTTTCTTTCCTGGATAACTGCAGCCACCACAGTCCTGCACCCCTACCTCCACTTGAGCTCTCCTCCATGCCGTGCTCTACCAGCAAGTCAGATCATGCCACTCCCCACCTTCGGTAATGAAGGGACCAATGAATGAATGACTACCCAGAGAGAGAGAAGCAGTAATTCTAATAATTGTCTTCTCATATGTATAAAGCATTTGTTCATATTTTCAATACAGTGTTTTGATGAAGTAGGTGGGAATTATTATTATTATTGTTATTTCCATTTTACACATGAAGAAATTGAATCTCGGGCATTGGGATGATTTGCTCAGGGTTACATGGATAGCTGGAAGACAAACAGAGCCAAGATTCTAATTTGGAATTTCGAATTCCCTGTCCTGTGCACTCTTCCCATGGCAATGTGTTTTCTCTGCTGCCCCCCTCACACACACACACACACGCACTCACACACACGCACTCACACACATAAAGGCACGTGCATGTGCATACACCAAGGAAAAAGATCGAGGGTGCCTAATCTGTTGCAAAACAAACCTAAAAGCTATTTATGTTTTTCTGTATTCATACAGAGGAGCAATTGCTTGAAAATCTGTGATAGCAAAACTGTACAAGTGGGAGATTATTTCATTTCCAACATATAACCAATCATGCTGTCCCCAGAACCGCCCAAGAAGAAACTCCCAATCTCGGAACAGGCACACGGCTCGAATTATCAGAAAAGCCGTTGAGATAAGACATGCATGATCTCCTTCCTAAAGAGGTACCTCAAATTAATGTTCAGCTGAGTGTATCTAGAAAATGAGAAAGGTTAAAATGCTCCCTGACACTTTTCTTCCTTTCAAGTAAGTTATTCTATGAGGCAGAGCTCTTCATAAGGCCTATTTTTCTTGTAGTCCACAGAAGGAACTTAAAACACAATAAAAGAGTGCTCTGTTGGGTGGGTCAAAGAGGTTAAAGCTGAGAAAAGAGACTGGAGAAAAATTTTTAAATAAAAAATTAAGAATTATAGGGTATCCTTATACCAAATAATACATGTTAGAACAGAAAACTGGCAAGGTACATGGTGCCTTGAGACTATTTCACTGTGACTTCTTATTTCTCATAAACCATCTTAATCTCCTTTCTCACCCAGGACAAGAATGACAGCCACGTCATCTGGAGAAGGCAGCCAGGGAAGTAGTCAAGAGAAAACACTTCTGTGGGTGACTTGAAGAAGCTGGTTACCATATGGTACATTTTCTATAACCCTGGTCAAAATAAGCTCAGAAACTAATGGGAACTAAAGGGTAATCAAATAAAATTATCCCAGACCAAGAAGCTAATTGCAAAAAATAAAAGGGATGAATCAGGGCTTGAGTCAGAAATAGGGAGTCAAAAGCTCTTCCCAGAGACCACCCTCCTTGCTCTCACTGGTAGATAGTTCCTCTTCCCCCTTCCCTTGACAATTTCTGCTTTGTTAGTGCCAAGCCTCTCCCAATTCAGTTCCTCGTGTGTCCTTTGAGTTCTAAGGAATGAGGAGAAGAGGCAAAAAACAGCTCTCAGATGCCAAGTAAGTGAAAGCCAGGAGCACCAATCTGCCAGAACCTGTCTATACTCCACTCCTGACAGAAGTCACTGTCTCCTGTATCCCCCACTTTCATCAGATAGAAGGACATCTCTGCCAGTTCTTTAAACATTTCATATTTTTTATTCGTTTAGACCTTAAAAAATGTTTATTTCCTCTTTCTGGAAGGTTTTGTTTTTCTTCTCATTGCCAACTAATCATTCAGGTCTTCACTTAAGCTGCAATTCTCCACCTACCTTGACCCTGCCCCCTCCCACCAGAGCAGATCAGCTCACTTAGCCATACTCTCATGGTACGTATCACAGAAACAAAAATCACTAACAAAGTTATCATAATTATTTACTATTTGTCTACCTTGTTAGACTGGACACTCCTAGAGGGCAGGAACGTGATCTCATTTTCCTCACTCCTGGAATCCCAATGCTTAACTCACTGCCTGGCACATAAGTGCTTGGTAAAAGGTTGTTCTTCCTTTTGCTACTGGTCACCTTTCAAAATCTCTGCATTACATCATGTCTCAAATTGCAGCTCAGAGAAGACTGACTTGGAAATGAAACACAGACAAACAGAGGGAGGCTGCCAGACACTAGTGACTAAGATACAGCAGGGCTGTTCACCCTCCATAATAACCTACTGCACCAACATGTACTACCATCCCTCCTATTCCATAGGCAAAAATCTCGGAATCTTTCATTCTTGATGCCTGCCCTTGTCTTTCCCTCACCTTACACCTAACTATCACCTAGGGCTGTCTATTGTTATTTTCCATCAATTGATTGCCAACCACTGTCCTAGCTCCCTGTCACCATACTAGACAAAGCCACCATTCTCTCCTAGAGACAGCCTAGCCTACTCCTGTCTCACTGCTTCCTTCTTGCTATATTCTCCTCCATTCTCCACTTAACAGCCAGAGTGTCCCTTGTGAAACATCTACCATGTCACCGCACTGCCTTCTGTTGATGTTCCTTCAATGACTTCCCATGGCTCTTAGGATAATGAGCAAAAGCCCTAATCAGTCTGTGAGGCCCTCGCAGAGATGCCCACTGTGCATGTAGCTCATCTGCCTCAAATGCAGCCAGTTCCCCATGTGCTCAGCTGCTCTGGCCCTCTGACTGTCCTGTGGGCCATACCAAGCTGTTGGTGTCATATGGCCTTGTGCTCACTGCCTCCGTAGTCTACAGTGTCCTCTCACACCCTTCTCTCTCCCATTAACCCCTGCTTCTTCTTAAGATCCTAGCTCAGTTATTCTGCTGGGAAGAATCTTTTTATCACATTCCTTCTCCCAGTCTAGAGCCAGTTTCATTCCTTTACAGGGCTTAAATATGTTTCTAATTGTTTCTTATTATGCACCCACTCAGTAGAATTGCTAAGAGTAATGCTTATCTTTTGGACCAGACTCTAAATTCCTGGACAACAGAGACTTGATAATGCTTGCAGTTTCATCTTCAACATGTAACACAGTGCCTAGCATAGAGAAGGCACTAAGTAAACTTTTGTTAAGGGATAGATGGATGGATGGATGGATTGATGGATGAATGAATGAGTGAATAGTCTGGGCTGCCATTTGTCTATCCTCTAAACCAGGAATTACAAAATCCCCATAGGGGCCAAGCAGGCAGAAGAATGCATGAATTATGCTAGGGGTTAGTAAAAAGGAGTTGTAGAGCATGCAATGAAATTTTCACATTTCTTTTAAACCCTAGGTTGTTGGCCAAGCTTTGCTGGCTTTTTTGCAGCTTTCTGTTCCCGCAAGTTACTCCCCCAAATCCTACCTATTTTAAAAGCAACTCTCACAGGAAGAAAGGCTTGGTAGCCAACAGATGACCACCACATTCTCTCCCCCAAGACGTCTGATTTCAGAAGGCAAGTTCTGTTCACAGGAAGGAGAGTATCCATACAAGTCCAAGTTCAGTGAGAGGGGCTGTCCCATAACCTGGAAGCCAAGGACTAGAATGCCCTCATTCACTTATTCTGATTCATAAAGTTTAAATTACTAAAAGAGGTTAACAACTTCAACATGTGGCATAATCCAGCCATTCATTTGTTCAAGAAAGAGAAAAAAGTTTAACTTTGTAACAATAATACGAACACAAAAACATTTCCTGGGAGAAAAAAAAAAAAAAAATGTGGCTTTGAAATTCTGCCTTTTATCTTCCTGGGAAAAGCAAGAGCTTACAAACTGGAAAAAAAAAAAGTTTCTTTTTGGTAAACTCACAGGCCTTTGGCCACTGCTTCCCTTCCACCTCAATTTTTTTTTTCTGATCTATGCATTGACCATGCAGAAATGTTCAAATGAAAGCACCTGGTCATTTTTACTTATCTTTCTTATTTTTTCTAGAAAGAGGCCTTGATATATTCTAGGTTCGCAAGTGATTTTGCTAGATTTTTGCCATTATGAACCTGTTTCTCTTTAACTGCAAACCACCTGATTCTGATTTTCCCTAGCCATAAATATGAATTTTTACTACATTTTATCTGAGATTCACAACTGATGGGCTATGAACCAAGAAAAATACAATGGGAGGAAAGAAAAGATAAAATTATTGGGCAACAACTACACAGAAGATGAAACAACCCTCAGACAGGATATAAAGGAGGGTGAACAGGGTAGTCCCAATGAAACAGAATGAAGAAAACCATTTTCTTCATAAAACTATAGCAACAGCAGTATTTACCTTTAGTGTTGTTGCTACCCAGAAGAAGAAAAGGTATCTTGGCATTTTATCAACCATATTTTTATGTCCTGCCATCAAGAATTTCTTTTCACTGCCTGCATATATTTCTTAGTCATAAAAGAGGGCAACCATTTTCAATGATACTAAATCCATCTACTCCCATATATCTGGCCCAACACAACTCAGACATTTTTTTAACCAGCCTTATGAAAAGATGTTATGAAAAGCTAATGACCACCCAAACCTGAGTATAACCATCCAAACATTTTAGTGAAAGGACAGGATTGAGAAGAATCACTTGACTAAAGAAATGCCTACAATGGGCTGGGCCGCTGGCTCATGCCGGTAATCCTAGCACTTTGGGACGATGAGGCAGGTGGATCACCTGAGGTCAGGAATTCAAGACCAGCCTGACCAACATGGCAAAACCCCATCTCTACTAAAAATACAAAAATTAGCCAGGCGTGGTGGTACACGCCTGCAATCCCAGCTACGTGGGAGACTGAGGCAGGAGAATCACTTGAACCCAGGAGGTGGAGGTTGCAGTGAGCCGAGATTGCACCACTGCACTCTAGCCTGTGTGACAGGAGGGAGACTTCATCACAAAAAAAAAAGAAAGAAAGAAAAGAAAAGCCTACAATGTTAAAGGTTATGCTAACATTTACAGCCAAAGGCAGAAGGGCAATATATATACTATGATACAAAATATTTAAATAGGAAAAGTTCAACTCACCATATATACACTCTGTACATGATGCCAACCAGGTTACTTGAAAGTCACACATTAAAACAGCTGTCTTCACATTTGCTAGTTGCTATCTAATTTCTATAGGGTATTGGTCCTGTAAAATTTTTCTAATATATGTTATTGTTTTATTTTTTTATCTTTTAATAGAAATTCAAGAATGAATATTTACTGCCTATATCTGACAGAAGAATCCCATTTCTCATGAGAAAATCAATGGATAATACTCAGCGTTTCTTCAAAACCAAAACTTCCTTTATCAAAACCTGTAGAACACAGGTTTCAGCAAACTTCGTAAAATATTCAGATCAAATTTGGGTTTGTTATTGATTTTCAGGGGGATTAATCTCTTTTATATTAAAAGCTCATTTGGTCACAAGTAATGGAAATTCATTGTGTCTTGCTTTGGAGTGGGGAATGTGCAAGAACACACTATGGAACTCAGAACGGAGGAAACTGTTCAGTACGGATGAGACCCAAGCACTAGAAAGCCAGAATGAATCAAGACTGCCAGTCCCGGATCTCCCCAATTCTGCCGTTGGTGGTCTCTCCTCTCTTCACCTCATCACAGCTCACTTCACTCGTTTCTTTGTAGAAAGGCTTTCTCTGTCACTCTACGCATGCGTGACAGAAACAGGCCCCACCCCTGTCTCTCAAGACCGCAGATCCCCAAGTCAAATGATTAGACAGACTCCCTTTCCTGACTCTAAATTTCTAGAGGGAATCCAACGGACTCAGCCTGGATCAGCTGTCCACCTGAGGCCAATCAGCTTTGTGCAGAGAGGCAAGTTTTCATAGTAGAGCAATCTGGAACTACTCAGGCAAATTACATCTATATATATATATATATATATATATATATATATATATATATATATATATATATATATATATATATATATATATTTCCTATGACCTAGGACTTCTACTCCAGGGGAAATTTCACAAAGATTCATGAAAAGGCAGGGGTACGGTCTTTGTACACGTTTGTGGGGGCAAGAAATTGGACGTCCATTACTGGGAGAGGAGATTAGGTAAGCAGTAGAGGTACATCACAGAGCATTATGCAGCAGGGGAAGCAAAGGGCTACACACGGCCCCACTGGAGTTCTTTGTTAAGCGCAGGGCTTTGTCACACACTATAGAAACTTCAAATGGGCAGACTAGAAGGTCTAGGGAGAAGGGCTGCAGCAGGATATTGGATGCTCAGTTGCCTTTTATTACAGCATTCTATGGAGAGGTGTTCTTAGGCCAGAGGGTAGCTAGATGTCTCATGGGCTATGCTCCAGGAGAGAAACCTATCCCTTTTTTATAGGACTAGTGAGAGCCCTTGCAAGCAGGGACAAAATAGCCTATGCTTGGGTGCTGGCTATTCAGAGGAGCTGCATGCTCATGCTTATAGCATCTAGAGAATTCGAGGGACCTGAGGCTGGATACAGCCCATCCAACTGGGAGAGGGGAGGAGCTCCCAATCACAGCCAGCTCATTTCCACTTATTTGGAAGAGAACACTGTATCATGCAGTTGATGTCCTATTGGGCATTGCAAATCTTAGTGGGGGAAATGGTAAAAAATAGAAAAAAATCTATAAAATAACAAATAATATCATCTGCATAAATGGGGGTGAAGCACGTGAAAATCAAATGGATGAACGATGACCAAAAAGAACAAAAGAGGATCTTTTCACTGGACAAGGATGTAATGTGACAGAAAGTATAATTAACCTGAAACCATTCTGCCACAGATCCACAACAACAAATTTTTTAAAATGAATAAAAGATGAGTACGGACACAGTCTCAACAGGGCTGGGAATACAGTCTCAAGGCTGTCTATGAAAACCTGTCATTAATCATTTGTACAAACATTAAATACTGATTCTGAATCAGGAATGAAGGGTGTTCCACAGTAAAGCTGGAATGACCTTTAACTAACAATCCATCTTCGCCACTGGGACATTTTTCACTTACTAGTGAACTGCTAGGAAATAAGATTAACTCATCTTGTCTTTGAAGGTGGTAGTGATGGTGGGATCAAATATCCTCTTGACCTCAAAAATCACATAAGTAACAGCTCGGCAATGTAATGCTTCATTGTTGTCAAAGAAAATCTTGTCCACCAGCAGTTAAGCATTTGTAGAGAAAGTGGGGAGAAGGTGTCTGGCAAATGTTTTAATAAATCACTACAACTTAGAAATGTGTCTGAAGGCACATGGCATAAATGGATTTTTAGATTTCTTATCTTAAGGTCTTGAACATGCTCAATATCTGCAAGAAGATGCCTATTTCAATTCTTATCACTTTTCCAGATCAACTTGAAATTAGTTAAAGGTGGACTAATGTCAAAGAACATCTTTGACTAATGTGACACGGCAAATTTCCCATGTCAGAGGACAATTACACAACAATTTTTAAGGATGAACTTTCAATTATACACCAACTTACATTTTCAAATTTTGCCTTGTACAAACAGACCACGATTGCCAGAGGGAAGGTTGCAGGAGGAAAAAAAATGCTGATTGAAGCCAAGATGCGGTTGGAGGAACAGTTGAAAAAAAAAAGGTCTCCTCTTTTCCCTGGAAATTCTTGGGCTCTCAGGGAACAGAAATGATTGAATCTGCAGGAGAAAGCTCCCCCCACCACGACTCCCTGGGCCACCAAGAGTCACCAGTTTAATGATGCACAATATCACGGTGACCGCTCGCTTCGGTCTCAAGCTCTACAATTTATGGTTTGGTTGTTATGTGACCTGTGGGAATTTATTGAGAACCATTGGTTCTCATTAGAAGGCCTTAAAAAAAAAAAAAAACTCCAAGTTTTTTATAGTTCATCTCTAGAATTCTTACAAAGGGCACTATGTTTATAAAACATCTGAACACCCAAGAGTATGGCTGAACCAAGGCAACCCTGGGAAGTAGGTAACATCTGTTTTTTTATCCCAAACCTATTAGCCTTCTGTCTAGCACTGCTCTATTTTTAACCCTTCCCTCCCCAACTAGATAGCCATGGCTGTCACACATGCTGCACCCTTGGTCCCCAAATTCTCTTAACTGCCTCCTTTCCTCCTCTGACTTGGGTTTTTGCTAGGAGACTGCTAGCAGTAGTACAAATTCACAGTGTAAAAGAATCAGCAGGTGCCAACGTCTTCATACTGAGATTCTCAAAGTTAGGGGAATATCAACAAACACACCCAGTATTAAGTAGCCTCTATTCTGATAGCTCAGGGCCCATGCTATATGGGTCATTAAATACCTTAACATCGCCCGGCTTATGGAGCTTGTTCCAGCTACGTATGTCATTCCTGCAATTCTCTCCAGTTTCTCTATTTCCCTATTCCAACCCAAGATTCTGTCTCATGAATCAATGTCAAAGTGAGTCACTGTGACAGAAGTTTTCTGGGAATGCACAGGTGTTTTGAAGCAGAAAAAAGTATATCCAAAGACCCGAGCTGAAATTGTTATTGCAATAGTTTTCAACCCTGGTTGCAGATTAGAAAAATACATGGGAGAATTTTTACATGCTGACACCAATTAAACTATACATCCTGGTGGATATTGCCTGGCATCAATATTTTGTGAAAGACTCACCACGGGATTCTAATGTGCAGCCAAGGTTGATAGCCACTGCATTGCTATTGCCAGTTAGAATATCATGTCTGTACTTTAACTAGAGTCTACAATGCTTTGACCCAAAGGAAAATTTTACAGAGGAATTTCAGGTATGCTTGTTGACTGGGAGAAATATTTTCAGTCGGTTTGGATGTCACATGATGTAATCAGTTTCTTCTTCCATCTAGGCATGGGATGCCAGCATTGTGTTGTAAATTCTCATCATATTTAACTAACAGGGAAATCACACTGGCTGAAGATTCCTGTGAGAGGTGCTCTTGTACCCGCTGGTGTGTATCTGTTGAAAGCCTTTTCTGAGCAGTTATGTTCATGCATGGAACCTCAAACACCACGGCACTGGGCTATTGAATACTAAAATCTAAAACACACACAAAAAAAACTCTATACCCTTAAGACGCTCTACCTCTTCATGCTTGATTTATTCTACTTAGATTTAGTCCACACTGGCATTTTTATATTAAATTGTTTTCCTGCTGTCTTGTATTTTAAAGCCCCTTGAGAAATCCTGACATTAAATTGGCCACACAATAGAAAAATTGGGAGAAGCAAACTCCCTTCCCCCCTCTTTTGTTAGCATGATTGTTTTTGATTAAGTCAAGTCCAAAATGAAAACCACAGGGGCCTTCCATCACAAACATCCATCATAAGCCATGTTGAAGGCATTCTCAGAATCCTGTTAGAACACAGCGAAACTTGCTTGGAAATTCTGACATCTCCAAAACATTTCTGGGGAGTCAGGTTGGGGGTGGAGGTACAGGGAAATATCATTAGACTAAATGGCTCAAGATTAGAGCAGTATCTCCCCCAAAGAGCACTTTTTTTCCTAATTAGAGTTTTTCCAAAATGATATCACAACAAAATCCAAGAGACTGTTTAATTTTTTATGACTTTGGCATTTCTTCTTCTCTCAGTTGCTTTTGTTTGTAGTTGCAAATATTTTCTATCTTGATTTCTTATACCTCCGTACCAAAGATCATACACTGCACATACAGCACCAGTTTCCCACAGAGTGGATGGTGGTCAAGTGGATTTTTATCTGACACAGAGACTGCTATATATTTTCCCAACTACCTGCAATAAAAATAATAAATGCAGCAATCACTCATTCTGCTTAGTACAGTTGCTTGCTGATGGTGCCTGTTAAAAGGTTCAGCTTAAGAAGTCTAGCCCTAGCTTCTTTGGGTAACTATCACTTATTCGGTGTTACTATGGGGCAGACAGGGTGTTCTGTGTTTTAAACCCATTTTCTTCTCTAATCCTCACCACGGATAATACTCTCCTCATTTACAAATAAAGAAACTGAGTTCATAGCAGCAGTTATGTCACTAGTTGAAGGCCATGCAGCTAGTATTAGGCGGACCTGAAGAAAGCAATCCTAGTTTATTTCACTCCACAGCCCATTTGCTCTCAATAACAATGTGATATTCCCTAGTGGGACAGAGACTATTAAAATCTGGAAGTAAAATAAAATGCATGCATATTTTCTGTCCTGGATCCTTGCAGGGCCACCTTGAAGGATACTGGCATGAGGGAGAATGGTGTGGGAGTATGTTGAAGATCAGATCTTTTTTTTTTTTCCATAGGTTTTTGGGGAACAGGTGGTATTTGGTTACATGACTAAGTTCTTTAGTGGTTATTTGTCAGATTTTGCTGCACCCATCACCAGAGCAGTGTACACTGAACCCAATTTGTAGCCTTTCATCCCTCACCCCCTTCCCACCCTTTTCCCCCAAAGTCCCCAAAGTCCGTTGTGTCATTCTTACGCCTTTGCATCCTCATAGCTTAGCTCCCATTTATGAGTGAGAACATACAATGTTTGGTTTTCCATTCCTGAGTTACTTCTCTTGGAATAATAGTCTCTGATCCCATCGAGGTTGCTGCGAATGCCATTAATTCATCATTCCTTTTTATGGCCGAGTAGTATTCCACTGTGTGTGTGTGTGTATGTGTGTATATATATATATATATATACACACGTACATATGTATATATATGTGTGTGTGTGTGTGTGTATCACAGTTTCTTTGTCCACTTGATTGATGAGCATTTAAGCAGATTCCATATTTTTACAATTGTGAATTATACTGCTGTAAACATACGTGTGCAAGTATCTTTTTCGTATAATGACTTCTTTTCCTCTGGGTAGATACTCAGTAGTAGGATTGCCAGATGAAATGGTAGTTCTAATTTTATTTCTTTAAGGAATCGCTACACTGTTTTCCATTGTGGTTGTACTAGTTTACATTCCCACCAGCAGTGTAGAAGTGTTCCCTTTTCACTGCATCCATGCCAACAGTTATTATTTTTTTGATTTTTTGATTATGACCATTCTTCCAGGAATAAAATGGTATCACTTTGTGGTTTTGATTTGCATTTCCCTATCATTAGTGATGTTGAGCAATTTTTTCATATGTTTTTTGGCCATTTGTATAGAAGACCAGCTCTTTTATGTAAAGCGGTGTTTCTCCATCTCTCACTAGAGATGTTTGAGGCAGGATAATCGTTGATGACCAGGGAGATGGAGGGGCGATGGTCTGTCCTGTGGATTGCAACATGTTTAGCATCCCTGGCCTCGACTCACTACATGTGCTAGCAAACCCCCTCCCAGTGACAACAACCAAATTGACTCCAGATATTGTCAAATGTTTCCTTTTCGGGGGGTGGGAATCATCCCCATTTAAAACTCAGTGACATAGACTAAAATTAGAATGGGGAGCCCTGGAACTGTGCAAAGGCAGCAGCCCTGCTCCATCCCATCCATTACCAAAAGCCTCCCAGTGAAAATAGAGACACAGGATGAGTCAAATCATAGGCAAATAGATGCTACTAGGAGAACAAAGGAGCTTGAGATTCCTGTAGAGTATTTATGCACCCATCAGATTGACCAGATTGGAGTGCACACCACTCCTGAAGTCAGTAAATCATAATTCCAGATAGCCCCTGTTCACATTCTTCTGAGGAGCCATCCAGTTGATGTCCCTTGCGATGCCTGCCTTATGAGGCACCTTGATAGATCTATTGTCTGCCCTGTGTTGTGGTCTACATTTCCTATCTCTCAAAAAGAGAACAGACATGGAGATAATAATTGATTGGCAGAGGTTAAGTTTTTAGATCAATGTGTAAAGTCTTGCCACTAACTGGTTTCCTTCACAGCACAAAGATCATTCTTGTTCTACAAAACGTTCCTGTATCATACATTTGAAGGACTTTTGACCTAGCATTATGCAAATTCCCGGTGCCCCCAAGGAAACAAGGCAAAATAAGCCACGAAAGGTAGTTATTTAAATCTTGGAATGTTAAGGTTCAAGTTAGAATTAAGACCCAGAGAGGCTCCGTGTAATGAATGTTAACCTGAGCCCAGGCCATGTTAGGAAAACAGAGTAACTATCACACAGATGTAATTTATTTGTTGATCTTGGCGTACCAATCGTCTTATCTCCCCAAGTTTTGGTCCTGGTGGAATTGCAGACACTTTCAACTCCAGTTCAAGGTGATACCTAGGATGAATAAAAGCCATTTCATTACCAGCTGATACCAAGCAAAGAGGGAGGGGGAACAGGAATGCTCTAAGATTCCAAAGGCATTTTCTCCAGAGCAGCTCTCATACAAGTCCATCTGCAATTCATTTTCTATTTCAAAAAGGCTCAAGACAGTGGGCTCTTCAAAATTACACACAACGGCAGAAAGCTTTATAGCATGATTTTTCATGGTCCTTTCGCCTGCAGCCATCACTGGATGTCACAGGAGATGTGGTCCCCTCGTTGTCATGGTAACAAGATGCTACTGGGTTGGCTGCCAGCCACTGGGAGCCTGGAAATAATATTCACACCACATAGACACTTCACCCCCTGGCACTTTGGGGTCCCAAATTGAACCAATGGCATTGTGTCCCTGCTAGAATCCACTCCAGGGGTTTCCTTCAAGTAAGCTAGAGCCGGGATGCAAGCTTGGCTTTGAAACCTCTCCCTGCCACAGAGCTGAACTGACAAAATGAGTTATTTCAGGCAGAAGAGCCTCCTTTGAGCTTGGGACCTCTCTGCCCTTGCCAGATGATTCAAAGCACAAATCTGATTTTTTCCTCTTCCTTGCTAATCTTCCTTCTGATGTTCAGGCCATGTGCGTGTCTCACAAACATTTTTACAAGTAGGAGAGTGAGGGAAAGGAAAAACAAAGCAGCTAATTCTCCCACTCCACCCCTTGAAACATTCTTCTGTTAAATAAGCCTCATAGACGTACTAAAATCTCTGGCTGAAGCAGGCACATCTGAAAACGTGTAACTTTTCCTTATTCCAGGTTATGCCATCCCTTGGTTTTATCAATAAATGCAGGTTGCCAGGTTTTTGTCCCTATTCTTTGCACTGCAGCTGGCATACCACGAACACCAGATGCACAAGGAAAGAAGATAAATCCCGGGGTCCAGGATGACAGCCTTGATGGAGTTCAGAGAGCGGCAGTCAGTGGATCATAGTTCAGAAACCAAAAGGGAGTTCAAAGTACATGTGATCTCTTTACCCAAGGAAATGCCAAAGGAGGAACCCTTGTCTCTCTGCTTCCTTTGTTAATCTCTTACAGTCCATTTTCCAAAAGGCAACAGAATGATCACAAGGAAATTAGGCTATGTTACCTTTTTACTTAGAACATTCCATCTCCTTCAGCAAAATCCAAAGTTTTATCTTGGCTTCCATGGCCTGGACTGTAATCGGCTACCTCGCTGATCACATCTCCCACTTTTGTCCTCTTGGTAACTCCAGTTCGGCCCTCTAGATTCCTTTTCTTTGAATGCACAGAGCAAGCTCCTGCCCTTTGTGCAAATGTCAACTCATGAGGGCGGCCTCAGCTGACAGCCAATAGAGCCCTCTCCCAGCCTCCCACCCCGTTATTCTGGATGTCCCTTACCCTTAATTTGTTTCTTGTCATATAAAACATTAATCTGCTTGTCATTCCCCCTCTGAAAGGTCAACTCTCTGGGAAGCAGGAACTTCATCATTCAGGTGGTCAAGGAAGGCCTCTCTGAAGAGGTGACATATGAGCAGGGACCTCAGTGATCCCTGAAAGACACAAGGGATGAAGCTGGAGGAAGAGCAGTCCTGCCAGGACAGAAGCACAAAGACCATGAGACAGGACCCAGCTTGGCAATTCTGTACAACAACAAGGGAAAAGTTTTCTAATAATTTTCTAGTAATTCTAAAATGTTGGCTTGTTTTCTTCCCAGAAAACAAACAAGCTTCTCTTTCAGATGCAGTTTATTATTTTTCATAGTTAGATGAAGACTTTGTATTCTTATAGATTTGCATTCAAAAGAATGTCCTCTGATCATGGACATGGAAAGATACGTGGGGCCAGTAGAAATATTGTGAAAGACAGTACTTCTGGGAAAAAGAATTCTCAGACTGCTATTAATAATTCACCCCTCCTCTAGCTCACAGGAAGATTCTTATCTGGACTTTTAAAAACGCCTTCTTTCAGTTTAAGTCTATCTCTATCCTTGTTAGAAAATCAGGATTAAGCAAATGAAGTGTCATCTCAACAAATATCAAAAAGATTGTCCTATAGAGAAAACAGGATAAGGCTTAATTCTCTCAAGGAGGTGAAAAAAGAGCAAGACAAATTGCTAATTCACGGTTACTCTGAGTCTCTGTATGACTGGATGCACTTTTTTCTTTTATTAGGATAGATGGGATTAGAGTTGTTTTGAATTCTTAAAATGTATATAAGATACCCATATCAAAGCTTAGCTTAGAGCAAGGAATTATCTACCAGGTAATATCTTTGGGGTTGATGGGAGATTTTAGACCAGACATTTGTAATTCAATTATGCCAAAAGATCTGGGTTGCTCATGTTTTTAAGTAGCTTTGACTTCGCCACAGCAGGTACCAGGCCCATCTATCACCTAATGTACAGGAAAAGATATCATAAACTATTTTGCCCCAAGGTGACAGCAACTTAATACGCTACCTTCTCCACAGATGTTTCCATTACAATTTTATTTTGCTGAAAAACTTATTAAGGATCTGCCATGAACCAGGCTTTCTCTTCACTGATTACATTTGTCTTATTCAGTAATTCATAACAAAGTGAGACTACTAGGTTTAGGTTTGGGATGGAGACACAGGTACTTTGAAAAAAATACATATTTTTAATTACTTTATTTTCTGTTCCATGATACAAACTATAAAAATGAGAGCTCAGGCTGAGCGCGGTGGCTCACACCTGTAGTCCCTGAACTTTGGGAGGCCAAGGAGATGGGAGTTCAAGACCAGCCTGACCAACATGGCAAAACCCCATCTCTACTAAAAACACAAATATCAGCTGGGCCTAGTGGCACGTGCGTGTAATCCCAGCTACTCGGGAGGCTGAGGTAGCAGAATCGTTTGAACCCAGGAGCCAGAGGCTTCAGTGAGCCAAAATTGTGCCACTGCACTCCAGCCTGGGCAACAGAGTGAGAACTTATCTCAGAAAAAAAAAAAAAAAAAAACAGAAAGAAACCTTAACCAAAATTTTCTTGGCTGGTGGCCTCGTGTCAGTTGACCCCAGGCCCAGAGCTTCAGTAATTTTACCTCCTCTCTTTGACCCCCACCCCAGGCATGGGATAAGCTTCCTTCCATTGCTTCTGTTTGGGTTGCCTCAATGACTCCTGTTGGCTTCTCAGCCTCGCTTCTATCATCTGTGTAATGAATTATCTGCACTATATCCCTTCAATTTCAAATACATTGAGTGATTTCTGTTTTTTTCAGTTGCATCTGGATTGATACAGAAGCCACATGTAATACTTCCAAGGTAATAGTTAAAAGAAGAACTGAGAATGGAACTCAAGTCTGTCTGCATTCAACAGCTATACTCTTTCCACAGAATTTGCTACTTGGATAAATTAACTTAATGAATATTTATTGAACTCCCACTATGTACTAGGCAGTGGGTAAATAAGGTTCTGAAAGCAAGGGCTTACTGCTGACCAGACCTTCAATGTTCCCCTAGTTTGGACCTTGTTTACAGATAAAAGATATTAAGAGGATTCCCTTCCTAAGAGTCAGCCTGGTTTGTTACTCTGCCTGCATTTATGAGCTCAATTACTGTAATATCAGGAGACTCAGCTGTATTCACAGCTCACACCATAGCAAGTAACCCCAAATGATACCGTGAAATGCATGTTGTTTTTCCTCTTTTCCCTGTATCTTACCAGTAGGGAAATAATGGTATTAGAAAATCCATTTTGCCACCTCATCTCTTCCTGTATCTTGTCAGCAGGGGAGGAATCAAAGTAAATGGCAGTGGCCCAGAGGCAGCAGAGAATTACTGGGAGACTGAGCATGTCTACTTTAAAATTTGTGGGGTTGAAGCACATCTAGAAGGAATTTGGTGACGTACACAGACAGGAGGGCTTTTGTTTTGTGTTTGTTTCATGCTGAACCTCAGGTTGTAAAGTTTGTGTATTTAGATATGTGCAATAAGCTGAATGCATTAAACTCCATGTCCAATGTAAACCAACAAACAAACTGAGGCACATAAAGATGACATGACTTACCCAACATCACAATCCCAGTTTGTTGCAAATACAGTTGATAAGACCAATCGTTAAAGTTTCTTTCACAGAGAAAAGAAGGACCACTTCCCTTGGTTTTACTAATCAAACATTTTAAATCATTTATTTACACACACAGAGAACTGTAAGTATAGAAAACCTTGGGAAATATATTACAAATAGTGGAATGCAGAGAGCAGACAAATTCACAGAGCAAAAAGCAATTCTACTGCTTGGAATATCTTTCCTTAATAAAAATGATTATCTGTACAAGAAAAGAAACCCCTGAACATGTCCAGAATCCTCCATATGCATGAGAAATACAATGGCTTATAAATGAGCACATGCCCTGGCCGCCCTTCACCATGAGGATTGCTGAAGACAATAAACAAACGAACAAACACATATCTGCATGTGTATACATTCTGTGTATTAAATCATGTTTCATTAGGATTATAAGTGCTGATTAAGAATATAAATTTAATTTTTTTTCTAGTTCAGAAATTAGAAACCTCAATCCTTGGATTTGATGACTTTATCACCTTCCTCTATCGACCACACTTGGGTCTCAGTCAAATCTTGACCTCACCAGGGAATAATTCATAATTATATGCTGGTCTAGAAAGAAAGAAAACAGTTTTTAAAATCTGAATGTGATAGTTTTAAAATGTGTCCACAAATTATTGGATGTGTATTTCATCAAGAATGGAATCTTATTTCACTCCCATTGAACGTGGCTCACTTCTGACAAAGAGAAGGCAGAGGAAGTGGTGGTGTGTGACTACTGAGGCTAGATCCATAAAAGGCGCCGGGCTGTCTCTCCTCTTGGGACATAGGCCTCTGGAGCCCTGAGCCACCATGTAAGAAGTCTGGCCACCTATAACCACCATACTGGAAAGACCATATAGGGAGACCACAGAGAGAGGAAGAGAGAGAGAAAGGAATTACAGTTGTTTGAGTGATCCTAGTCCAGGCACCAAATACATGAGTGAGGATGCCTTCAAGGTGACACCAGCTCAGCTACCATTTCATTGCAACTGTTTTAATGACCCCATGTGAGAATCATCTAGTTAAGTCTATTCAGCCCAGAAGACTATCAGCAATAATAAAAAATGACTATTGTTGTTTTGTGCCATTATGTTTGCGGTGATTGTATGTAGCAACAAATAACAATTTCTTTCTAATAAATTATCTTTCTACTTAGTGTACTTATGGTACCTTTTGACTGCTTGGGACTCTTTTTCCCTTTTAGGAACTCTTTCCTTCCCAATGCCACATGATTTTTCTGGGTTATCTACTAGGCAACTTGGAGTCTTCTGTGTCGTGGCCAGATATGTGGTCCAACCTGGCCCATCAGAATATCCTGGATACAGTGATTGGTTCAAGGAACATGACATATGATTCAGCAGAGCCAATCAGAGACCTCCAGGGAGATCAATGCCCACTCTGGAGAAAAGAGATGATGTCCTTTTCTCTGGATTTTCTAGCTTTGGAGTGGTATCTCAGCTAACAGGAGAGAGAGAGTTGCCCTGGGAATAAAGACAGGATAAGAGAAGGCAGAATACAGAGATAGAGGTGTGGAAAGCAGGGATTGAGGATAGTGGAGAAACAGAGAGAGTGATTAAATCATGATGGCAACATTTGAACTCCTGCGTCTAGTCATACTGAAGCCAGGATTCGCTGTCCTGGACTTTTCAGACACATGAGCTAATAAAGTCTCTTCTTCCTTTAACTTGAGTTTGGTTTCTTTTATTTGCAAAGAGGGTTCTTTCATATTTAAGAATTCAATATGATTTTAGAAAAAAAGGTCCAGGAAAGATCCAAAGAGGTATATATAATTTTAGCCAGAAATAAATTATAATTATTCAAATAAATGCTACATGCCTGTGTGAAAAAACAAAATATGCCATTTATTTTTATGAATATAACAAAGGAAGACAAAGAAATAAAAAGTACAAAATTGAAGGTTCAGGATAAAGATTGAAATCAGCTTTAATAATTATATTACTTTAGGCTGGACATTTTACTTTGAGACCTAAAACTCAATGGTTTAAAACATTTTTTATCTCAGAGTTTTTTTGGGTCAGGTATGCAGGAGCAGTGTACAGGGGCCTCTGTCTCAGTATCTCTCAAGCTGCCATCAAGGTGTCTCTCTGGGGCTGGGGTCTCATCTGAAAGCTCAACTGGGGAAGGATCCACTTCTAAGCTCACTGACATGATTGTTGGCAGGTTTCATATCCCCATAGGCTATAGAATGAGAGTCTCAGTTTCTCACTGGGTGTTGGCAAAAGGACTCCCTCCACTTCTTGCTACATGGACTTCTCTGAAGGGCAGTTAAGAACATGGCAGCTGGCTACCATCAGGACAAGCAAATGAGAAAGAGTGAGGGATTGAGAGCAAAACAGAAATCACAGACTTTGAAAACCCAATCCCAGAAGCGATATCCCATCACTTTGCCCTATTCTATCCCTTAGAAGCAAGTTACTAGGTCCATCCTTCCTAAGAGAAGAGGATTACACAAGACCATGAAGGCAAGATGCAGGGACCATTAAAAGCCAAGCATCCTTCAAGGAGTATCCTCACTTCACAGGGGCTTCTATGTGTTCAGAGACCAAACTTAAAGCCAGACTGTCTTATGACAGAGTTATAAGTACAGAAACTGATGATGCAGTTAAATCCCTTTAGGGAGGGAAGGGTTTTCCAAAACCTAGTTAGCTCCAGAATTTTCATATATTAGGGGATTGTGGTCAACAGTCTTTAGAGGGTGAAAACTTGATTTGTCTTAAAGTTGCATTTACCTAGGAAGCACATTCTTTTTACTTAGCTTGTTGATGAGCTATTGAGGGGTAGGTATAGTAAAAGGACATTATGATGTCATTAGATCTTTTCCAAGCCGCATGTGTGCCAGCATCAGAACTTTTTGAATCGTAACACAAAAGCCACACCTTTCTTTGTCTAAAGGAAGATTGATCTTAGACCCAGGTCTTCCTATCCAAGCCAATGAGGGCACTCTTACCTGGCACCACTGCTTAGGAACATAAGTGCCTTTGAACCTGTAGGAATTATAGCTAGTGTTCAGAGTAGACAACTGTTGTGGAATGGGAAAAACATTGCAAGCTATCTGCTTATCAGAAGCACTTGGGTCCCCTCTGTTTTGAAAAATGTTTATGTTTGCTTCTTTCTAACCACTAATTACTCCATAAAATCCTGTTTGGCTATTGTAAACATGTGCCTCTAGCTAAATGAATCCATAAAACCAAAACAACACCATTAGAACAGCTCTTTGTTAAGCTTTAGGAACGGACTATCATTATTTGTATTTGGCACAAGGAATAAAAATAAAATCATTTGCATAGATATTATTGAAATTAGAATCTTAAAAGGTTTATACCCCAAGGTGCTTTATTCTAAAAAATAGTTTCACTTTTTTTTGAGAAGTATCTATAGAAGGAACTATTATTTATTATGTTTTAGGGCCTTTTTTCCACTACATAGAGGGGTACAATCTAGATTTTGCATGTTTGCTATTTACTCTCAAATAAGTACCTCTATTTTCCTTTCCATATAAAAGACAATGTCAGATTGTCCCTGGAGAACAATAGGCACTGGCAAGTAGCCTGAAGATCTCCTTCACGTGCATGTTTCCCAGGTGGAGGACCAACGCAGAAGTGGAGAGTAAATCACCAATAGGGGATTGGTTTTGGCAACATGAGAATTTGCTCAGCTTGATTCAAGTTGTGTATGTGCCAAGTTCACTCAAACACAACACATAACCTGCCATCTAGATATTAAGCCAGGATATGTGATGTACAGAGAAATATTATATGTCAGCAGAGAGCTCTGCTACAAAACTTCTTTCCATCACCAAAATAACAATAGAAAAATTCATGCTTTTTCAATTGCACATCAGTGGTCCTGATCTTCAAAATTGTAATAAATCTTCCTTAATGTTAATTCCCAAGCTAATTATGAACAACCTGAGCACAAAGTCTAACGCTTGGAGTTTTCTGTGAGTAATGCTCCTCCCTCTTCCTAAAATCCCTTCAACTGAAAGAATGGAAGCAAGGTAAGAAGGGACAAGTGTCTCCCCTCTGTTACCTCACTCAGTATTTTCCATGAGAAGCATCTCATGTTGGGTGGCGGGCTGGGGGGTGGTCTGAGCTCGCTGGAGCAGCTCTCAGGTCTTGTGGCCAAAGGGATGACGCCAGAGGTCCACAACGCCGGGAACTCCCAAGATGGAATAGTCCTTGAAGCCATTTTGAAGGGACTTGCTTGGATATATAATTCAGCTGGGTGTAATTGTGACAGGAGATATGATAGCCAAAAGCTTGAACTGTCGATCTTAATTCTCAGATCCTCCAACTCAGTGGGAAGGTCCTATCTTTCCTACCTGCCTTTGGAAACACCAAAGTCACCTTTTCTATGCTCTGGCCCCCTGCCTTCCTAAATAGCTCTTAGTTACGAACTACTGATAACTTCCTGTATGGACACAAATTATTTTTAGCAATTTTACCCAAAACCTTTAGACTGGACATTGTTGTGATTTTCTAATATTCACTTAATTCCTCCCCCATAGCAAAGTAGACACACAGTTTGGGAAGAAGAGCCTCACCCTCAAAACTCCCACTCCAGGTGAGCGGTGCTGACGCTTTCCGGTCTTTCACTTATCAGGGGGGGCGGGGTGCCCTGAAGGCTAACAGCACAGGTGCTGGTGTTAGATCCTAAGTTCCAATGTTAGTTCTGCCTCTTACCTTCTCCAGCCTTCATTTTCTTCATTTCTACAATGGGGATTATAATGGTACCCCTCCTTAAGGGCATGTTGTGGGGGTTAAATGAGACTGTCCACGCAAAATGGTTTTAGCAGTGCATATAGTAGGCATTCAGAACATAACAGGGATATAGTGGGGCTCAACACAAGGCAGCAAGTGTGACCACTGTATTAATGTTTCGGGGGAAAAGTGGTGCCAAAAAAGTGACTTTATGAATTCAGAAACCAAAGGACTCAGAGAGTAACAATATATGAGGCTTCAAATGGAAATGGACAAGTTGGGTGGGAAAGAAGAAGTTAGACAGGCAAGTGTCTAGGCAATTGGCTTGTGTGTCCTGTGGCTGCAGAGATGGTGGGACAAGTAACAAGCTTCCAGGTCTGTCAAGTTGCTCTTCTCCCAACCCCTAGGGATCTGATGAGGCCACAACAGAGTCTTAGTACTGAGGCAATGGAAACTTAGTAGTATCAAATACAACCCTCTCTTTTTCCAGATGGAGAAATGACTTGCTCTAGGTCATGCAATGGTTCATGGTACAAATAGAAATGCAACAAAGATCTCCTGGCAGCCAGACTGGCATTTTTTTAACCCAGCAACCAGGTATCTAATTAGCTTCTATTATAATGCTCCCATGAAAGCATTCAGTGTATCATGAGCTGCAAGACAACTTTACACACAAACAAATCCTAGTTAAAGCTTTAACTACTGAGAAGAAAAATGTGGCACCATGCATTCCTTTGCATCAGTGAGAAGACTAGAAAGCAATCATTATTTTGCTAAAATTTGCAAACCATTGAATCAATAGAATGTACTTACATTAGGGTATCAGTCTACACACAAAAGAGTTAACTACAGAACATAAACTGGGTGCAAGCAGAAAGATGGGATGTTGATTAAGAAAAATGGTCCTAGCTAAACCAGAAGGGCTAAAAAGTGCTTTCACAATCTAAAATTTACCGTTTTGACCCTTACAACTGTCACGAGATCTGGGACACAAGGACCCACATTTCAGTTACTTAAATTCTCAGGGCTCCAGATTCTGCTTCTATAAACAGAAGATAATAACATCTGACTCACAGCATTGTTTTCATGAGACATTAGTGAGAAATTGTTGATGATGTCCAGCACAGTACCAGACCCAGGGTGTTTGGCACTGCCTCTCCCAATCCAGGTATAGCCAAAGATACTCATTTTCTGGAAAAGCAATAATTATCTGTTATGCAGCAGGTCTTTCCTAATTGGGCTCTTGTTCTGTTTTGTTTTAATGATTTTTCCAAATTAAATACAGAGCAAGGAAGCTGGTTTAGATTACAGGGTCACTGCAAAATAACTGAGACAGTAGATATGACCTATTTTCAAGCTGCCACAGTATAATTGGGAATATTTTCTTTGTCTTGGGAAGGAGCCAGAGCTGTAAGCCTCCTTTCCTCTGCTTTGTGGATCATATCAACCAAGGGAGACACTTTGACAGCTCTGCAGCCCTGGCCCATGCTTGAGAGTTTCCCTTCCTCTGACCTTCCTAGGGTCTCTTCCCAGAAGGATTGCTTTGCACTCGCCTCAGCATCATTGAAATTCCCTCTACTTACAGTTATGGCTGCAAGGAAGGTCATCATAAGTGTACTGATGATGCTATTGATGGAACCTCTAATGCCATCTGTTGGTGGTGGGTACAGTTGATATGCTTCTAGTCCAGTGTGTGGCTTTATTGAATTCTGAAACTATTTGACATAGATTTTCCCCAAAGATTGTCACAAATTCCCCTTACAGGAAATACTAATGGAAGTTCTTTAGGCTGAAACGAAGTAATCCCAGATGCTAATTCAAATCCACATGAAAAACAAAATAAAAAACAAGTACACTGGTAAAAGTAATTATGTTATTATAAAAGATAGTATGAATTTCTTCTCCTTTCTCCTCTTGTAATAACTGATTTACAAAGCACCTGTATAAAACATATGTATATAATTGTATTGCTATAGGCTTGTAACACACAGAAGTACAGAATATTTGACAATAAGAACACAAAGATGGTGGGTAAGGGCAAAGCTGTATTGAAGAAAAGGAATGACACCAAACAGTAACTTGAATCCACAGAAATAAATGAAAAGAAACAGAAATGGCAGATAGGATGATTAATATTAAAAAAAAAACTCTACAAACATGTATGTACTCTCCTGTCTTCTCTGTTTTCTTTTTCTTTTCTTTCTTTCTTTATTTTTTATTTTATTTTATTTTTTGAGACAGGAGCTTGCTCTGTTGCCTAGGTTGGAGTGCAGTGGCATGAACATGGCTCAATACAGCCTTGACCTCCTGGGCTCACGTGATCCTCCCACCTCAGTCTCCCAGGTAGTTGGGACCACAAGCATGTGCCACCTTGCATGGCTAATTTTTCTGATGGTTGTTTGTTTGTTTTTGTAGAGATGATAACTTGCTATGTTGCCCAGGCTCAGTTTCCTTAATAGACATAAAATTATATAAAGCAATAATTACAAAAAATACAGTTTGCAACATATATGAACATAATACATATAATAATAATGACTTAAAAGGGGAAAAACAGAATAGAACTATATCAAAGTAGTGTTTCTGTATCTCACTGGAATTCAGTTGGTATAAATCTAAGTCAATTCTGATTATTTCAAATGTGTGTGGTAAACCCTAGATCAACTACTAAGAAAATAACTTAAAAATAAAAAGTGAGAATATCATTAAAGGAATTAAAGTGTTTTATTAGAAAATACTTAATGCAAAAGAAAGCAGTAAAGGAAGAATAGAGGAACAAAAAAGACATGAGCCCTATAGAAAGTAAAAAGCAAAATGGCAGACATAAATCCAACTAGACAGTAATAATAGTAAATGTGAATGCATTAAGCAATTCAGTTGAAAGGCAGAGATAGATAAAAAAAACAAGATCCAACTATATACCTCTATAAGAGACATGCTTTAAATTCAAAGACACAATACAGAGAAAGTAAAAGGATAGAAAAAGACATATTATTTAAAGAGCAACCATTTTTAAAACTGCATTAATATTAGAGAAATACACTTTGGAACAAAAAGTGTTAAGATAAACTTTAAAATAAAAAGTTTTGAGAGGCCGGGAATGGTGGCTCACATCTGTAATCCCAGCATTTTGGGAGGCCAAGGCAGGTGGATCACTTGAGGTCAGGAGTTTGAGACCAGCCTGACCAACATGGTGAAACCCTGTCTCTACTAAAAATACACACACATAAAAATTAGCGGGGTATGGTGTCGGGCACCTGTAATCCCAGCTACTCAGGAGGCTGAGGCAGGAGAATCACTTGAACCCAGGAGGTGGAGGTTGCAGTGAGCTAAGATCGCGCCACTGCACTCCAGCTTGAGGGACAAAGCAAGACTCCATCTCAAAAAAAAAATAAAAAGTTATGAGATAAAAAGGGATATTTTATGATGGCAAAAGGGCCAGTCATACAGAAAGATAAACATTTATTCATCTAAAACTGAGCCTCAAAATATAAGAAGTAAAACTAACAGAAGTGAAGGAAGAAATAGACAATTCAGCAATAATAAAGACTTTAATACTCTACTTTCAATAATGTATAGAACAACTAGACAGGAGATCAACAAGGAAAAAGAAAACTTGAACAATACTATCAACCAATTAGACCTAACAGAAATCTACAAAACATTCCACCAACAATAGCAGAATACACATTCTTCTCAATTACACATGGAACAGTCTCCAGGATAGGCCATATCTAGGCCATAAAACAATTCTCAAAAAATGTAAAACGACTGAAGTCATACTAAGTATATTCTGTAACCACAATGAAATAAAATGAGAAATCATTAACGAAAAGAAATTTGGGGAATTCACAAATATGTGAAAATTAGACAACACATATCTAAATAACCAATAGATCAAAGAAATCACAAGGGAAATTAGAAAATTCTTTGTGATGAATAACAATGAAAACACAACACATCAAAACTCACAGGATGCAGGTAATAAAATAGTGCTTGGAGGGAAATTTATAGCTGTAAATGCCTACATTAAAAGAGAAGAAAGTCTTGATCTTGATAACATAACCTTCAACCTTAAGATACTAGAAAAAGAAGAGTAAGCTAATTCCAAGTGAATAGAACAAAGGAAATATTAATAGCAAAGATTTGAGCAGAAATTAATGAAACAGAGAAGAGAGAAACAATAGAGAAAAATCAATGGAAACAAAGTGAAGCCACCAATAATTCCTCTCCTCCGTGTACACACATGCAGCTTCTTCCACCAAGAGGTGGGGGTCTATCTCTTTTCTCTTTGAATCTGGATTGTTGTGATTTTCACTGACCAATCAAATATGGCAGAAATGCTACCTAAAGAGTTCATCATGCTACCCAAGTACAGGCTAGCCTGGTGAAAGAGGGGGCTCAGGGAGAGGCCCTGGAAGATGAGAGAACAGGAGGTGAAAAACAAAGCCTTCCTAATCAGCAAGCACTGAGACCTCAGATATGTGAGGGAAGGGCTTGAGGATCACAGCCGAGCCTAGCCACCAGCTGACTGTAACTTCATGAGGTATCCCAGCCAACACCATGTTGGGGAAAAGACCCCCTAGTCAACTGAGAGAATTGTAAGAAAATACATGGTTGTGTTAAGCCACTAAGTCATAAGTAACCGAAAGCAATTTTTAGGTTGAACGCTCATAAGGAGAGGAACTTCTAATATAGTAATGTTGGCCAAATCTCAGTCTCATTCCTCTATAATGTTAAAAAACAAAAGGTCTCAATCTTCTAGTCTAGAGATCTTCAAACTATAATAGATGAAACTAGATAAAAGTTAAGTTTCTCTTGGTGGGATGGCCAGGGGAGGGCACTCAGAAATTCACCTGTTTGGCCTCTGTAAATCATTCTTTCTCTTTTTTTAAGTTAGCTTGTTTTGTTTGTTTGTTTGTTTGTTTGTTTTTTACTTTAAGTTCTGGGATACATGTGCAGAACGTGCAGGTTTGTTACAAGGTATACATTATACACGTGCCATGGTGGTTTGCTGCACCCATCAACACGTCATCTACATTAAGTATTTCTCTTAATGCTATCCCTCCCCTATCCCCCCACCCCTCGACAGGCCCTGGTGTGTGATGTTCCCCTCCCTATGTCCATGTGTTCTCATTGTTCAACTCCCATTTATGAGTGAGAACACACAGTGTTTAGTTTTCTGTTCCTGTGGTAGTTTGCTGAGAATGATGGTTTTCAGCTTCATCCATGTCCCTACAAAGGACATGAACTCATCCTTTTTTGTGGCTGCATAGTATTCCATGGTGTATATGTGCCACATTTTCTTTATCCAGTCTATCATTGATGGGCATTTGAGTTGGTTCCAAATCTTTGCTATTGTGAACAGTGCTGCAATAAACATGCGTGTGCATGTGTCTTTATAGTAGAATGATTTATAATCCTTTGGGTATATACCCAGTAATGGGATTGCTGGGTCAAATGGTATTTCTAGTGCAAGATCCATGATTTAAATGAAGACCATTATTTTACAGATGAGGCACAGAAGGAGAAAGGAAGCTTCCCAAGAAGTATAAGAAGTTTCTGACTGACTTGTAATCAAAGTCAGGTTTCCTCAATCTTATTCAGTACTTCATCTTCAACACATGGAATTTTAGAGAGGGGACTTTATTTTTTGTGCCTGCTTTTTGGATCACTTCTCACTGTAACAGGTCAGCTAAGGCAAAACAGTTAAGACATGATTTTGGAAGCACATTCCCTTACTACCTGTGTGACTGAAACCTCTGCCAGCAACAGAGATAACCACTAAGTCCCCAAGATGGCAGCATTTTTCCCTCGGTGATCAACCAGCTACTTGGTGGCAGGGTGATTGCAGTGGACCCCTTCCACCATAGAAAGAGCAGCATTTTGTCCTTACTGGGATAGACACTTATTCTGGATACACATTTGCCTTCCCTAAATGTAATGCTTCTGCCAGAACTACCATCTGTAGACTAGCGGAATACTTATCCACCCTCATGGCATTCTACAATTGCTTCTGATCAAGCAACTCACTTCACAGCAAATGAAGTGGGGCTCATGGGATTCACTAATCTTACCATATTCTTCACCATCCTGAAGCAGCTGGCTTGATAGAATGACGGAATAGCCTTTCGAAGACTCAGTTACAGTGCCAGCTACAGTGAAGGTCTGGGACAAAGTGCTCCAGGAGGCAGTAAATGCTCTGAATCAGTATCCAGTATATGGTGTTACTTCTCCCATAGCTAGCATTCATGGGTCCAGGAATCAAGGGGTGGTCTACTGGCATAGACCCCTAGTGATCCACTACCAAAAGTTTCATTTTCTGTCCCTGAGACCTTATTCTCTGCCAATCTAGAGGCCTTATCCTAAAAGGAGGAATACTTCCACCAGGAGAAACAAAAATTAATCCACTGACCTGGAATTTAAGACCGCTGCTCTGACACTTTGGGCTCCTCATGCCTCTGAATCAACGAGCAAAGAAGAGAGTGGCTCTGATGGCTGGGGTGATTGATCCTGATCACCAGGGAGAAATTGGACTGCTACTCCACTTTGAAGGTAAGAAAGGGTATGGCTGGAGTACAGGAGCTCTCTTAGGGTGTCTCCTAACACTACCATCCCCTGTGATTAAAGACAATGGAAAACTATACCAACCCAATTCAGGCAGGACTACTAACGTCCCATATCCTTCAGTAATGGAATTGTAAATTTATTCTAATCTTTAATAATAGAATCATGACAAGCTGAGGTGTTTGCTGAGGGCAAGCAAAGGGAATATGGAAAGCGTAATGAAAGAAGGTAAAGACCAGCTATGACTATCTGACTTACTGCAGAAAAGAGGCCTGTAATTGTTATAAGCATTTCCTCATTTTATTATGAATGTGTGTGTGTGTGTGTGTACCTAGCTGTGTATGTATATATATATTGTGTATATATATATGTGTGTGTGTGTGTGTGTGTGTGTGTGTGTGTGTAGAAATATGTGCAGGCTAGCTTGGTGGAAGAGAGCCCTCTTGGAGAGGCCCTAGAGAATGAGAGGATGTACATACACTCACATATATACATAATATATACACATATTCAAATATCTTTGTTTTCTTCCTTTTATCTCCTTGTCATACAACATAAGCTGTATTGACTTTGTATTACAGTATTTAAGTATTGTTAACTTTATACCATAGTATTTAAGTTACATCATATCAAGGAAAAGTGAATACTACCCAGGGACATTGCATCCTTTTCCCCAATGGGAAAGGGTTAGTGGATTTTCAGTTGTATACAGGATATTTGTATCATGTTAAGCAGAAGTACGACCTTGTTATTGTCTTTATTTGGGGAGTAAGTCTGGTTTGAGAAGATGTGTGTGGGTACAAAGTCAGCAAAGGGTGAACTGTGACGGTTAATTTTATGCATCCAGTTGGCTAGGTCAAAGTATCCAATTTTTGGTCAAACATCAGTCTAGGTTTTGTTGTGAAGGTTATTTTTTAGATGCGATTAACATAGAAATCAATAGACTTTGGGAAAAACAGATTACTCTCCATAATGGAGGTGGCCCTCATCCAATCAGTTGAAGGCTTTAAGAGAAAAAGACTGAAGTCCCTTGAGGAAAAAGGAATCCTGCCTCCAGACTGTCTTCACACTCAAGCACATCTCTTCCCTGGGTCTCTAGCCTGCCGGCCTGCCCTGCACATTTCAGGAGCCAATTTAGGAAACTGGCTCCTATACACACACACACATACACACACACACACACACACACACACACACACACACACACACGCTATTGATTCTGTTTCCTTGGAGAACCCAGACTAATACAGTACATAACCTTTCTATGCCTCATGTGTATTTTCTGTGAAATGAAGAAAATAATGGCACTTACAGGGCTTTATGGGAATTAAATAAGTTAATTCATACAAAGTGCTTAGGAAGGATAGAAATATTACATAAGCATGGGCTGTTATATTATTGTAATGTAATTCAGGCCATATTTTAAGTATCTTTATAAGCCATCTCAATTTTCTTTTAGACTACTAAATCAATTTCTGTTCATGGAACTCTCATATCACATTGTAAGAATCAATCTCCCTCTACAAAAATGTAAGACCTAAGGACAAAAAGTGTGTTTTATTCATCTTTATATTCCCAGATCATAATGCAGGCTTAGCAAACAGCACATGCTCAACATTTTTTCATTGAACAAATGAATGAATGAAAAAAATTGCTTTACGGAAGATACAGAAGTCCACCTGCTCTTAGGTCATGTCACTTTTTTTTTAATACTTTAAGTTCTAGGGTACATGTGCACAACGTGCAGGTTTGTTACATATGTATACATGTGCCGTGTTGGTTTGCTACACCCATTAACTCATCATTTACATTAGGTATTTCTCCAAATGCTATCCCTCCCCCAACCCCCACCCCACGACAGGCCCTGGTGTGTGATGTTTCCTGCCCTGTGTCCAAGCGTTCTCATTGTTCAATTCCCACCTATGAGTGAGAACATGCGGTGTTTGGCTTTCTGTCCTTACGATAGTTTGCTGAGGATGATGGTTTCCAGCTTCATCCATGTCGCTACAAAGGACATGAACTCATCCTTTTTTATGGCTGGTATAGTATTCCATGGTGTATATGTGCCACATTTTATTATTATTATTATTATACTTTAAGTTCTAGGGTACATGTGCACAATGTGCAGGTTTGTTACATATGTATACATGTGCCATGTTGCTATGCTGCACCCATTAACTCATCATTTACATTAAGTATTTCTCCTAATGTTATCTCTCCCCCTTCCACCCACTCCACAACAGGTCCTGGTGTGTGATGTTAACCATCCCGTGTCCAAGTGTTCCCATTGTTCAATTCCCACCTATAAGTGAGAACATGAGGTGTTTGGTTTTCTGTCCTTGCGATAGTTTGCTGAGAGTGATGGTTTCCAGCTTCATCCATGTCCCTACAAAGGACATGAACTCATCCTTCTTTATGGCTGCATAGTACTCCATCGTGTATATGTGTCACATTTTCTTAATCCAGTCTATCATTGACGGACATTTGGGTTGGTTCCAAGTCTTTGCTATTGTGAATAGTGCCTCAATAAACATACGTGTACATGTTTCTTTATAGCAGCATGATTTATAATCCTTTGGGTATATACCCAGTAATGGGATGGCTGGGTCAAATGGTATTTCTAGTTCTAGATCCTTGAGGAATCGCCACACTGACTTCCACAATGGTTGAACTAGTTTACAGTCCCAGCAACAGTGTACAAGTGTTCCTATGTCTCCACATCCTGTGCAGCACCTGTTGTTTCCTGACTTTTTAATGATTGCCATTCTAACTGGTGTGAGATGGTATCTCACTGTGGTTTTGATTTGCATTTCTCTAATGACCA
This sequence comes from Homo sapiens, assembly GCF_000001405.40. Lineage (NCBI taxonomy): Eukaryota > Metazoa > Chordata > Mammalia > Primates > Hominidae > Homo > Homo sapiens. The sequence goes on from NC_000003.12 coordinate 65,218,425, forward strand.
GTGATGATGAGCATTTTTTCATGTGTCTTTTGGCTGCATAAATGTCTTCTTTTGAGTAGTATCTGTTCATATCCTTCGCCCACTTGTTGATGGGGTTGTTTGATTTTCTTCTTGTAATTTCGTTTAAGTTCTTTGTAGATTCTGGATATTAGCCCTTTGTCAGATGGGTAGATTGCAAAAACTTTCTCCCATTCCGTAGGTTGCCTGTTCACTCTAATGGTAGTTTCTTTTGCTGTGCAGAAGCTCTTTAGTTTAATTAGATCCCATTTGTCAATTTTGGCTTTTGTTGCCATTGCTTTTGGTGTTTTAGTCATGAAGTCTTTGCCCATGCCTATGGGCCTGAATGGTATTGCCTAGGTTTTCTTCTAGGGTTTTTATGGTTTCAGGTCTAACATTTAAGTCTTTAATCCATCTTGAATTAATTTTTGTATAAGGTGTAAGGAAGGGATCCAGTTTCAGCTTTCTACGTATGGCTAGCCAGTTTTCCCAGCACCATTTATTAAACAGGGAATCCTTTCCCCATTTCTTGCTTTTGTCAGGTTTGTCAAAGATCAGATGGTTGTAGATGTGTGGTATTATTTCTGAGGGCTCTGTTCTGTTCCATTGGTCTATATCTCTGTTTTGGTACCAGTACCATGCTGTTTTGGTTACTGCAGCCTTGTAGTATAGTTTGAAGTCAGGTAGCGTGATGCCTCCAGCTTTGTTCTTTTGGCTTAGGATTGTCTTGGCAATGCGGGCTCTTTTTTGGTTCCATATGAACTTTAAAGTAGTTTTCTCCAATTCTGTGAAGAAAGTCATTGGTAGCTTGATGGGGATGACATTGAATCTATTAATTACCTTGGGCAGTATGGCCATTTTCATGATATTGATTCTTCCTATCCATGAGCATGGAATGTTCTTCCATTTGTTTTTGTTCTCTTTTATTTCATTGAGCAGTAGTTTGTAGTTCTCCTTGAACAGGTCCTTCACATCCCTTGTAAGTTGGATTCCTAGATATTTTATTCTCTTTGAAGCAATTGTGAATGGGAGTTCAGTCATGATTTGGCTCTCTGTTTATCTGCATTGGTGTATAAGAATGCTTGCGATTTTTGCACATTGATTTTGTATCCTGAGACTTTGCTGAAGTTGCTTCTCAGCTTAAGGAGATTTTGGGCTGAGATGATGGGATTTTCTAAATTTACAATCATGTCATCTGAAAACAGGGACAATTTGACTTCCTCTTTTCCTAACTGAATACCCTTTATTTCTTTCTCTTGCCTGATTGCCCTGGCCAGAACTTCCAACACTATGTTGAATAGGAGTGGTGAGAGAGGGCATCCCTGTCTTGTGCCAGTTTTCAAAGGGAATGCTTCCCGTTTTTGCCCATTCAGTATGATACTGGCTGTGGGTTTGTCATAAATGGCTCTTATTATTTTGAGATACGTTCCATCAATATCTAGTTTACTGAGAGTATTTAGCATGAAGAGCTGTTGAATTTTGTCAAAGGCCTTTTCTGCATCTATTGAGATAATCATGTGGTTTTTGTCTTTGGTTCTGTTTATGTGATGGATTACGTTTATTGATTTCCATATGTTGAACCAGCCTTGCATCCCAGGGATGAAGCCCACTTGATCATGGTGGATAAGCTTTTTGATGTGCTGCTGGATTCAGTTTGCCAGTATTTTATTGAGGATTTTTGCATCGATGTTCATCAGGGATATTGGTCTAAAATTCTTTTTTTGTTGTGTCTCCGCCAGGCTTTGGTATCTGGATGATGCTGGCCTCATAAAATGAGTCAGGGAGGATTCCCTCTTTTTCTATTGATTGGAATAGTTTCAGAAGGAATGGTACCAGCTCCTCTTTGAATCTCAGACAGGGATGTTTAAGTCTGCAGAAGTTTCTGCTGCCTTTTGTTCAGCTATGCCCTGCCCCCAGAGGTGGAGTCTACAGAGGCAGGGAGGCCTCCATGAGCTGCAGTGGGTTCCACCCAGTTCGAGCTTTCTGGCTGCTTTGTTTACCTACTCAAACCTCAGCAATGGCAGATGCTCTTTCCCCAGCCAGGCTTGCAGTCAAGCAGTTTGATCTCAGACTAGCAGTGAGCAAGGCACCATGGGTGTGGGACCTGCTGAGCCAGGCGTGGGATATAATCTCCTGGTGTGCCATATGCTAAGACCATTGGAAAAGCTCGGTGTTTAGGTGGCAGTGTCCCGATTTTCCCAGTAAAGTCTCTCATGGCTTCCCTTAGCTAGGAAAGGGAAATCCCCTGACCCCTTGCGCTTCCCAGGTGAGGCAATGCCCCACCCTGCTTCCGCTCATCCTCCGTGGGCTGCACCCACTTTCTGACCAGTCCCAGTGAGATGAACCAGGTACCTCAGTTGGAAACGCGGAAATCACCCATCTTCTGCATCGATCACGCTGGGAGCTGCAGACCAGAGCTGTTCCTATTCTGCCATCTTGGAACGGAAGCCGAGCTCATGTCACATTGATCTGATCAATTGTCAGTCGGTGTCACTGATGACATTACCAAAGTTTACTTTGGAAAGGAAAGAGATTGAAAGGATATTATTTTAGTAATGAATTACTTACCAAAGGATCCATAACTGCCTTATTTTTTAGCTAACATTTATTAACTAAAATTTCCAAAAAGATCTTAATCATAACATAAAAGAATCCTTCAGATTCCCAAAGCCAGTTTCTACAATATAAGCTGTCTTGAGGCTGAAGATGCTTAAGAACTATGAGGGCATGCTTTGAAGAAACGTTAACAGCCCTAAAGATTTCATTGATTTATCAAAACCAAGTAGCTGGAAAGAAGCCAGAGTCCAGTCCTTCATTAACTTGATTGCTGTGGGATCCGTTTGGTGAGCACTTGACTTACTACAACTGGGTTACCTATTCTTAGCAGCTTGTTCTGTCTTCCAATTTTAGCTTATTTGCTGAATTGGTGCAAACCAGAAGACAAGCAATGTATCTGGAACAATCAGCACATTCTTTCATGGGCTAATGAGAGTCAATTACTGGGATTTCAACAGAAACCATCTTTTAATTATCATTATAATTAATAATAATAATGCTAAGTAATTTTCTAACCAGCCAGGGCAAAATCACTCAATACTTGAAATTGACACATATGCCCAGTCAGGATTATAGGCTCAACTTTTTAGCTACTTGGGTATCTAGCAGTTCTTCTGTCACTCTGAGGATATGAGCTTGAGGATTTTGGGAATTTGGTTCATAATGAGCGATAGAATTCCAGAGTCCCAGAAGGTCAGAGCCAATGAAATCATCTATATTCAATCTCTTAGAAGAGCTTAATGTGTGTAGACATGGAAATATGTTCCAAGACATATTGTCAAGTTGAAAACTGTAAATTGCAGGATAATACACCTATCAATTGCCTGTCAACATAACCACAAAAATAAAACTAAGTAGAAAATACGTTTTTTGGAAGTATATATATTATATATTCTAGAAAATAGAGTAGAGGATATGTATTGTGGAGAAATCCAGAAGACTGTACATTAATATATTAACAACGATTATTTCTGAGAGAATGAAGTAATATATAAATTACAAAACTAGCCTCAGTTATTCCCTTTCCCATATCTCTGCTGCTTGCAATGTGATTTTGCAACTCCTCCTACAGAGATGTGGAGTCCATTTCCTCTCTCCTTGAACATGGGCTGGCATTGTGACTTGCTTTGGCCAATAGAAGCAGCAGGAGTAAAGGCATGTCGGTCACAAACCTAGGCTTCAAAAGTCTTTCACTTGCTCTTTTAAGGCCCTATTCAACCTCAATGAGAACAAGCCTCAAGCTAGTCTGCTGGATGATAAGAGAAATACAGTCTGGACACCCCATTCTCCCCCTGCCCCGGCAGTCAGCACTCAGCTAATATACCAGCTGATCACAGGCACATAAGCAACCTCAGTTAGATCTGCTAAGCCTGGATCAGAATAACAGAACCACCTAACTAACATCTAGAGTCATGGGCAATAATAAACACTTATTATTTCAAGCCACTGGATTTGGGTGAGATTTGTTACACAGTGATAAATAACTGATAAGTGCAGATAAAACCTAATAATCCTTCACTATAATGTTATCATTTTACAATGAGCATATATTGATTTTTTAATTAGAAAGCAAAATAATAATTTTTTAAAATGTCTAACCCTTGAAAGAAAAGAAACCTGAATCACACAAGGGGAATAATGCCCAATTGGTTAAAACCCTGGCTGCAAATCACAAAAACCTAACTCAAAGTTTAAGCAAATCAACTAACTTACTGACTCACAGGACTCTGAGGCCCAGTGAGGTATTTCTAGTTTTAGTAGTGGCTGAGTCTTGGTAATCAAGTCATATTTGTCTAGAATATGTCTTTCTCTTCTTTTGTATCTCTTCTTCTAGTTTGGCTTTATTCTTAGGCAGATGCTCCCAAGAGTGTTGAGATGGCCATTGCTATAATTTGGATGTTTTGTCTGCTCCAAATCTCACATTGAAATGTGATCTCCAAAGTTGGAGGTGAGGCCTGGGGAGGTGTTTTGGTCATGGGGGCTGATACCTTATGAATGTCTGGGTGTCATCCTCATGGCAATGAGTGTGTTCTCACTCCATGAGTTCATGCAAGATCTGATTGTCTAAAAAAAAACCTCGAACTTCCTCCTCGTCCTCCCTCTCCTCCTCTTCCTCCTCCTTCTTCCTCCCTCTAGCCCCCAATCATGTGACACACCTGCTCCCCCTTCATCTTCTGCCATGACTATAAGCTTCCTAAGGCCTCACCAGAGGCTGAGCAGATGCTGGTGCCATGCCTTGTACCCTGCAGAACTGTGAGCCAAATCAACTTCTTTTCTTTACAAATTAGCCAGCCTCAGGTATTTCTTTATATCTACAGGTTTAAGATCCAATGTAAATGATAATTCCTCCTAAAAGTTCTAGTAATATCTCAGGAGTCACTCTAAGTGGCCCAGTTTGGATTTCGTACTCATCTCTCAGTCATTATTGCTCTGGTTGACCAGGTCCATTTGTACGCCAGTCCCTCAGAGATGGGCAATGAATAGCAAAAGGGCAGTTATTCAAATGAGTATTGGGCTACTATTATCCTAATAAAGGAGAAGTGGGAGTTGGGTGTAGAAAAAAATAAAACAAAACAGGGGTTCACAATACCCAAGGACTTATAACTAGTAAGTGGCCAAGTTGGGACTAACTGCTAGGTTTTCTGACTACCAGTACAACCCTGAAAAAGTATTGTGAAATATATATGTGAAAATGCCCACATATTGGCATTATATGGTATATTCATCTCTGCCCTCATGTTCTTCCTCATTTGGCAAGCAGCCCAAAATGTATATGAAATGTTCTGCTGCTATGAAACCTCATGACAAAATACTGTGCTTTCACAAATTAAAGTGAAGTTGTCATAGTCCATTATTGGAAAGCAATAAAACTTGCATTCATTCATTCAATAACTGTCCTATGGCTTCTGCAATATGCTTTAGTCTATTCTGTAACTATATCAACATACAAAGGAAAAGCAATACAGACACCCTACAAGTAGGGGAGAGGGGGGTTAGAGTTTAATTATCATGTCACAATTCATCTGTTTTGTGAACCATCCCAAACACAGTGAAAAGAATGCTTTATCACAGCAGAAGAGAGGTTATCATTTGAAACTTGGAATAAACTGAGTCTATGAAAATAAAAGACAGTTTTAAAGTGGATTTTTACTATACTTAAATAACCTTCATGCCTTTCTCCTACAGTTGCAAAATATTTACATATTATCACATTTGCCACAACCTCTCATAGCAAAGCCTGCCAACTCACTTTAAAGAAAAAAAAACAGAGAGATAAACCAACATGCTGAAGTGCAACAAGTTCACTGTTTGACTAGATGCGTGTCAGCTCTGATCAGGAGTGGGAAGGAGGCTGCCCCGAGACAGACATTTTTCTTTCGGAAATTTTGACATCATATAGACATAGCTGGTACATATCGGAAAATATTTTATGTTCTCACCAACCCAAAATAAAATGATCTTCTCCCACCATTCATTTGGTAATTAATCATGGACAGCCTTGTGACATTTCTTCTTTCTCTTGTGATTTCGACTTGGGAATTCAATCCTATGCTTTTCTTTTTTTATATTTGCTGTGTCTCCTCATTATATATAGGGCCTTGGGGCAGGGACTCTATATTAAGCCAGCAAAGACCAGTAAGCTGCTCCCTGTGTGCCTTCTCCAAACAACTACTGGTAATTGGTGGGATTTGGGGAAATTTGATACCAAGTTTCTATGGGAAAGAGGATCAATGCCAATGATAATATCTGCCAGGGGTTTCATATGGAAGGTGGTAGTTGACCCCAAGCTTGCCAGGCATTTGCCATCCTTGCAACCCCAGGCCCCAGTTTCCTTCTTATTTGACCCTACAGCCTCATGTCTTTAAAGAAACTTCTATCTGCATTCTTTATCCAGGATTCAAACGTTTGTATGGGTATAGATAAATAAAAGTTAGGTGAATATCTAAGGTGAGATGGTTTGGCTGTGTCCCCACCCAAATCTCATCTTGAATTGTAGCTCCCATAATCCCCATGTGTAATGGAAGGGACCTGGTAGGGGGTAATTGAATCATGGAGGCAGGTTTTTCCCATGCTGTTCTCATGATAGTTAATAAGTCTCACGAGATCTGACTGTTTAATAAAGGGCAGTCCCCCTGTACAAGCTCTCTCTTACCTGCCACCATGTAAGACATGCCTTTGCTCCTCCTTCACCTTCTGCCATGATTGTGAGGCCTCCCCACCCATGTGGAACTGTGAGTCCATTAAACCTCTTTTTCTTTATAAATTACCTAGTCTCAGGTATTTCTTCATAGCAGTATGAAAATGGACTAATACCTAAGGTATTATATATGTGGATATTCTTTACAAAATAAATTGGTTTGTCTTCTGATTAGAAAGTTATGTTTTGTGTAGTAAGTTTAGAAAATAAAGGGACTATTATGATATAAGATAAATAAAAATTACTGTAATTAATTTTATCATCCAGAAATAACCACTGATAGTACTTTTGGAGTGTTCCTGCTAGCCAATTTTTTTTCTATTTGGGTTTTTCTGCCAAAATTTGGTTCATGCTAGTATATGCTTTTTGTTTTTATCACTTTGCAATGTGCTTTGAACATTTTAAATGTTATTATTCTTCCCCCAAAATGTGTTTACTACACATAAAATTCCTCTATGTGGATTTCCATGGGTTTATTTTTAACTCAAGGCATTATTTTTATTAAAATATATTGGGTTTGATGACTTAGATAACTATTTATAACTTTCCTAACAGCAGTGGGGCCTCTCACTGCATTGTTACATTAAATAAAACATTTACAGTGCCAGGGTTCTGCTTCCAAACTGGAAAAACACTCTGAATTCAAACTCATTCAGGATCAGAGTCTGCCTTGCCTATACTATTGGAAAAACAAGTGATCTTTTAAGGAAAGGAGAATATTAGTTAGGTCAGGTATATCTCTTGGAATATGATCTAGACGCAAATTATGCCCTTTTTCCTTTCTGAATTAATAATTTATACTAAAGCCACCTGCTTATTTCTTGTGTTTCCTTCATTGCCTTTAGAGCCTCCACATCCTTGAAATCAGGAGAAAAACGAGTTCCTCTATTCCCAGCAGAGAATTCTCACTGACATCATGGCAAGTAATGCAGTCTTCATATTTCATCAAGGGAACGTCCCACAGAAGATGCTTACCAGGGATAAGATGGGGGAGAAACAACAGCCAACAAGATCTGGGACATTCTAGCGATCCTCCAAGGCAGGACACTTGAAAGTAGGGGAGTAGAGCTCTAGGAATCTCCTTTGGTTTTAAATAGGGGGAAAAAATAATTTGTTTCATAGGCTTAAAAAAATTAAACCTATTATTAGATTTATTTAATATTGATCTGTGTTAGCAGCTGCTAATTTAACTGTGCATAATAATTACCTGGGTGCTTGCAAAATTCAGATCCCCAGGCCTCACCCCAGACCTACTAAATCAGAACCTTGGAGGGAAGGAAAAGGGGAAGTGAGAGAATCTGTATTCTAAAAAGTTGCCCAGGTGATTCTGATGCAACATATGGGAAATCACTATCTCAAAACAGTTGGAATTGAAAATTTCAGTCAATAGCCAACTATTGGGTCTGCTTGATTTGAGGTCAAACAGATTGAATAAATTGTCTTGATGAAATAGAGGTGTTTTTCCCCTCGAGTCAACTAACAAATATTAAACAGTAACATTGTGTTCAGCTCAGCCAATGGTTTGCAATTCTTCACTATCAAACCTTGGGGCTCTGATAACTGATCCTTCACACACATCCCAGACATTTCTATAATGTCTTCAGCAACCAATTGGCACATCTAGCAAGCAAAAAATAACCAAGGTAACCATCCTGTTGATATACTTCCAGCCAAGAGCAAAGAAAATTGACATTTTAGCCTAAATGGCTTTAGGATGGGAAAATCTACCATGTCTGGCTGATATTCTGAAATACTAAAAATAGGTTAAGGATCCTCACCCACTATTCCCTGCTCACAAATCCCTAGCTGGGTGTCGATTTGCTAAAGAAAAAAAGTACACAGCACATGCTTACCTTTAGAAATTCACAGTGTGATGTGGTGAACATAATTTATTCCAAAAAATAAGAAGGGAAGAATATAAGACCCTACATAATCAAGGGCCAGATTGTGAAGGAAGGACCTAAGTACCAGAGGAATTTGGTGAAAAGAAAAACTATATGAGATTTGGTCTATATAATTACATTAGCCTTGCAGATGGCAACTTGCCTGCAATTGAGTACTTTCTCATGATCTCTATTTTAAATGTCTCATTATAATACTATCTCTGGATCCTCAATGGGTTAACGACTTTTGTTGGCTGATATATTTGGGGGAGTTACAGAAAGCCTGATTTAAACCATAAATCAATCAGTTAGAACTCTCAACATAAAATCCATTTAAAGAGGCAATTATAATTCACCCTTTCCTCCTGCCTGTACCAAGATAATTTTTCACCCCAGCAATCCAATCGTGAATTGTCCAAAAGACGTCACTTTCAGAATAGTTTGTCACATATCATAGAGAGGAGACTTTGATCAGTTGCAGCCAGCATCATTTCACTATGTCATTGAAGAAGAAAATTTTTGTTTTAATGTAATGGAAACATTAGCATTTAGAAAACAAATTCTACTGAACACTGCTGTGAATATAAATATACTTTAATATTAAATATAACCTCAGAATATTTTTGTACCCCCTAAAAAATTGCTATGCCTGTAATTCCATCAGCCAGACAGAAAGCTCTGTCAAAACCTTGATGTATAACCTTTCAAAACGTTTCCCAACTGTGTCAAATGCACACAAGCATACGCACAGAAACACACACACAGATACATTTATATTATCTATATACTAAAAATTAAAATTATAAAATTACAGATAATAAATTGTTATAAATAAGGAATCATGCTGTATATAACCTTTGGTGATCTTTTCTTACTCTGTATGGGAACATTCTTTCCATATCAAAATGTTCATCTACAATATTATTTTTAATGGACCACTTTAATTTTTTTATATAGAGCTGCCATCTTTTATTCAACCAATCCCTCACTGTACGACATTTAGATTTTTTCATAAATTATTTGCTATTATATAAAACACAATGATGAATATCAAAAAGATAAAATATTCTCACCAGTACTGATTACAATCTCAGGATAAATTTCTTGATAGGGCCAAGTATGTGTTTGTGATGCATATAAGGCCAAGTGGGCTTCCCAGCTCCAGCATTAGCCAAGAGCCATTTACCTGAGCTCTCCTATAAACAAACCAGACTTCTCTAAATAATATGGGTATACATATGTAACAAACTTGCACATTCCATATATATATCCCAGAACTTAAAGTAAAATTTAAAAAATAATAATAATATGGGTCTCCAGTCCTAGCATATGTTATAGTGTTAAACACATTACCGAGCCAAAAAAATCTCCCCATCACAGGTGAGGTTGGAGAAGGTCAAAGAAGTGTAGCAGGGAGCAAACCTCACCAGGCAACTGGGAACATTCCATTCATTCATTCCATAAGCATGTATCAAACACGCACTGTGTGCCAGGTACTGTATTTGGTACTGGCAATTTGATTCCTGTTTAGCATTTTGAATAGAAATGACCACAGATTCTCATAGATAATCATCGCAGGGTGTGATATGTGCTGTGTGAAAATCATATGCAGGGTGCACTGAAAACACAAAGGACAAGGTAATACCTGAGAGGTCAGAGTCACAAATCATAGTAAAGGTCACCTATTCTGAGCCTAAGAACAGTAGTAGAATTTTCCCAGGTAAGCAAGCAGACAGAAGGACATTACAGCAAAGGGAACAGATATGCAAAGGTTCAGAAGTCTTTTTGAGAAATACAAATTCTGGGAAATGGCAAGTGAATTATGGCTGCAGTAGAGGAAGCACAGATCCCAGCTATAGACAGGACCTGGATGGAACTGTGGTCTGGGTGAGACCTGAATGGCCCCTAAATGGCACATAAAGGAATCTGGATTTAATATTGCAGGACACCAAAAAGATTTTGAGAATTTTTATCTTCAAACACATGATCTCATTTTATGAGACAGTGAAGGTTAAATATAAGGGCTTTGGGGTCACGGGGTTGTTGAGATGATTAGGTTGATGTCTGTATGTATAGCTGTATAGCTCACAGTGTCTGAGCTATACTCTGCACTCAATAGATCGTAGATATTGCACTAGTAAGAGTGAGAAATCATTGTTAATCCTCACAGCAACCATTTGAAGGAGGCGTGAGAGGAGAGGAAAGGAAAGCTCAAAAGGGCTTAAGGGACTTGACCTAACTCCAGTAAGTAGTTTGTGGAGAAGCATGAACTTAACATCACATTTTGGGACTCTAAGTCCAGTGCTGTCTCTTTTCTTAACATCATAATGTGTCGCTTCATGTTTTAGTCTGTTTTGTGCTTCTACAACAAAATATCTAAGATTGGGTAATTTATAAGAAATGAAAATTGTTTTCTTACTGTTCTGGAGGCATGGAAGTCCAAATCAAGGTGCCAGCATTTGATCTAGAGAGGGCCTTCCGGCTTTGTCCTCACATGGCAGAAGGGCAAGCTTGCTGAACGCTGCATGAAGTCTCTTTTAGAAGGGCCTTAATCAAATTCTCGAGGAAGCAGCCCTCATGACCTAATCACCCCTTAAAGGCCCCACCTCTTAGAACTATCACATTGACAACACCTGGATTTTGGAAGGGACAAATTCAAACCATAGCATCCTAACTTTTTCACTTACAGTCAGCCCAGAGGGAGCAAAATGACACTTTCTAAAACACTGTCCCTTCAGTTCCTCCACAAAGGAAGGCTAAGAGAAAAGACAGGATTGGGCTAACCATTAGCCTGGTTGCAAATAACATCAATGATAACACTAACACAGCAGGAATAACCACAGCGTTAAAAACCACTAACTTTTACCGAGCACTAGGTGCCAGGCACTGAGCTAAGTACATTGTACCACGTAACAACCCCCTAAATTAAGTGCTGTTCTACAGATGAACAAACTGAGGATCAGAGAGGTTAAACAACTTGTCCAAAGCTACAAAGACTGTAATTCATAGAGTCGAACCTGTACCAGATCACTCCTAAGCCAGTATATTTAACTTCTGTAAACAAAATTCTATATCCTGTCAAAAGCCATAAGCTTTAACACGGAGTTTTTCCAGAGCTGATGCTTCAGAATTGGACCCAGGAATCACTGGCTTGTTAGGCCACACAGTGACCCTGGCACATTGCAATCCTGTCTCTTGAAGAAGGGCAATCTCCTATTTGAAAAGCTACGTTGTGAAAAGTCTCTCTGCTCATGTAATGGGCTGAAAGGAACATCCGCAACTGAGTTTCACCACCCGGCAGTGTGTCTAAGGCTGGTGATGAATGGAAGGTGAGAGTGACACTTACTAAATCAGGGTGTGTCCTCCGTGCAGAGGAACGAGGAGCACCGGAAAGCCAGAGTGATTCACTGAGCCTGCTTTGGCTATCTGTGAAGACTTTATTCCAGGCTCACAGCAGGGAAAAACATACTTAAATCTTGCCTGCAGAGCTCTCTGGGAACAAAATCTATCACGTTACTGTAGGGGCAGAGAGAGAAATCAGCTCTGCAATTGTGGGGTGTGTCTAGCGACCAGTCACTGCTGTCAACATTTAAACTTGCCCTGCATGCGTCATGAGATGCTATCAGCAATGGCAGTGCAACACAGTTCTAGCCAGTGGGCCGGGGAGCTCCATGGGCAGCTTTGAGGAGGTAGGAAACAGTATTAATGAACACAGGGTGAGAAAGGGCTTAGTTTAAAGGCTGTACGCCATCAGGAGTAATAAAAGCAGGATGCTAAGAAAGAGAACACTTCATTCATCCTCTCTCATGGTTGGTCATTGTCTCCCTAAACTGAGTATGCGCTTGCTACGAAGCCCAGCCTCCCGTGCTGTGGAGATAAATCACATGCACAGTGGCATTCATGAGCAGGGAGAGACAGGAGTGCTTTAGCAACTCCTTACCACCCCATCCCCTTCTCTAGCCTTATTGCCTACTTCATAATAACCATGGAAGTTATGAGTCACAGCTTTTGTTGAACCCTTGCTCCATGCTAGGCAAAATGCAAAGTCCTTTTAGTCTATTAACTAATTTAATTGGTGAAGCAACCTTCCAAGGTGAGGACCATTATTATCCCTGTTTTACAGATGAGGTTTCAAGTAACTTGCCAGGGGTTACCCAAGTCTTTATGCGGAGCTTTATAACCTAACCACCAGCCTCTAGCACCTCCAGTGCCTACACATGGTTCTGCTCTCAAAGGTCACTGCTAAATTATTACTTGCCCAGAAGGGGTGAAACCAAGCTATTATTAATTTCCCAGCTCATTTCCTTCAGAACATTTATCACAATCTGGACACATCTGATTTCCTCTTTGCTTACTTGTTAGTATTCTGTTTTCCCCAATAGACTTATAAACCCCAAGAGAGCAGGGTCTTGTGGGTCATGTTTACTAAAGTCACATAAGTGCTTAAACCCATGCCTAGCATGTTCAAGGTTTTCATTGCAGATTTGTTGACTGAATGGTTTGCCATCTATACTCTCAAGTTAATTAAGTACATAGGTTATGAGCTTCTCAGAGCCAGGGCCCATGGTCTATTTCTATCTCCTGTGGTCTAATTTGGGGCCTGGTCTGCAATGCGCATGCAATTAATGCTCTTTGCCTCGTGGTACAATTTTAAGAGCAGGCATCTGCTTTTTGGAGCAGATGGACCTAACCTCAATCACTCATTAGTCATGTGATTTTGAGAAAGTTACGTAAATTCTCTGTGCCACTGCAGTTGTGACATCTGCAAAACAGCAGGATTGTCGAGAAGATTACATGATAAAAATCAAGGCCACATCAATGCCTTGATTTTAGACTTCTGGCTTCCAGAACCATCATGATAGAGTACATTTCTGTTGTTTCATCTGCCCAGTTTGCAGTAATATGTTGTGGCAGCCCTAGGAAGCTAGTGCTATTGGGAATGTAGATGCTACTGGAGCATAGAGCTTAACTTAAACATAAACAGAAGAGCAAACGACCTATATTTGAAGCATTTCAGATGCACCTTGCTGAAAGCAAGCCTAATGAATAAAAGTCTTAATTCATAGATGAGATGAATTAGACAGCAAGGACCTTCTCAAAATGATTTATAGCAGGATCTCCTTAAAAAGAATAGATGCAATTTAGCAAAATGTTTGCCCACAAATTTTCTTCACTGAGCAAAATAAGATATAATTATGAAAATCATCATCCCTGAATCAATCACAGTCATTTTCTTCACCTGATAAAATGGGATGGTCTACTTATTTATCAGACATCTTCCTTTGCGATCTCTTTTTAAAAATAAACTATTTTATTGACCTGTAACATACTACAGAAAAGCACCGTACATAAAAATGTATGACTCCAATATTTTTTTTTTTTTTTTTGAGACGGAGTCTCGCTCTGTCACCAGGCTGGAGTGCAGTGGCGCGATCGTGGCTCTCTGCAATTTCTGCCACCCAGGTTCAAGCGATTCTCCTGCCTCAGTCTCCCAAGTAGCTGGGACTACAGGCATGCACTACCACAGCCGGCTAATTTTTTTTTTAGTATTTTAGTAGAGACGGGGTTTCACTATGTTGGCCAGGATGGTGTCGATCTCCTGACCTTGTGATCTGCCTGCTTCAGCCTCCCAAAGTGCTGGGATTACAGGAGTCAGCCACCATGCCTGGCCAGCTCCAATTAATTTTTACAAAGTGTTCCCACTAAGGTAATCAGGCACTATAAACAGAATGTGACCAGCCTCTATCATCTACCCTCCCAGTAACTGCCCCTCCCCACAAGAGGTAATCAGTCTTGATCTCTAACATCACTGATCAGATTGGTCTGTTTTAAATATTACACTAGGTTGGTGCAAATGTAATAGTGGTTTTTGCTATTGAAAGCAATGGCAGAAACCACAATTACTTTTGCACCAACCTAATATAATGGAATCTCATGGTATTTACTGTACATCTGCTTATATTGTCCAACATTGCATCTCTGAGATTTATCCATGTGGTTGTGTGTCATTATACTTTGTTCTTTTATATTGCTGTGTGGTATTCCCTTGCAGAAATACAACACAACTTATCCATTCTACGGTTGATAAAATTTTGGTGGATTCCAATTTTATGGCTATTAAAAAGACTGTTTCTTTGACCATTTTTGTACATGCCTTCTGGTATACACATTCCTTTTGGATGTGTAAGTCAGTGCTGAATTACTGGGTCACTGAATATACATGCATTCACCTTGATGACATACGGTCAATTTTAGCCATTTTGGTGGATTTGTAGTATGTTTCATTGTGTTTTTAATTTGCATTTCCATGATAATAAATGATGTAGGTCATCTTTCAAATATTTATTGTCCATCTGGTTATCGTCTTTTGTAATGTGTTGGTACAAGTTTTCTGTCCACTTAAAAAACAATTAGGCTGCCATCTCTAACATGGTTTTAGTTTCAGGTTTTCCACATAAGTATTTTATAAAAATCACGTGATAAACATTTTAGCTGTTCAAGTACTATAAACGAGAGGATAAAAACAGGAATTCTATTTTGCTATATGCTTAGGTTACCTCCCTTTGTTTATTGGACAGACAGAAGCCTTGAAAAAACACATGACAGCCGAGTCTTGAGGTTAGAGGTCCACTTCAGGCCACAAAACTGGAGATACTGCCACCGTCATGCAGTGGTGGGGGTGGAATTTCCGTCCTGGGGGTGGAATTTCCCCCAGGAACCAGCTGGGGAGGATTTTGCTCCTTAACTTTCAGGTCAGCAACCACATCTCTCTCCTTTCTCATAAGAAATTTGAACACAGCACAAATGACTCAGGGTGCTTATAAACCAAACTGGGCCTCAAAAATAATCTTTTTGTCAGCTTCTGGGGAAATCACTCATCAGCGCTCATGTTTTCTTGGTAGGCCCAGGTGAGCTTTCTCCAACATCAAGACTTGCAATGTTCTTTTTTGTTCTTTCTTTTCCTAATGAAGAGTATTGATTTTCTTTCTAATTTTTACTTTGCTTTTAGAGAAAGTTTATTTTATAACAAATATGACTGGTTGACTTAAATCTGGTTCCTGTTCATATGGATGTTCTCTCTGTGATCACTGGAATGACCAATTTGAACTAGTTTGTCTTCATTTATGGTAAAATTATACAACTTTCCAGGATTCAGGCTGTATAAAAGTAAAATAGTAGCTTGAGTTCTCTCAAAGCGTGGAGAAACTTGTATACTCAAAAGAGAGATCGTGTAACTAACCTGCACAATGTGCACAGGTACCCTAATACTTAAAGTATAATAAAAAAAAAAGACGTAAAAAAAAAAAAAAAGAAAAAAAAAAAGAGAGATCGTGATTCCTATTGGCATTTCAGACCTTGGAGCTAGAGGCAGCTATGCAGGAAAACCCAAGGTAGGGGGCTGTGGGGGCCCAGGAACTCCAGAATTAAATGCAGCTCTTGGGCATTTTTAATAGGTGAGTTTCCCAAATACCATTTTGAAATGTTACCTCTGAAATATCCCAGAGCAGACTCAGTCTCAGGGGAAGCTATAGATGTAAATCAGGAAGGGCAAATTTTTACCATTTATTAAGTCATTTTCCCCAAAATTTCGACCTGGGGGTTTATACCCTGAACCTAGTGCTAGAGGACACAGTGAAAACCAGTGACAAATGGCTTTGTTGGCTCTGCTTCAAAAATATGTCCTAATGAAATAATAAAGGATACGTGCAAAGGTTTGCAGATAAGGATGTTCATACCAGCATCATTTGTAAATGGTAACATATTGCCAATTACCTAAATATTACACAATGAAAGACTGGATTTACATATTATGTTTTCTTTATTTTTGCTTACATGTTTTTTCTATTTTTTCACAAAATTATATTTCTTGTTTAATATATATATTTTTAAAATAAGGTGATATGAAAATCAAGTTAAATAAATAAAGAATACAGGAAAACAATTACAAAGAGGTATTTCATAATCTTTGAAGTAGAGTCTTAGTATGGGACTAAATGGCACTGGGTGGAACTGGGCTTTCAGTTTGCAGTAACTTTCTTTAGAAACGGAAGATAATGGAATGACAAGAGATGAAGCAGCTGGTTCCTGCAGAGGCTCTTGTTTGATAGAAAATAGTAACAGTAGATTTGTCCTTGGATCTAGTGATAGGTTACCATTTA
Organism: Homo sapiens; assembly: GCF_000001405.40. NCBI lineage: Eukaryota > Metazoa > Chordata > Mammalia > Primates > Hominidae > Homo > Homo sapiens. Next base: position 65,235,218 of record NC_000003.12, read on the forward strand.
CTAAGTCTCACTAGGTGTCGGGCCATATGCCAAACAGAATTGTTACACGTTGTCACTTAAATTGGGCAAAGATATGATGCAGGGATGTTTGTGATCAATACCTCCATCTCCCTGAAACTCTATACTTCTTAACTACATTATTCCCCTCCCCTTCTCCATCCTCCACCTCCTACTCCATGCCCTACTCTGAAACCTCCAGACTGGGCTGGGCGTGGTGGCTCACGCCTGTTATCCCAGGACTTTGGGAGGCTGAGGTGGGTGGATCACCTGAGGTCAGGAGTTTGAGACCAGCCTGGCCAACATGGTGAAACCCCGTCTCTACTAAAAATACAAAAATTAGCCATGCGTGGTGGCAGGCGCCTATAATCCCAGCTACTTAGGAGGCTGAGGCAGGAGAATCGCTTGAACCCGGGCGGCAGAGGTTGCAGTGAGCCGAGATGGCACCTTTGCACTCCAGCCTGGGGGATAAGAGAGAGACTTCGTCTCAAAAAAAAAAAAAAAAAAAAAACCCTCCAGATTGGATGTTGAGTGCCACTGTTCTGCCCTTTCTTTCCCTGAAATCACTGCCTCATCTCTACTAGTCTAAAGCATCTGCTGGTCTAGACCTTGTCCCCTGACTCACACTTATTTATGCACAACAAAATCATTCATTCACTCTTCCATTCGACATGGAGTTAAGACTCAAACCCAGGCAGGCCAGCTCCAGCATCATGGTCTTCATCTCTCTGCTCTGCTAGCTTTAGTACACACCCAAGCTTTGATTTACACAAATCCAACATGGGTTCAAATCCCTGTGCTGCCAATTTCTAGCTGGATGGGACTTTTAGGGAGTCACTTAGCTCCCTAAGCCACACTGCCCTTATTTGTAAAAATGGGTTTACTGATGGTAACCATTTCATAGCGTTAATATGAGGGTTAAATTAAACAAGACAGGGTAGCAAAAGCTCTTGCACAGAGGCTAGCAGATAGACATATTTAATATATAGAAGTTAACGATAAGCAAACTGCAATGTTGGCCATGAAATCAGGTTTCTTAGAAAAAAACTACGTTAATTGCAATATTTGGAAAGAGTTTGAAAACAACCCACATAAATGGTAAATATGTAAATACAGAGTTTCTATTGAGGTCAATTTTTCCCAAATCTTCCCCAATTATCATTTTATAAGGGACTAATTGAGGGCCTTCTGTTCCAAGAAGTAAGCATCTCCTCTGGTAAATTTTTCTCTGACCTGCTTTACTCTCTGAGGTATAATCTTCTGGTCTCCTTGATTCCTCCCAATAAGATTTAACATGGGAGATTATGTTATCATATCACATTCAAAACTTTGGCACAGTATTTGAAAAAAAAATAAAAGGATCCTCCAAGATCATCCCATCTGTTGCTTCTCAGTCTTTAATGTGCATATAAATCACCTGGGGTTCTTGCTCAAATGAAGCTTCTGATTCAGCATATATGAGTTTTAGCCTGAGATGCTGCATTTCTAAGAAGGTCCCACATGATGTGATACTGCTGGTCTAAGGACCACACTTTGAGTAGCACAGCGAGAGAGCCCTAGTTCTCAAATGTCCCTATGAATTTGAATCATGCAGACGTTTATAAAATACTGATGTGGGATTCTCACTCCCTCACCCTCAAGATTCTGATTTCACTCATGTAGAGGCCAGCATAAGCAATGGCAGTTTTTGTTGTTCGTAGCCGCACGTAGGCTTTCAGGTGAGAGGGCAGCACATTTTTTTTTTGGAGTATTTACAGATCATAAGTGCACAGCATGATCCTCCAAAACCAGAAAATAGATGTCAGCACGGAAATAAGGTCCAAATTGCTTTCTGCCAGGTGAAATCTCCAACCCACAACTGCCACTTATTGGTTACTTACTGTGTACTATTAATTCTTTGCTAGAAGATACATATATTTCACTTGGCTCTACAGCAACCCTCTGGGGTAGGTATCATTAGACTCATTTCACATGTGACACTCAAAATGTTAAGCGATTACCCAAGTGAACAATAGTGAGAGCCAAGCTGGGATTCAAAACCAGGTCTTTCTGATGGCAAAGTTTGGTGAAGTTTGTTGTTGTTGTTGTTGTTGTTGTTTGTTTTTTGTTTTTTGTTTTTTTAATTTTAAGTTCCAGGGTAAATGTACAGGATGTGCAGCTTTGTTACATAGGTAAACATGTGCTATGGTGATTTGCTGCACCTATCAACACATCACCTAGGTATTAAGCCCAGCATGCATTAGTTATTTTTCCTGATGCTCTCCCTCCTCCATCCCACCCTCCAACAAGCCTCAGTGTGTCTTATTTCCCTCCCTGTGTCCATGTGTTCTCATTGTTCATCTCCCACTTATAAGTAAGAACATGCAGTGTTTGGTTATCTGTTCCTGTGTTAGTTTGCTGAGGATAGTGGCTTCCAGCTCCTTCCATGTCCCTGCAAAGGACATGATCTTATTCATCTTTATGGCTGCACAGTATTCCGTGGTATATGTTTCACTCTTATTGCCCAAGCTGTAGTGTAATGGCATGATCTCAGCTCATCGCAACCTCCGTCTCCAGGTTTAAGCAATTCTCCTGCCTCAGCCTCCCAAGTAGCTGGGATTACAGGCATGTGCCACCACACCCAGTTAATTTTGTATTTTCAGTAGAGACAGGTTTTCTCTATGTTGGTCAGGCTGGTCTCGAACTGCTGACCTCAGGTGATCCCCAGCCTCAGCCTCCCAAAGCTCTGGGATTACAGGCGTAAGCCACCGCGCTCGGCTGTACCATGTTTTCTTTATCCAGTCTACTATTAATGGACATTTCATTTGGGTTGATTCCATGTCTTTGCTATTGTGAATAGTGCCACAATGAACTTATGTGTGTGTGTGTCTTTGTAATAGAATGATTTATATTCCTTTGGGTATATACCCAGTAATGGGGCTGCTGGGTCAAATGGTTTTTTTGGTTCTGGATCTTTGAGGAATAGTCACACGGTCTTCCACAATAGTGGAACTAATTTACATTCCCACCAACCACGTGAAAGCATTCCTATTTCCCAACAACCTCTCCATCATCTATCGTTTCTTGACTTCTTAATAATCGCCATTCTGACTGACATGAGATGGTATCTCATTATGGTTTTGATTTGCATTTTTCTAATGACCAGTGATGTTGAGCTGTTTTTCAAGTTTTTTGGCCACATGAATGTCTTCTTTTGAGAAGTGTTTGTTCATGTCCTTTGCCCACTGATTAACAATTTTATTGAACTACAGTTGGCAAATCCATTGTACATATTTAAAGGGTATTATCTGATGAGTTTTGAAATATGTATATACCTAGGAAATCATAATCATAATCAACAGAATGACTATATCCATCTCTTCTAAAAGTTATCTCATGCTCTTTGCCATCCCTCCCTCCCTGTCTTCACCCCATCCCCAGGCAACCACTAATCTTTCTGTCATGATACCTTAGTTTACATTTTCGAGAGATTTATGTAAATGGAATCATACACTACATATACTTTTTGGCTTATTTTACTCAGCACATTGATTTTGAGATTTATTCATGCTCTTGGATTTATCAATGGTTTATTCTTTTTCATTGCTGAGTAATCGTTCATTGTATGGATATACCACAATTGGTTTATCTGTTCACTGTTCATGGACACTCAGATTGTTTGCAGTTTTGGACTACTAGAAATAAAACTGCTGTGAGCATTCATGTAATATCTCTATGTTAATGTATGCTTTCATTTCTTTTGGGTAAACACCTAGGAGTGGAATGACTGAAACTATATATTTAACTTTTCAAGAAATGGCTAGACTGTTTTCCAAAGTGGCTGCACAATTTTCCATGCCCACCAGCAGCTTAGGGAATTCCATTTGCTCCACAGCCTTGCCAACATTTGGTAAGACCCAGGTCTTTTAATTTTAGCAATTCTAATAGATATGTTGTGATATCTCACTATGCCTTTAATTTGCATTTCCCCATTAAATAAATAATGATGTTGAGCATTTTTTCATGTGCTTATTTCAAGTGCAAGCTTTTACACTCAACATCACTGTTTCTCAAACACATACAGTATGATTCTTCTTAAAAGAAAAAATAAAACCATATCAATCCCCAAAGTTCCTTTACTTTTATAATGATATTTAATTTTATTATAATATGAACAAAATACATAGCAACATAAAACCAGGCATTTTTATTTATAAATTATACTTTTATTTATACGACTATAAAAAATTAAAACTTGAATCCAAACAAAACTAAAAATTCCCACTACTAGTAGTAATAATATGAAACATGATGATTTTGCTGACCCTAAATCACCACTCGTAAATTTACATGAGTTTCTTATACAGCACCCCACAATAGTATATGGCCTTCCCTTGGCTAAAATTCATCATTTATGTGTAAGATCTGCCTTCGTTTTAGCCTGTGATAATCAAAGTGGTCTTTCTTGTCTTGGCTCCAACACTGTTGTAAACACCAGTGCAAATGTAGGCACTGGCATTGCATGGCAGTACTTGGTTATAAGGAGAACCAGATGATCCAAAACAGGCTTATATTGTTTTTGTTAGATTTTCATCAAAATGAAAAATACAGTATTGAAATACCCTCATAACAAACAAGTCACCCTCCAAAGACAGGGCTACATTTCCAAACTTTAGCAAATCCCCTAGTTAGAAAAGCTCCACTCTATGATTCGACCCGTGCTGTCTTCACTTGACCACACACTTCCTCTGACCCCTGCATCCGATACTCTTTGCTCTATTCCACAGCTCATTCCACAGTGCTAATGACTCTTCCAACAATTTATATCTCATTAAATCACTTGATCACCCCCACCAAAGAAATCCTGCAAGGAAAGTAGAGCATCACCCTAAAGTGCAGATGAGGAAACTGATGCTGATGACTCTAAGTGGGCCCTCCCATATTCACATAACAGAGCCTGGTGGATTCAAGACTCAGGTTAGATCTTCCAAGTTACATCTTTTTTCCTACATCACATGACTTCCTGGCATTATTACTAAGAATAAATATTCTGGAGAACATACAAACCTGGGGCTTTTTAAAATAGCTCTCCTTATGATCAAACAACCAAATGTTTTCCACCCATTTTATTTCCACTAATCCAAAACAGACCCAGCATCCTTTTGCCTATAATTCATGTCTATTTTTCTTTGATTGTCTCTTTGTCCTCTCCAATAGAAAACACAAAGCTTTGGGCACACAAATGGGTATGACACAATCTAGCTGCCACCCACCACGTGGCTACTGTCCATCATGTGAAAACAAGGACCCCCTACCTCCCTCATTCCCACAGACGAGCCCCTGGTGTTCTTACAATCATACCGGCTTTCAATAGCCTCAGCACATTCACAACTGTCATTAAGGATGCTGTATTTCTTTTCCAGGTGGAAGTTTTCAAATAAAGCTCTAAAAACAATTACAACAAAACCACGACATCTGTCATCCATTGAGCCTTCATGCCAGGCCTTGTGCTGAGGGACCGCACGTGTCTCATCTCCATGCCACATCCCTATGAGGCAGATACTATATTACTCCCACTTAGGAGATACGGAGATGAGTTCAGAGAGTATAACTTGCCCAGTGTCACACAGCTAATAACCAGTGGAGCCAGGATTCAAACCCTTGTCTTTTAGGGACCAGTAATGTATGTGTTTAATCATTATGTCAGCATTACCTCTGAGAAGTCATCTCTAATTTCCCCAGCAATAGGAAATAACTCTTTCCTCTAAAAATGTGTAGCCTTTCAACTATACCCGTCTTCCCCTTCTTGGCACTTCTGATTTTGCATTATCTTTATTTGTGAGATCTATTTGCTCCTAAATGGCAATATTTGTGCCCAATACTCCTTGGGAGTCTCACACAGAACTTAGCACATTGCCTTACCTATAGTAAGATTTTAGTACATGTCTATTATTTTTGCTTGTTTGTCTTAGCTGGAAAAATGGATGAGTAGGTAGGTAGAGGGCCTTGCTGTTTTGATCTGCCAGACATCCTCATTTCTTATTTCTCCACCACCATTACCACCTACTCCAAGAGTGGTTGAGCATGTCGTCCACTCCCCTCCCTGATCACCTGGGCAAAATTGTTTCCTGATTTCCCTGCAACAGCAATTGATCCACAAGGGCTAGATGGTTCAAGCAGATGCCTTCTCTGTAGTCATAAATGGATACAGGTAGAGAGAAGCAACTCTTATTGCTGAGATGACTTAACTGGGACGATGTGACTCTGGAATGGTCACAGTTCTTTTCCTTTCATCTCGAGGAGAGATATTCTGCATATCCTTCATGTAGGATGAGGGAAATACAATTTGAACGTGTAAATTCAGCTCCTCAACACAAAACCTACCAGTTAAGTGAGCCACGTTTGGCTTATAGTCATTTGGGAATTGATGACTTCCAACTTCAAGCTGCCTGACAAACACCAGAAAACAAAGACCTAGATAAGGATAGTGCTCTTATTATAAATCATCACTCTCTGTATTATTATAAAACTGATGATGGCACATGAAGAAGACGGGTATGATATATGAGCATCATTCACTCTGTCATCATTCACAGACCAAATGCCATTTAACACACCTAAGATGTCATGGCACTCACGTGGGTCCTCTCCACTGGTCTTTTACTGACACTCTTAAGTATTTTCCAAAAAAAGGAAATTATTTTCTTACCTAAAAGAAAAGTCTAAAGATGATTTCAGGGGAGACGCAAACAATGCCATCAAGCACCCAAGTCCTGCCTGTCTCTACAATCTGATTCCTCCAGTGCTGCCTGTCTCATAGTGGGCCCTTGGCAGCTCTGAGCTCTCTGTTCATGGATGTAAAATGGCTGCAGCAGTTTGAGCATCACTTCCGTGTACTGCATCATGCAGAGAAGGAAGTGAAGTCTTCTCTGATAGTTCCTGCAAAAGAGCTTGCCAGAATTGAGGCCGTCAATCCCCCAAAGGCACATTACTAAGAATGGGTAATCCATTTCCCTCAAAGCAAAATTCATGTATTTTAATGTGAAGAGGAAGCAGAAGACACACACGTATACACACACACACATACACACAGAGAGAGAGAGAGAGCAAGATAGAGAGGAGCATAAATATGGCAAAAATTAACAATTGTTGAGTCTAAACATAAATGGCATATGGATGTTCCATGTATTCATTTTCAATGAATGTTGAATGTCGGTAACTTTTGTGTTACAGGGAAAAATGTCACAGAGGTCATGAGCACCATTCATTAAAATTTTCAGCTCTCTGCCATCAAAGAACATGGTGAGTTTATACTTCCCAGCTTCTTTGAATTTAGATGTAGACAAGTGACTTGCTTTGGCCTATGAGATATAAGCTAGTATCATTTCTAGAAGAAGCTTTGTAGGCCAATTTGTGATTCTCTATGTTCCCACCCACTGTTGCAGAGAAATCAAGGAAGCATATATCAAGAGGAAATCTCCCTCAACCGCAGTCTCTGAGAGACCACATGAGAACAGCCCTCAGACAAACCGCTATGGTCATGCATCTAAGCAAGAAATAAGTCCTTCTTGTTATGCACCACCAAGATTTGGGGGTTGTTGGTTACAGCGGCAAAACCTGAATTATCCTAACTGATATAGAATAGATACTGTGCAGAAAAACAATACTCCATCCTCTAAATAATTGGAAGCTTTAACCATGAAGTTTTAACTCCTAGACCCTTAGCTCAAATAGGAGCCTTCAGGCACATACTCAGAGCAGGCTAAAATATTGATTTTCTTCTTGTTGTTGTTTCAAAGTTACAATTAAATTGTAGCTCAATACCAAACACCATGTGATCACTCTTTTAAGATAACTGTGTTGTTAAATAATACTAGGAAAATGATTCCAATTGCTGTTTCCTTCTTTCCTAACCACCAAAAATACATTCTAGAGTGGTGTCAGAGCAGTGACAAGAACATTTGCAAAACTCTAGAATCTGTCCTCTTAAGCCCCATTGCCTGTCAATGAGCAGGGAAGAGAAGTGGGCACATTGTAAAGTAAACCACTGTCCATTAAATCTGCGAAACTGTGAGGCAAAGAAAAAGGGAAAATATACCCGGTTCTTAGGAAGTTTCTAAGGAAGAATTATAATAGGCTAGTGGGATTGGAGTGAACTCATCAGCAGTACCAACCAGAGAAGTAAATAACTTCTCTTAACTACTTAGAGAGCATCTTTCTTAACCACTCAAAACTCTTTGCACAAGTCCACAAGCATTATCCACTGTGGCAAGAGGCCCTAGATAGGCCAGTATTGGATTTCTTAAAAGTAGCACAAGTGATCTCTCCAAAGAGAAATCATTAAAAAGTGGAGAAGTCACTTGGAGTCCGAATTCAACCTGGAAAAAAAGATTCTCTGAGAACAGAGGAAGAATAGGCAGATGACTTGGTGGATAGGTCTGCATTTTTTGGAAGGAAAAGCTCATAAAATTTTTCGCAGTGATGGTCGCATGTTAGTTGCAGCATCTGAGTGGCTCTCATCTACTTTAGGCCTCATTGTCTCTGTTACCTCTCAAAAGTTCCTTCTGTAGCTCTGTCTGGAACAGTCAGCATTGATCTAAATTAACTTAGCAGAGGTAGAATCTAAGGCAAGCTGCCCCAAATCTGTAAGACTCAGTTTCCCCATCTCTAAACCAGAAATAAAACTGTTGTGATATTAAATGAAATAAAAAGGTAAAGTGCTTAGCAAGGTCTGGCACATAGCAAGAGCTCAATAAATATTTAGTTGTTATCATTATAAATTGTATGTCTTGCTTGGAAGAGTCCTCTAGGTCTCTACGTGAGTTGGCTGGCCTTTTCATTTCTAACTCTTCAAGGGCTCCAGTCATTATTTTCTTCCTCCTTTAAGTCAAGGATATTAAACTGTGTGTCAGCTACTGTCCTCCTGGTTGGTGACAATGATGAATGAGACACAGTTCTTGTCCTCCATGGACAACACACACAATGTGACGTGATCAGTGCAAAAAAGAAAAAGAAAGAAAGAAAGAAAAAACAAACCCATGGGCCACAGAGGAGGGACACTGGAGTGGGCTTAGATTCAGGTAGTCTTACCCTGAATGGGTGATATTTAAAAGGCCTCCTCTCCCTAGGCCTAGCTCTTTTCCCAAGAGGATCTGCAAATACCACTCCACAGGTGTCAGGAAACAAAAGCACAACTCCTTACCCAGATTTAAGGGCTATGAAAACTGGAGTGAAGAAAATATCACCAGGAAGAGAAGAAACTCCTATTTTTTAAGGCATTGGGACCGGGGGATCAACATAGGGATGTGGCCATGGATTTCTTTCCTTGGATATGAGAGATATTCATACCAAAAGCCCTAAGGATAGAGCTTCTATCCCAACAGACACTTCCCATTGCATGCTTGTGCACTTAACAGTCCCCCAGCATTTCAAATCTGAATTTATTGCTTCAGTAAAATCTGCACATTATATTAGCATGGCTATACATCCTGATTGGGCGAGGATAGTCCTGGTTTATACCTGTTGTCCTAGTGTAATTATTACTAGCGATACTTTTCACTTTCAAAGTTGTCCCAGCTTGAATGATAAATTATACCTATAGAATCAACCTAATCGTAGTAAATCTCCTTAAATTTTTTTTTACAGTTTATGAGTGTTTGGATGCTGAATTTTTTCTTTTTTTTTTTTGAGACGGAGTCTCATTCTGTCGCCCAGGCTGGAATGCAGTGGCGCGATCTCTGCCCACCGCAAGCTCTGCCTCCCGGGTTCATGAAAATATTTTAAAATATAAGAGAAGTTAAACTCATTTGCAACATCATCTATATTATAGATTGACAGTCACGGTAATAATAAAATTGTTTACTATTTATTAAAAAGAAAGTATATCCTAGTCATTCTGACAGGTGCTTTCCTCATTTTATCTCATGTGTAAATATTATAGCTTCATTTGGGGCCATTTTCCACAAATGTGGAAATGAAGCACAAGGAAGTGACTTGTGGAATCTTCAGGGAGCAAATGGGATACTGTGGAGGAAAGATAAGGCATCCAGGAGGAAATGAGGAAGATAGCAGAAGAGACAGGGCAAGAGAGACAAAGCAAAGACAAGGAAGTTGGCTTGGTTCAAGGCCAATCATACCCCTTGGCTAGCACCTTGCAGACGTGGGAACACCAACGCTTCCTGGCTTTGGAGCTTGAATGAAACCTTTAGCTGCCCAGAAGCTAAGTGAAGCCCTGGAACCCTCTGACCCTAAAACACTGATAGCAAACACTTTCATCTCAACCATTCATCTTCTCCCTTCTTCTTGGCCCTGTACCAGCTCTCTAGAGCCCTCTAAAGCAATATCAAATTATCAAGAAAAGCAAGGCTTCCGAAATCCAAGGGTCATGAGAAATGTATTCTAGAGGTCATGGTCTGCAAAATCCCTGATATGGCTCAGTTGCAGAGGGCTAATGTCCTATCTCTTCTCAGATCTCTGTCCACTTGCCAAGGTCACAAAGCACGGTCAACAGATCTGAGCCCTGGGACTTGGGTTCTGATCTCTCCTTGTGCACTATTCACCTATTCACGTTCTCACTGCCGCTAGCACAGAAGTTGCATTTCCAACACTATGATTAATTGAATCCCTCCAGGTTTCCACAACTAATCACATCTTCATAAAGTTTAATTTAACGTAATTTAACGTAACACTGCCCTCTTGTGCCTCACCACACAAGGGGCCTTTGTGTGGAAAAATTTATTTTCAATTAAAAATAAAACGTAACATTTCAGCACCCTATGGAACATTATGCTGGAGAAGTGGATGTCTTTCTTGTTTTTCTCCCTTCATGGTTTATCCAAGTCTTTTGTTACATTGATTTCCATCACTGATAACTGCTGGCCAAGGAAACCAATGCTAAGGACAGACTTCAACATAAATCCACATGTGATTATTTTAAAGTAGCATATGGACGGAAATAACAAACAATGAATCCAGGCTGTCCGGGAATGAGGACTGCAGGAGAAACTGAGTAAAAAATCAGGAAATGAAAATAAAGTTATTAAATAGACTTGCCACAGCTGGCTTAGGGATTGCAATAGACTTGGTTAATGGGAAAAACAATCATAGAGAGCCCCTCAATTGCTTTTCTGCTGAGTTCCTTTCCACATCTCCATGTTTGCAGAGATTAACTAGGAGTTCTAATCACAACCTAAAACTCAACTCAGTCAGACAGATCAGAGAATTCTTTTTTTAAATGGGGGCATGCTCTGGAGACTTCTGAGCAGTGTGTCTCATAAAATTGACAGTCAGTGATTCTGGTTTGCAAAAAAGTAAAGTATTTGTAAGGAATAAGTAATTTAAGGGCATAACCCAACATCAGATAACGCACAAATTGCCACTTTTTGAGCCTTATTTCTAGCTCAAAAATTGGGTCTTAGTATTTTTCTCTTGATTAGCCACTCCTCAGCACTCTGGGCAAGAAATGACGGGTAGGAAAATGATTCTGAAAATGCTGAACGTTCTATAAATCACTGAGGCAGAAAAAATGCAGCCGAGCTGACCTCTAAGATAAGAAGATAAAGACAGGAATTGCATAAGCCATGCCTCTGGAGGTGTGCTGCTCGCTCTTCCAGGAGAGCAGAGCTTCTGACGACTGTTCCATTTCCATTCGGTTTTCTTTATCTAGCCTCCATCCCCATGATTATCTTTGAAAATGTATGCTTTGGTCAGTGATGGATGTCTGAAGATTATGTACTTAGAAAAAAGGGGCCCATGAGTTTTTTCCCCCTCCCTTTTAGGTCATGCTTTGCTTTATGATCAGTTCTTTTTACTATGTCCAGAACTTTCAGCTTTGCCTAAGGCTCTGAAAATTTTCAATGTCTTGAACTACCAGAAAGCCTCTTTGGATAAAAATGATAGTATTTGTCTGGGAGAGAGCCACGAAAAAAGTGTTTTTTGGTGGTTTTTTTTTTTTTTTTTTTTTTTTTGCCTGGCTTGTATTTATTAATGCTTCAGTAATGAACATAAAATGTTTCTGCAATAAGAAAAACAAGCAAGTTTTTAAAACTTTTTTCAAACTTTCCATTTTTCAAAGACTTTTTATGGATTTGGATATTTGCAATTTTTTGTTTAAGAACTTTGTACCAAATTTTGGATGTTAAAATCATACCTTTCCCTTTATCATATATTATAGACATTTTTCTTTTGCAGCAGTAGCTATTACTATTAGATGTAGGGTGATAATCATATTCACCCAATAAATCATTACCTATTATGTATATAGCACTGAGGTAGTCAGTGTACATGTATTGGGAATAGGAGAAATGACAGAGACTAATGAGATTCAGAGTTTTAAATCCAGAAAAGCAGAAGAGTCATATCCACTGATAACTGCATCACCAAGTAGAAAAGCATCAGTACCATCAGAGAGGTGGAGATCGGTGGATCTTAGCCTTCAGTATGCATCAGAATCACTTTGAGAGTTTTAAAAAATATATATGCAGATGCCTCTGTCCCTCCCCTGGAAATCCTGATTCCATCTGTCTGGGGCAAGGCTCTGAATATTTGTTTTTAAAGTATCCTCAGGTAATTCTGATGTGTGGCCATGTTTGAGAATGATTGGTATAGCTAGACAGATATGGAGATTCAGAAAAACATGAAGTTATTTGCTCTAGGAAAGAATGAGAGGGTGGCTTCATTGAAAAGATGACATTTTAATATGTATATATGCTGGTAGAACATATATGTGATATCATCCATATACCCAGGCCCAGATAAGCAAATTACTAGTTATCCTTAGAGAACTAAATAGACACAGTAATCATTCAGTGAAAGATATTAGAAATACTTAAAGACAATTATCAAACTCAGATATGCAAGGAAGCACTTGATATTCCATCCACCAAGGGTAAAGCACTGCTTGATGGAAACCAGAAAGGACTTAAAACTGTTGGAAGTTTGGAATTAGTACAGCTCTGCAGTTTAGAATTATAAAATGGTAAAATGAAAAAGTAGATCCTGTTGTTAACAGAAATGTTGCATTCAGCCTTTCAGCTGAGAAAAGGGGGCAGATGGATGATGTGACCGTGACAGCAGGACTGACATGTGCATTGTCCTCCATGAATATCCCAAAGTGAGTGAGGGAGCTCTGATTGCTTCTCTATGCTTCTGCATTGCTGAGAGGGAGAGGAAATACAGGAGAAGACAGCCCAGACTCTGCCATCAAAGACAACTGTGTTTACGTCACTACAATTTTTTAACCCTTCTTGAAATTCACAAAAGCATCAAGGTGAACCTTCTAAATGTTGGAAGATGAATCTAGTTCCTAATCTCAGATGAGCAAGAAATGGTTTTTTCTATTTAAATCAAATTGTCTGATTCCCAGTGCCCATCTGACCATGGGCTCAAATACCTCTCAGTGCTTATTGCTGTTGCTGCCCTCCCAGGGATGCACCAACATCCCAGGGTCTTACCCAACCCCAAGCAAGAGAGTGGGAGGTGACACTTCGTCTACCCAATAGGGCATCTGTGGCACACTGTTTCCAAGGAGAGGTTCCGTGGCGGCTGTGCCATGCTGGTGACTTGAGAATCTTGGGCTAGTCCTGAGTCCTGAGTTTATGACCCCATCTCTGGGTGCCTTGGGTAGGCATCACTCCTCCCCAGTCTAGGGAAAAAACCTTAGATGGATCTGCTAACCTCAGTTCCGGCAGAGCTTCACCATCTTTAGGCACTTCCAGTTCCTGCAAACACATCCTTACTTTCAATCCTTGACCTTGAACACCCTCCCTCTGCTCTACATGCTTCGACCCTTTGTCTCATCTCTTCTACAAACTTAGGCTTTTTGGAGAGGCAGAAACAGTATTTTGTTTAGGCAAATTTGGCTCTCAATCTCGGAGAACAAAAATGAAAATTTAAAAAGCTTAGTTAAGGAAATATCAAGGGCATGACTCCTTCTTGGAACAGAGAAAAGGGAAAAGGCAGGGAGAATACAGACTCCTCAAAAAAATTTTTTTAAATATTTAATTTAAAGAGCAAACTGAACCACACCACTCCCTCAACTACAGCTTTTCAATGACTTGCCATCACCTATTATATAAAGTATCTCACTATTATTGATAAAACAATTTAAGGTGCTATCCCTGCCTGATAAAGTGCTTTACAAACTTTAATGTGCATCAAATCACCTGGCAGTCTTCTTAAAATGCAGATTCTGATTCAGAAGTTCTGGAGTGAGGCCTGGGATTCTACCTTTCTAACAAGCTCCCAGGGGATGCGAAGTCTACTCCTTCAAGGACCACACTTTGAGTAGCAAGGGACCACAGCTTTCGCTTCAGATATACCACATATAAAACTGTCTCTGTAACATCACACAATTGTTTCTTAGTGGACTGTAGGATAACCACCTGCCTGAGAATTATCTAGGGCCTTTTGTGTCAAATGCTGGTTTTCTGGACTTCATCCCAGATCCACTGGTTCAGAATCTCTGTGGTGGGTCATGGTGTCTGTATTTTTTTCAAATATATTTTGTGTGTGTATCTGCATTTTAACAAGCTCTCTCGGTGCCTTCTATGCTCAGTAGCATTTAGGATGCATTGCCCTTGCTTTATCCATGATTAACTACTCAGTGTGTTCCTAAGGTGTCTTTCACCTGCCTGCCCCCAGGCCTTTGCATTGACTGGGGATTCTACTACCAATGTCCTTACCAGCATCCTTCTCCACCTCTTGTCTATACATTTTACCTGGATTCTTCTTACTAACCCTTCGGAAGCCTTCTCGGTCCACTGCCAATCTGCAGTGGATACCCTCTGTGCTGCATTAAAGCATCCCATGAATACTTTGGTCCTCTTGTTTTGTCTATTGGAATGTCTCCCTCCAAGCTTAGGAGCAACTTGAGGGCAGAAAGTTCTTTATCATTTACATCCTATGGACATAACCAGATGGATGGATGATGTATGAAACAGATAGACAGACAGACAGACAGAAAGACAAGACAAGACTAGATGGATAAGATAAGATAAGATAAGATAAGATATAGTGTGAGGTGGGATAAGGTAAGATAGGTGATGGATAAAATGAATCAAGGGTAGATCAGTATTTCCATCCAGATACATATAGAAGTTTTACATTGAATAAAATTCTTAGGAGTTGTTTAAAATAAGTTTTGCTAAATGCACCAACAGATGTCAAGGTCAAAGCAGGGCTCTTCCTCCCAAGAAGAGTGCTGCACCCTCAGTTTTATCTTCCACACTGTCAGAGAAGTGACAATATAATCTCTCTTAAAAAGGCATTTGAGACTACCTTCTTCCAAAGTCCCATGCATGCACTTTTATTCACCTTTCTGTCATCCACAAAGTGCATCTCAGTTTCTGCCACCATAGCTGCTGTGTTACAGACTAAAATTTCAGGAGAAAGAATAGCTAGAATTTATTAGGCATTTTCTGCCATCTAGGGACTCTACCAATCACTTTTACGTTAAATATCTCTTACAAGCTGCACAATGACCCTAATGTATATTGCCAATGGGAAACTGAGTCTAAAGAGGTTAAGACAGCTACTTCAGATCAAGGAGCTAGGAAAGAGGACGAAACTTGAGACCCAGGACTGTCTCACCCCAGAGGCAATGCTCTGAACCTCTGTGTCACTTCCCAGGGAATATGCTCTGGTCACCCATGGGCACAGCATTCAAAGCCTTTGGGACATTCACTGGGTAGACTTTCAGACTGTCACCTTTTCACTGGATGACTATGGGTCATTTTCATCATGGAAAACTTTGTGACTGAGAAATCTTTGCATCACTTCCTAGGAAGTAAATCACACTTCACCTAGCCCAGTTCCCATCCATACTTCTAGGATCTCACTCTCCCAGACGGTCTTCTATTTCTTGACTTCCATGTCTTCTTTTGTCAACACAAAGGGAAGAAGTCAAAATCAGCATGTGTTTTGTGGTTAGCAAATGGTACATTAATTAAACTAACCAAAGAATTCACCCAGCCCCAAGGTTTTGTTCTCAGTGTTACTTACAATTTCTGGAAGAATGATGCTATCAGGTTAAAATCCACACAGTCTGTGGCTGCCATCTTGTTACCCAGGTGGTTGCTGAGGCCCTGTCTGCAACCACCTGTGATGTGTGCAACCTGTCTGCAACCTGCAATGTAGATTAACTTGGCTAAAACCCAACTACACTGCCCTCCCAATGGCTTCTACCACTTCCCTAGATCTCCTCTATCCCTAGCTCCTGCATTTGTTCCTTTTCCCTCCTTGTCAACCTAGATAAGAAATTCAGCCCCTTGCCAGTTTGTACAAAAGCAGTCTGAGAAAGAGGAAGAATGTATTGAAGGACACGGAACTGAGAGAGCAGTCACCTCAGATCTCCTGCCACATCACCCGTCTTTCTCCTCACAGTCCTCCTCACTCAGTGCCCAGAGAAACCAACTTAGTTCCTCCTGAGTACATACAGTAACTACACCAGACCCTGCTGCATGGATACCAGACAACACTTCCCTCTTGCATCCTAACAGAACCCTGAAATTTTTTAGAGATTCACATGTACAAACAACTGTGTGCTCCAGAGGACATTGCCCCTTACCAGCCTCAGGGACAGGTTTGACTTGTCAAACAGCAATCCCATTTCCCTTTCAGGGATTGCTACAGAAAAAAGCATGTGATCCAAATCCGGCCAATGAAACATAAGGGAAGATTTGCTGGGGGCTTCTGGGAAAAGTTTCCTCATTCATGGGAGACACACAAATAAGAAATTATTTCTTTTCTTCTCTCAGCTGTGGTAGTTGGATAGGGCACCTGGAACTGCTGCAGCCATCTTGCTACCAGAAGAGAAGGAGTGACTTTGAAAATGACAGAGCAGAAAAGGAGAAAAAGCTCAGGAGATAGAGACAATGAATTCACCAAACCCATTTTATTTTTCTCCTGAGCACAGAATAAACTACAGTTAACAGCCACCCTGCCCCCTCCCCTGAAGTCAGGCATTACCAGAAAATTGAGTCCTGACCAATGGATTGTGTATGAAAGTAATGTTTACAGCTTCTAGGCCTGGCCTTTAAAATGGCCTGGTTCATCCTCCCTATCCTTGCTCTTTCCCCATCTGCAGGCTGAATGATGATAGGGTGATTGTGAAGCCATATTGAAGATGACAGAGCTATCACATAGAAGAAGCCAAAGTTCTTGAATGTAGTAGAGGCCTCTATTTCCATTAAATGATTACATGAATGACTAGTGTCTTTTTGTGTGTTAAACCACTGAGATCTCAGGACTAATTTGTTGTTATAGCACATATCATTACTCAACCTGATTAATACAACCACATTCCTTGACTCCTGAATCAACAAACTCTGAAGTCTTTCAACCACTAACCTTCCTCTTATGAGATAATACTTTACTTAATCCTTAAGCTCATTTGGGGCATTGTTTTCCTTTTTTCAGCCTAAAACATCTTAACAGTAATTCACATCTCTACAGTTCTGACCTTCATACTTGTATAACAAACCCATCAGGACGTTCATAGAACCAAGGCCAGGATCCACTCTGTTAAAGAAGATAATCAATGAATGTAAGAATTTTTTTTAACACTCTCCAGGGGTGGTCTAGTTTCTTTTTCTTTTTTTTCAATTATACTTTAAGTTCTGCGTTGCATGTGCAGAACATGCAGTTTTGTTACAAAGGTATACAAGCGCCATGGTGGTTTGCGGCACCCAACAACCCTTCACCTACATTAGGTATTTCTCTTAATGCTATCCCTCCCCTAGCCCCCCACCCCCCGAAAGGGCTGGTGTGTGATGTTCCCCTCCCTGTGGCCATGTGTTCTCATTGTTCAACTCCCACTTATGAGTGAAAACACGCAGTGCTTGGTTTTCTGTTCTTGTGATAGTTGGCTGAGAATGATGGCTTCTAGCTTCATCCATGACCCTGCAAAGGATATGAACCCATCCTTTTTTATGGCTGCATAGTATTCCATGGTGTATATGTGTCACATTTTCTTTATCCAGTCTATCATTGATGTGCATTTGGGTTGGTTCCAAGTCTTTGCTATTGTGAATAGTGCCACAATAAACATACGTGTGCCTGTGTCTTTATAGTGGAATGATTTATAATCCTTTGGGTATACACCCAGTAATGGGATGCTGGGTCAAATGGTATTTCTAGTTCTAGATCCTTGAGGAATCTCCACACTGTCTTCTACAATGGTTGAACTAATTTACACTCCCACCAACAGTGTAAAAGCTTTCCTATTTCTCCACATCCTCTCCAGCATCTGTTGTTTCCTGACTTTTTAATGATCACCATTCTAACTGGCATGAGATGGTATCTCATTGTGGTTTTGATTTGCATTTCTCTAATGACCAGTGATGATGAGCATTTTTTTCATATGTTTGTTGGCTGCATAAATGTCTTCTTTTGAGAAGTGTCTGTTCATATCCTTTGCCCACTTTTTGATGGGGTTGTTTTTTTCTTGTAAACTTGTTTAAGTTCTTTGTAGATTCTGGATATTAGCCCTTTGTCAGATGGATAGATTGCAAAAATTTTCTCCCATTCTGCAGGTTGCCTGTTCATTCAGATGATAGTTTCTATTGCTCTGCAGAAGCTCTTTAGTTTAATTAGATCCTATTTGTCAATTTTGGCTTTTGTTGCCATTGCTTTTTGTGTTTTAGTCATGAAGACTTTGCCCACGCCTATGTCCTGAATGGTATTGCCCAGGTTTTCTTCTAGGATTTTTATGGTTTTAGGCCTTACATTTAAGTCATTAATGCATCTTGAGTTGATTTTTGTATAAGGTGTAAGGAAGGAGTCCAGTTTCAGTTTTCTGCATATGGCTAGCCAGTTTTCCCAACACCATTTATTAAATAGGGTATCTTTTCCCCATTTCTTGTTTTTGTCAGGTTTGTCAAAGATCAGATGGTTGTAGTTGTGTGGTGTTATTTCTGAGGCCTCTGTTCTGTTCCATTGATCTATGTATCTGTTTTAGTACCAGTACTATGCTGTTTTGGTTACCGTAGCCTTGTAGTATAGTTTGAAGTCAGGTAGCATGATGCCTCCAGCATTGTTCTCTTTGCTTAGCATTGTCTTGGCTATGTGGGCTCTTTTTTGGTTCCATATGAAATTCTAAGTAGTTTTTTCCAATTCTGTGAAGAAAGTCAATGATAGCTTGATGGGGATAGCATTGAATCTATAAATTACTTTGGGCAGTATGGCCATTTTCATGATATTGATTCTTCCTATCCATGAGCATGGAATGTTTTTCCATTTGTTTGTGCCCTCTTTTATTTTTTTGAGCAGTGGTTCGTAGTTCTCCTTGAAGAGGTCCTTCACATCCCTTGTAAATTGTATTCCTAGGTATTTTATTCTCTTTGTAGCAATTGTGAATGGGACTTCACTCATGATTTGGCTCTCTGTTCTCGGTGCATAGGAATGCTTGTGATTTTTGCACATTGAGTTTGTATCCTGAAACTTTGCTGAAGTTGCTTACCAGCTTAAGAAGATTTTGAGCTGTGACGATGGGGTTTTCTAAATATATAATCATGTCATCTGCAAACAGAGACAATTTGACTTCCTTTCTTCCTATTTGAATACCCTTTATTTCTTTCTCTTGCCTGATTGCCCTGGCCAGAACTTCCAATACTGTGTTGAATAGGAGTGGTTAGAGAGGGCATCTTTGTCTTGTGCTGGTTTTCAAAGGGAATGCTTCCAGTTTTTGCCCATTCAGTATGATATAGGCTGTTTTCTAATGGGATTTTCTTCACCTTTGGGAAGATCTATTTCTGTGCTTTTTTCTGCTTGATGGGTACAGTGAATTTTCCTAAGCAGCATCCTCTTCCAGCTAGCCAAGGAACCTATAGCAATGTGAATTTTAATGGTAGGCATTCTGAGATATCCCTCTAGATAAATTCACTAATGAGAGCTCCTTGAGCACTCGCCTCAGATCTAGCATAAGTTAAATTTTCTCCTGAGTCTTATCTTCTCTGCACTTGGTTCAATAGCTTCCTCTTGTGAGGAGGGTCTTTGAATGATGCTACCTTCCTTCCTTGGTGGTTGATATGGTTTGGCCATATCCCAAATGTCATCTTGAATAGTAGTTCCCATAATCCCCATGTGTTGTGGGAGGGACCCAACACCACAAATCCCCATGTGTTGTGGGAGGGACCAGGTGGAGGTAATTGAATCATCGGGGGTGGTTTTCCCTATGCTGTTCTCATGATAATGAGTGAGTCTCACGAGATGTGATCGTTTTATAAGCATCTGGCATTTCCCCTGCTGGCACTCATTGTGTCTTGCCTGCCACCATGTAGGATGTGTCTTTGCTCTTTCTTCACCTTCTGCCATGACTGTGAGGCCTCCCCAGCCATGTGGAACTGTGAACCCATTAAACCTCTTTTTCTTTATAAATTACCCAGTCTCAGGTATGTCTTTATTAGCAGCATGAGAACAGACTAATACAGTGATGCACTTTTATCTGCTGGATGAAGGCCACAGAGTTGGCCTTACTCCCAATGCAAGTGTTCCATCCTTCTCCTCAGCCCAGTGGCTCCATTGTCCCACCAGACACTGATACATCTGTGGGCCCACCCACACTCGAAGGGCTATCAGACTACTTCAACTGGTCCTCTTGCAGCTCCCATGGAATATTGGGACACAGTAGGCAGATACAGGACAAATAGAAAATAAAATATTTCTGACAAGCCAGAGTTACAGTACTGTGGGTATGTATGCCAAGCATCTACATATTCTCCCTCCTTATTGGACTTTCTCTTAAAATGAAATAATTTTTTGAGTTCCAATGTCTTTCCTGAAACTCCTCTTTTCTAATCCCTTCCCACATTAGAGCTTACCACTTCTTCCTTTATGAATCCTGTCCTGGAACCTACTGTTCTTTGATGTACTCTTTGATGCAGCAGAAAATAGAGATTAGGAGCTTGGACTCTGGAGACAGAGTGCCTTGTCTTGATTCCTAGTTCTACCACTTACTGGCTAAGTAACCATGGACAAAGTAACCTCTCTGTGCCTCAGTCTCCTCATCTGCATGAAGGGATAATAATAATACTACTGATTTCATTTAGGTAGTGGTGAAAATTGAGGAAATTCACTGAGCATGGTTTGAAGAGTTATTGGAACAGAGTTAAGCGCTCAATAAATACACATGTAGCTATTTGTATATCTGTCTGTGCTTTCTCTTAGATTATAAATTCCTTGAACTAAAGGACAAAATCTTATCTTTGTATTCCCAGTGTTAGGCCCTAAGTAATGCTCAGTATGTGTTGAATGAATGAATGAGAAATAAGTAACGGAATAAACTTCCAGGTGTATCTATGACTAATAAGCAATTATACGGAGACTTTCCCACTGACAACCATAGCTTTATAGCAAACAATTCTAGTATTTGTGTCATCTGTCATAACCCAAGCTGAGCTTGTCTTAGTTTTCTCTGCATCTGTGAGCTTTCTGATGCCAGTATGGATATTTCAGTCCTTTTTTGCCCACAACCTCCCCACCCCACCCCCCTTCCCCAGCCCAGGTGAAAACATTCTGCCTTTCCAACCACAAAGAAATGAGTAAGCAAATTAAATTCTACTGTGAGGTCATTAAAAAAGATGGGTTTGCTCTCTCATCCTTCTATAGAAAGATGTTTGTAATAAAATTATAAAGATCAGGTAATAAAACTGTATTATAGAATGCCCATTTTGGTAAAAATATACATTTTATACACTAAATGTCTAGACCCGTGGTTTTTCACCTATGGCTACATATTAGACCTTAAAAAACTAGTCCTGCACACTCCGGACTATTTGAATCAGAATCTCTGGGAATGGGCAACAGACACTGATATTCCTTAAAAGCTCCCCAAGTGATTCTAAAGATACAAACAGATATGTTATCAGAGGCTGTCTCTGCCTGGTGGAATTATTGGTGTTTTTATTTTCTTCTCTTTCATTATCTTTTTTTCCCCCTCCTATAAACATGTATTGCTTTTGTGATAAGAAAAGAAAAAATCCTCACACACCGTCAAAGTACAAGCGGAGACAAGGGTAGAATGGAGACAATTTTCAACATCCACTAGCCCCTTACTAGAAGGGAGAGAACACTGGACCTTCCTGCTGCACTGCTCAAATTGCAATCCCACAGGGCCTCCTAGGAGGAGGTGGGGCACAAACACAACACTGTTGTATTAGGCTGTTTTTGCATTGCTATAAAAAAGATACCTGAGACTGGGTAATTTATATAAATTTAATTAACATATAATTTATATGTTATATAATTTATATAAATTTAATTAACATATAATTTATATAAATTACCCAGTCTCAGGGTTTTTGTTGGTGGTGGTTTTTTGTTTGTTTATTTGTTTGTTTGTGTTTTGGAGACAGAGTCTCGCTCTGTCACCCAGGCTGGAGTGTGGTGGCATGATATGGGCTCACTGCAACCTCCACCTCCTTCCTAGGTTCAAACGATTCTTGTGCCTCAGCCTCCCAAGTAGCTGGGATCACAGTCATACACCACCACACATAGCTAATTTTTGCATTTTTTTGTAGAGACAGCATTTCGACATGTTGGCCAGGCTGATCTTGAACTCCTGGCCTCAAGTGATACACCCATCTCGGCCTCCCAAAGTGCTGGGATTACAGGCATGAGCGACCATGCCTGGCCAGTCTCAGGTATTTTAATTAATTGGCTCACGGTTCCGCAGGCTGTATAGGAAGCATAGCAGCATCTGTGTCTGGGGAGGCCTCAGGAGACTTATAGTCATGAAGGAGGGTGAAGAGGGAGCAGGCACATCACAGAGTGAAAGCAGGAGCAAGGGAGAGAGTGGGGGGTGGGGAGGTGCCACACAGTTTTAAATGACCAGACCTCATGTGAACTCATTCACTGCCTCAAAGATAGGACCAAGCCATGAGGGATCTGCTCCCATAACTCAAACATCTCCCCCCAGGCCCCACCTCCAGCATTGGGGATTACAATTAAACATGAGATTTAGGCAGGGACAAATATCCAAACCATATCAACCATCCTGCAGATCCATGCCAACCAATGGAGAGGGCATTAAAGGATACACTAGCCGGCCCTAAAACACTGGACTCACTTTTGAAGTTTATTAACCTTCTTGTTAAAGCTCAGCTTCAACTGTTAATGGTCATCAGACCTTCCCCAAAAGAAGATGCAATGTGCACAGAAGTCCCCCAATAGTCCACGAAGCTATCTGATGATGAAATAGATGCCAATGGCTACTCTACAGACAAAAATACGCAATCCTATCTGATGCACAGAATTTGAAAATAATATGAGTTGTCCCCAGAGTTCAGGATCATCATAAATCTAGGTAGTTACATAAGTGGTGGGGTGGGTAGGGGGTCTGAGAAAGCTCACCCATAACACTTGCAGAGCCTGGGGTAAGAATTCAAATGGAAGCCCATAAGCTGTATGTCTATTTTATAAATCAGGCTTAAAAACTGTTAAATAAAATGTGTTCTGTCTCCCTACCTTGATGACTACTTTTTCCACAAAGATGAAATGGAAAATATGTAAAACCATGGCTTTTAAGTGACCACAAATCAATAACATATCAAAGATGACTGAATGGAAAGATTATTGTACAGCTCTGAGTATTCTGTAAATGGGCCAGCAGCATTTGAATGAGTAATAAAATAAAGCCATACATAGTCATAAATTGTTACCTATCTATGCCATAAGCTTTACTTTTCTTGCCCTTATTTCCACAGAATCACTTTTATAATCATTTCACTAATATTACTATCAAGATTTTCACATTATCTATGTTCTATTAACAATAATAATTTAAAGAATTCTAGATAAAATGTAAATTATATGCACAATACACAAAATTTGAGAATATTTTTATTCAAAAGTTATATTAAAGTAAATGTAACAAGGTAAAAAGAATTATTTAAATTATTACTTAATGTTTTATCATTTTTATGTCTATTATACATTATTTAATAAACTATTTAATATTACTTAAAGTATTGCCTTCACATTTTGTCTTCTAAAATGTTTTAAATTATCTACTAAAATTAAAAGACAAAATTTAAAATAATTAATGGAGTATTCAAATTTTAAATCAACACTAAATAAAACACATATTTTATTTAATTTTTTTAAATTCTTATTAAATATTTAATATTTCTTTTAAATCTCATTAAGTGTGTAGAAATAAAACTACTCACAATTCTAATGCTTACTGTTGAAGTGTGCAAATAATTGGTATTATGCTTCATTCACATTTTATCTAGAACTAAATAAATTGAAAATTTTTTAATATTGTACATTATCCCTTAGCTGCCTTATGTGACTGTTATAAATCCACAGCTGACTCCTAAGTAGCCTTAAAACAAGATTCTTGGTATGCAAAATCTATTCTTGCATTAATGTTATCCAAAAGGAAGAATTTTACATGTTAAATAATATATCTGTTTTCTTACTTCTGTCTTACCTTCTGTCACTTAAGCCCTCCCGTACCGTGGAGCAGTGTCCCTGATGTAGGCAGCAGCACAATCCACAAAGCTCCAGGTTCAGTGACGTTGAGATTCAGTCATCTTTTGCTTCAGGAACCTTGGGCAAGAGAAGTTGTGAAGTGGTTCTCTGAGACCTGAGAGGTGCTAGTCATGGCAGTTGACGTTTAGGATTACAACTCTCCCTGTAGCAAAGCTGAGCACTGGATCATAAATGACAGATGTACTCATATATACTAATAGTGTGTGTGTGTGTGTGTGTGTGTGTGTGTGCAATGAAAATAAAAATTGATAACTGGGACCTACATTAAGAAGTTCTGTGTGTGTATGAGAGAGGAAGGGAAGGGAAAGGAAGGGTAAGGGGAGAGGAAGGGAAGGGAAAGGATGGGTAAGGGAAGGGAAAGGAAGGGAAGGGAAGGGAAGGGAAAGGAAGGGAAGGGAAAGGAAAGGAAGGGAAGGGAAGCGAAGGGAAGGGAAGGGAAGGGAAGGGAAGGGAAGGGAAGGGAAAAGGAGATGAGGTACCTTTAAATTAAGGGCTCACCCATAGCAAGGAGTCCCTCCTGTCTAAGTCTAAGGGTAAAACTGCATCTGAGAATGCCAGAAAGGATTCTTTGCTCAAATATATCTCCTTCACTGAAAGTTTGGTGAGAAGTGAAATATTTGCATAACCTCAAAGTCTCTTTCCTTAAAAAAATACTTAATTATAAAAGGAAGAAAAAGAAAAACTTTACAGTGAAGAAACCACTGATCAAAGTAAACTTCTCTTGTAATAGGAAGCAATGAAAAGAACACAGCACTGCTTTCTGTGATACTCCTGCCAATGAGGAATGAACTGAATCTAATCATGAGAAAACATCAGGCAAGCACAAATCAAGGGAAACTTTACAAAGTAAATGAAGTGTAATAATGAAAAATGTCTCCAGCTTATGAAAGCCAAGGAAAGACTAAGGAACTTTTCCAGACTGAAGACTTAAGAGAGATATGACAACCAATGTACCATGTGATCCAAGATTAGATCAAGTTTCGTCAATTTTTTCAATAATATCCTTTATTGGATAATCCTTTTGCTACAAAGACATTACTGGAGCCACACAAAAAATAAAATACCTAGGAATACATCTAACCAAGGAAGTGAAAGATCTCAACAAGGAGAACTACAAAACACTGCTAAAAGAAATCACAGAAGACACAAACAAATGAAAAAGCATTCCATGCTCATGGATTCAAAGAAACAATATTGTTAAAATGTCCATACTGCCCAAAGCAATCTACAGATTCAATGCTATTCCTGTCAAATTACCAATGTTATTTTTCACAGAATTAGAAAAAAACTATTCTAAAATTCATATGGAACCAAAAAAGAGCCTGAATAGCCAAGGCAATCCTAGGCTAAAAGAAAAAAACAGAGGCATGATATTAAATATCAAAATATACTATATACGGTTTCAAAATATACTATAAGACTACAGTGAACAAAACAGCATGGTACTGGTACAAAAATAGATACACAGTCCAAAGGAACAGAATAGAAACCACTGAAATAAAGGCATTCCTACTTCCTGAATAGGATACTCTTTCTGCATTGTTTATTTTTATCAACACAGGAAAGGACACTCTATTCAATAAACAGTGCTGGAGAAAACTAGCTAACCATATGCAGAAGAATGAAACTGGACCCCTATCTCTCACTATATACAAAAATTAACTCAGGATGGATTAAAGACTTAAATGTAAGACCTCAAACTACACAAATCCTAGACGAAAACCTAGGAAATACCCTTATAGACATTGGCCTAGGCAAATAATTTATGACTAAGTCCTGAAAAGCAAATGCAACAAAAATAAAAATTGTTAACTGGGACCTAATTAAGGAGCTCTGTACAGCCACGTCAAATATTAACAGAGTAAAC
Organism: Homo sapiens; assembly: GCF_000001405.40. Taxonomy (NCBI): domain Eukaryota; kingdom Metazoa; phylum Chordata; class Mammalia; order Primates; family Hominidae; genus Homo; species Homo sapiens. The sequence goes on from NC_000003.12 coordinate 65,261,553, forward strand.
AAACTACAGAATGAGAAAATATTTGCAAAGTATCCATCCAACAAAGGACTAATACCTCTAATCTATAAGGAACATAAACAAATCAGCAATAAAAAATGACCCATCAAAAAGTGGACAAAAGACATAAAAGATGAACTCAAACAAATTTACAAGAAAAAAACAAACAATCCCATCAAAAAGTGGGCGAAGGACATGAACAGACACTTCTCAAAAGAAGACATTTATGCAGCCAAACGACACATGAAAAAATGCTCATCATCACTGGCCATCAGAGAAATGCAAATCAAAACCACATTGAGATACCATCTCACACCAGTTAGAATGGCGATCATTAAAAAGTCAGGAAACAACAGGTGCTGGAGAGGATGTGGAGAAATAGGGACACTTTTACACTGTCGGTGGGACTGTAAACTAGTTCAACCATTGTGGAAGTCAGTGTGGCGATTCCTCAGGGATCTTGAACCAGAAATACCATTTGACCCAGCCATCCCATTACTGGGTATATACCCAAAGGATTATAAAACGTGCTGCTATAAAGACACATGCACACATATGTTTATTGCGGCACTATTCACAATAGCAAAGACTTGGAACCAAGCCAAATGTCCAATAATGATAGACTGGATTAAGAAAATGTGGCACATATACACCATGGAATACTATGCAGCCATAAAAAATGATGAGTTCATGTCCGTTGTAGGGACATGGATGAAACTGGAAACCATCATTCTCAGCAAACTATCGCAAGGACAAAAAAACAAACACCGCATGTTCTCACTCACAGGTGGGAATTGAACAATGAGAACACATGGACACAGGAAGGGGAACATCACACACTGGGACGTGTTGTGGGGTGGGGGGAGTGGGGAGGGATAGCTTTAGGAGATATACCTAATGTTAAATGATGAGTTAATGGGTGCAGCACAACATGGCACATGTATACATATGTGACTAACCTGCACGTTGTGCACATGTACCCTAAAACTTAAAGTATAATTTAAAAAAGGAAGTTAAAAAAAAAGACACTTCTCAAAAGATCTACAAGCAGCCAACAAATATACCAGAAAAAATCCTCAACACCACTAATCACCAGAAAGACGCAAATCAAAACCGCAATGAGAAACCATCTCACACGAGTCAGAATGGCTATTTTTGAAAAGTCAAAAATAGATGTTGGCAAGGTTGAGGAGAAAATGGAACACTTTACATGCTGCTGGTGGGAATGCAAATTAGCTCAGCCCCTGTGGAAAGCAGCTTGGAGATTTCTCAAAGAACTAAAAATAGAATTACCACTGGACCCAGCAATCCCATTACTGAGTATATACCCAAAGGAAAAGAAATCATTCTACCAAAAAGACACGTGACCTTATTTATATGTTTATTGCCGCACTATTCACAATAGCCAAAATATGGAATCAACCCAGGTGCCCATCAATGGTGGACTTGATAAAGAAAATGTGGTATACACCATGGAATACTACATAGCCAAAAAAAAGAACAAAACCTTGTCCTTTGCAGCAAAATGGACGCAGCTGGAGGCTGTTATCCTAAGTGAATTAATGCAAAAACAGAAAACCAAATACCACATATTCTCACTTATAACTGGGAACTAAACATTGGGTGCACACAAAAACAAAGATGTGAACAACAAACACGGAGGATTCCAAAAGCAGGGAGGAAGAGAGGATGGCAAGGCTTGAAAAACTACCTATTGGGTACCATGTTCACTACCTGGGCAACAGGATCTTTAGAAGCTCAAATCTCAGCATCATGCAATATGCAACAAAACCATACATGTACCCCTGAATTTAAAATTTTTAAAAGGAAAAAAAATAAATTTTTAGCCTGATGACTGGGAAAAAAAGACATTATTGCAACAACTGACAAAAGCTGAATGGAACCTGTGGATTAAATAGTAGTCATTTATTAATGTCAATTTCCTGATACTGATGGTTGTATTATAATTATATAGGGGAATATTCTCCTTTAGATCAGATATACTCAAGTATGAGAGGATGACTGGGGACTGTTTGCAACTTACAGGGGGAAAAAATCTTTGTACTCTTTTTTCAACTTTTCTGTAAGATAGAAATTTAAACATTGTTTTTAAATCACCCAGGGTCTTATGGTACCTGAAATTCCACTAATAGTGACATTACTGGTCCTTTCCATTAGAAGAAAACTCCTCTAGGCTACTCTTTTTAAACTACTAGTATTCCTGAAGGGGATTAACACAGTCTGTTATCTATCATCCATCCATTTATTCAACAAAGATTTCACTCATCTCTTCAATAAATGTGTTTAGCACCTACTGTGTGTCAGCCACTACACTAGGCAGGAGGAATATGTTGGCAAGCAAAATTAGTCATGACCCTACCCCTTTTAGGCTTTTGATCTAGTAAAGAAGATACAAATTAATCCAAAACTCACAAAAACAACTATAAAATTCCAATCTTGACAAATATTACAAAGAAGTAAGTGATGCTATAAAAGTGTATAATTGAGGAATGAGGAATTGACCTAGTATTTGTTTTGAGCACTGAAGATAAAAGGGTGAATGAGGTACTACATTTAGTTTTTAGCAGTTTACAGGGTAATAAAGGAAAAACAAGAATAAAATGACATCATTGGGATGTGATAAATCTAACAAGAGTGACATGAAAAAAATACATTGGGAGCACAAAGGAAAGGTTGATCTTAATGTAAAGATCAGGGCCTGAAATCAGTGCCACCTGATCCAAATTATGAAAAATGAATAGGCAAGGAAATGCATCAATATCCAAGAGTCATGTAAGCAAGGGAGTGGGGGTGTGGGTGGGAATTGTGGCTCCTTAGGAGAGGGGTGACTATCACAGAGCACCTGCCACATAGAAATGAATATCACAGAGTGCCTGCCACATAGAGGTGAATATTACAATGCTTGCCACGTAGAGGTGAATAGCACAGCGCCTGCCACGTACTGGTGAATATCACAGTGCCTGCCACATAGAGGTGAATATCACAGAGCACCTGCCACATAGAGGTGAGTATCACAGAGCGCCTGCCACTTAGAGGTGAATATCACAGAGTCCGTCACGTAGAGGTGAATATCACAGAGCCCATCACATAGAGGTGAATATCACAGTGCCTGCCACATAGAGGTGAATATCACAGCGCCTGCCAAGTATCGGTGAATATCACAGTGCCTGCCACGTAGAGGTGAATATCACAGCGCCTGCCACGTAGAGGTGAATATCACAGAGCGCCTGCCACATAGAGGTGAATATCTCAGCACCTGCCACGTATCAGTGAATATCACAGTGCCTGCTACATAGAGGTGAATATCACAGTGCCTGCCCTATAGAGGTGAATATCACAGCACCTGCCACATAGAAGTGAATATTACAGTGCCTGCCACATAGAGGTGAATATCCAAGTGCCTGCCACATAGAGGTGAATATCACAGAGCACCTTTCACATAGAGGCGAATATCACAGTGCCTGCACATAGAGGTGAATATCCAAGTGCCTGCCACATAAAGGTGACTATCACAGAGCACTTGCCATATAGAGGTGGATATCAAAGTACTTGCCACATAGAGGTGAATATCACAGTGCCTGCCACATAGAGGTAGCTATCACAGTGCCTGCCACATAAAGGTAATATCACAGAGCATCTGCCACATAGAGGTGAATATCACAAAGCACCTGCCACACAGAGGTGAATATCACAAAGCGCCTGCCACATAGAGGTGAATATCACAAAGCACCTGCCACATGGACCCTCTAGAAAGGCGCAGGCCAAGATATCACTGCAAACGCAGGTCAGGCTTGGATGCAGAAGGATCTAGATGTTGGCCATTTTCCCTAGGCAGCATGGAGCCACTAAAAGTTTGTAAACAGTGGAGTTGGATAGCCATTTCTTTGAAACTTAATTGCCCTAAGCTACAAAGTGGAGACTCCAAAATGTTAAATGAATAAATGAACGAATGCAGAAACAAGCCTTATATCAAAATAGGTGAATTCTTGAGAAGACTCCTGAGACAAGTACAAGATATAATGTAAGGCTTATTGCTGGTCCGGTCACCCCAGTTTTAAATGGCACAACCTCACTTGCCAAATACTTTACTACCACAAAGGGCTGGATTGTTCAGACTCCCACCCACAGGGAGGTCCAGGATAGGCCTGAAGGGAAGCTCTCAGAATCCCTCCCACAGACCTCTGACCAGTACAATGTAGATTTCTAAGGGAAATAAGATGCCACAATCTTTACGTCAGTTTTACAAAGAGAGATGTTTTCCAGCTGTAAAGATGGTGCATATCAAAACACATTAGTTCACATAATTCCTAATCAGAACTCTATATCGCAGATGACAGAAACCCAACTCATACTAGAAAAAGTGAAAGAGAATCTATAGGATCATATAACTGAGGAATCAAAAGGGGAACAGGCTTAGGCACAGTTTGACCCAGGGTTTAAGCAAAATCAAAGGAACACTCCCCACTCCCATTTCTTTTCTCTTCTGGAATCTACTTCATTTCACTTTCAAATATGCCCTCGATTCATGGTGGGAAACCACCAACAGCAGCCCACATTCATATCCTGCATGTTTAGGATTCTTGGTAGTAAGAACAAGTCTCTTTTCATAGCTTTGGCAGAGGAGCCTTGGGGACGAGTCTTCCAGAACCAAAATGGATCAATGGCACATCTATAAACAAATTACAGTGTCTAGGGGACAGATTAGTCTAACTGGTAGATCTGAGTCAGTGTATACCGTTGACTGCATTATTCCCTTACAGGAAAAAAAAAAAAAAAAGTTCTGTTTCCATAAGAAACAGGATGATGTGGTGCCAGGCAAACACAAACAACAGATGTGGTAGATGTGGCAGATGGACTCATGCCTCTTTATTTCCTCCCTTTGTAGTATGCCTTACAGATGCTAGAGGCTAAGAAGCTAAAAACTACTCATTCACGGTTCCCTCCAACTCAGGTTCACAATGGGCAGCCTCTGCCAACAGACACAATCATGCAAAATCTAGCTGCTTACACTACTTATTCTAGCAAGAGCATTCATGGACGCTCTTGTGAGATCCTTACAGATGGTCCCAGCTTCATGTGTAGCAAGAAATAGAGCTCAGGAACCTAATTTGCTACTAAGGGTCATGGCTAATGCAATGTAGTCTTGGAGCCACCAGCTGTGGTGGTGGCTTCCTAATCGTTACAAAAGATGAACTTTTTTTGGTAAACCACCTCTGTGACCATTTGGAAGCCCAGCCTGCAGCCTGTTTGCTTAGTCTTTTCAATTATTGTGTAAGCCCCTAAATCTCTGTATATTTAGTCCCTTTCTATTTGAATCAGGTAGAGTATGGATCCTAACGCAGTTATCCACTACAATTTCTGAAGAATGCTGTACAAATAAAACTTTGTTCTGATTCCTTTTTACAAATGATAGATTCATGGAATCCATCTTAGCAGAATCAGGCTATACCTTCCATGAGTTCATCCCATCATTTGTGGCCCCCAGCAGTTTTGAGATACCATTTTCTTTTTATTTTTGACACCTTAGAGTTCTATAATTCTCTCTTCTTCTTTATAATCAACTGTTAAACTCATCTCTTAAGATGTTAATTTTGGTTATTGCTATTTTCAATTTCTGTATTTCTATTTTGTTTTAAAATACATTATGTCATTTTTCCAATTTTCTGACAAAACATTTTAATTTTCTAAGCAGTTATTTTTAAATGTTTTTGAACTTTCCAACATCTGGGTGGGGCCTATCTCGTGCCAGCTGTTCCGTCTGTACTCACTCAATGTGTAGTCTTATGTGCCTGACTATCTGTGAGTTGTGTGCCTATAAATGCATTTTAAAAAGTGTTTGTAGAAATAATTTGAACTCAAATCATGCTATTTTCTTCTAAGGAGGAGTTTTTATTTATTTTTGTCAGGCAACTAGAGGCATTAGAAATCTGGAATAGTATCTATCTGATTTCAGGAACCACCCAGATAATCCAAAGATGTGGATTCTAAGAATACAGTTTTGCTTCTGGTACACACTTTCTAATTAAGGGGCAGGCTTTTACATTCCCAATTCAATGTGTAGAGCTCTTACTAGGTTTCTACCATAAGCAGGTCCTGAACTCTAACTTTTGCCACCTACTTCCAACTCCATTAGGCTGTTGAAAGTGCTGCTCCAGTCTCAGCTGCCTCTTCTGGAATCTGCAAGCCCACCCAGGGTTACAGCAGCCAAAAATGTTATTGCGCCTCTTTTGAGTACTTCTGTTTCTTAAATCTGGGCTCAATAATTCCTCACAACCTAGTTAGTTCCCTAAAGCCTTAAAACAGATTTTTTAATAGATGATATTTTGTCCAGCTTTCTGGTTTGTCATCAGTGGGAGGGTTGGTCCAAATTACAAAATCTGCCATAATCCAGGGGCATTTTACTTTTCTGGGATCCAGAGATAGCATTTCAAACCCATTCCACTCAGATTATACAGCGAAACAACAAAACATTAGAAAGTTGTATACAATGTCCCAACGATTTTATCCAAAGTGGTAGAAAATAAGTCTGGATACAGTCAAGGGATGAATCGTTTTGAAAAACTTAATGATATGGTTTGGCTGTGTCCCTACCCAAATCTCATCTTGAATTGTAGCTCCCATAATTCCCATGTGTTGTGGGAGGAACCCAGTGGGAGGTAATTGAATCATGGGGGCGGGTCTTTCCCATGCTGTTCTAGTAATAGTGAATAAGTCTCATGAGAGCTGATGGTTTTATAAAGGGAAGTTCCCCTGCACACGCTCTCTTGCCTGTTGCCATGTAAGGTGTGCCTTTACTTCTCTTTTGCCTTCTGTCATGACTATGAGGCCTTGCCAGCCATATGGAACTATAAGTCTATTAAACCTCTTTCCTTTTTAAATTACCCAGTCTTGGGTATGTCTTTATTAGCAGCATGAAAATAGACTAACACACATAATAACCAAAACTTTGGTCTTCCCTCAAACAAAACAGTGATTAAAACGCTGTTGTCAAGGAGCAGCCTTTTCATGGTGAGACAGGCAATTCTCCCACATGAGGCAGCTGCTAGGAATGACTTCATTTCTGACAACTGCTCTGTTTCCTCCTCACTGCTAATAAGCTGAGAGATTCTGGAATGATTCTCTCAGGAAGCTTTGTGTGTGTGTATATGATCATATTTCATTTTTATTTGGCAGAACAGAAAAGATGATTGGGATAAAAACAATTTCTGCTCAGTGAGCAAAAATAAAACAATAAAAGTAAGTAGGAGACTTCATTCAAACATGTTTTACAAAGAATTTAAGGTTTCAAAATATAGGAAATTTCACCATCTTGTGTATGTTTTGCTTTGGTATTTTGCAAAAAAATGCTCCTCCAGAGAAAGCCATGCCTACTTTTAGTACTCATCAAAGATCAGACCTGGACTAAGCCTAGATCTCTGAACAGTCACTTGAGAAATTATTTGCTTCTGCTATGACACTGAGGAATGACAATCACAGAGCTTAAAGCCATTTGAGCAGTGAAAAATCATGAAATAGTACCAAGGGAAGTCCCAGATTTTCTGGTTTTGCTTTATGGGCAAAATTTTTCATTCTGTTCTACAATAAATAGAGTCCCCCAAGGCTATTCCTCTGGTAGATGGATTCATTATTGCTGAGAAATTAGAGTAGTTTCCACAAAATGCTAAAGGTTGTAGTGTTGATTATATTTATTAAACAACCAAAGATAAAATATCAGTTGCAAGGTTTTGGAAATCACATGAAATGGTTCATGTAACTTTTAACAGGTGCGGAAACAGCTAGACAGGCAGGTCATCACATTTGCATAGAAAAAAGAGCATTACTAGTTGTTGTTATTGAGAGGTCCTGTAAATTATTGACAAGGACCATATAACATAAATTTCAGAAAACTTAAAAATCTAGGCCTTTAAGGCCTTTGACAAAATTCAACAACACTTCATGCTAAAAACTCTCAATAAATTAGGTATTGATGGGACGTATCTCAAAATAATAAGAGCTATCTATGACAAACCCACAGCCAATATCATACTGAATGGGCAAAAACTGGAAGCATTCCCTTTGAAAACTGGCACAAGACAGGGATGCCCTCTCTCACCACTCCTATTCAACATAGGGTTGGAAGATCTGGCCAGGGCAATTAGGCAGGAGAAGGAAATAAAGGGTATTCAATTAAGAAAAGAGGAAGTCAAATTGTCCCTGTTTGCAGATGACATGATTGAATATTTAGAAAACCCCATTGTCTCAGCCCAAAATCTCCTTAAGCTGATAAGCCACTTCAGCAAAGTCTCAGCATACAAAATCAATGTGCAAAAATCACAAGCATTCTTATACACAAATAACAGATAAACAGAGAGCCAAATCATGAGTGAACTCCCATTCACAATTGCTTCAAAGAGAAGAAAATACCTAGGAATCCAACTTACAAGGGATGTGAAGGACCTCTTCAAGAAGAACTACAAACCACTGCTCAAGGAAATCAGAGGATACAAACAAATGGAAGAACATTCCATGCTCATGGGTTGGAAGAATCAATATCATGAAAATGGCCATACTGCCCAAGGTAATTTATAGATTCAATGCCATCCCCATCAAGCTACCAATGACTTTCTTCACAGAATTGGAGAAAACTACTTTAAAGTTCATATGGAACCAAAAAAGAGCCCGCATCACCAAGTCAATCATAAGCCAAAAGAACAAGGCCGGAGGCATCACGCTACCTGACTTCAAACTATACTACAAGACTACAGTAACCAAAACAGCATGGTACTGGTACCAAAACACAGATATAGATCAATAGAACAGAACAGAGCCCTCAGAAATAATGCCGCTTATCTGCAACTATCTGATCTTTGACAAGCCTGACAAAAACAAGAAATGGGGAAAGGATTCCCTGTTTAATAAATGGTGCTGGGAAAACTGGCTAGCCATATGTAGAAAGCTGAAACTGGATCCCTTCCTTACACCTTATACAAAAATTAATTCAAGATGGATTAAAGACTTAAATGTTAGACCTAAAACCATAAAAACCCTAGAAGAAAACCTAGGCAACACCATTCAGGACATAGGCATGGGCAAGGACTTCATGTCTAAAACAGCAAAAGCAATGGCAACAGAAGCCAAAATTGACAAATGGGATCTAATCAAACTAGAGCTTCTGCACAGCAAAAGAAACTACCATCAGAGTGAACAGGCAACCTACAAAATGGGAGAAAATTGTTGCAACCTACTTATCTGACAAAGGGCTAATATCCAAAATCTACAATGAACTCAAACAAATTTACAAGAAAAAAACAAACAACCCCATCAAAAAGTGGGTGAAGGATATGAACAGACACTTCTCAAAAGAAGACATGTATGCAGCCAAAAACACATGAAAAAATGCTCATCATCACTGGCCATCAGAGAAATGCAAATCAAAACCACAATGAGATATCATCTCACACCAGTGAGAATGGCAATCATTAAAAAGTCAGGAAACAACAGGTGCTGGAGAGGATGTGGAGAAATAGGGACAATTTTACACTGTTGGTGGGACTGTAAACTAGTTCAAACATTGTGGAAGTCAGTGTGGCGATTCCTCAGGGATCTAGAACTAGAAGTACCATTTGACCCAGCCATCCCATTACTGGGTATATACCCAAAGGACTATAAATCATGCTGCTATAAAGACACATGCACACATATGTTTATTGCGGCACTATTCACAATAGCAAAGACTTGGAACCAACCCAAATGTCCAACAACGACAGACTGGATTAAGAAAATGTGGCACATATACACCATGGAATACTATGCAGCCATAAAAAATGATGAGTTCACATCCTTTGTAGGGACATGGATGAAACTGGAAATCATCATTCTCAGCAAACTATCTCAAGGACAAAACACCAAACACCACATGTTCTCACTCATAGGTGGGAACTGAACAATGAGAACACATGGACACAGGAAGGGGAACATCACACTCCGGGGACTGTTGTGGGGTCGGGGGAGGGGGGAGGGATAGCATTAGGAGATATACCTAATGCTAAATGACGAGTTAATGGGTGCAGTACACCAACATGGCACATGTATACATATGTAACAAACCTGCACATTGTGCACATGTATCCTAAAACTTAAAGTATAATAATAATAAAATAAAATAAAATAAAAATATAGGCCTTTAAGGTTAGTTGTTTTCTTATGGATGTCTGTAATAGAAAAAATATTTTCCTCACAAAAATGGAATAAAGGTAAGCTTTATGCCCAGCTTTGTCACTCACTAGTTGTATGAGTTGGTAATGTTTCAGTCTCTCTAAACCTCAGTTTTCTCATCTTTAAAATGGAGTTTATCACAATAAGATACCATCTCACACCAGTCAAAATTGCTATCATGAAAAACTGAAAAAATGACAGATACTGGCGAGGTTACAGAGAAAAGGAACATTTATACACTGTCAGTGGGAGGGTAAATTAGTTCAACCATTATGCAAAGCAGTATGGCAATTCCTCAAAGAGCTAAAAGAAGAACTACCATTCAACCCAGCAATTCCATTACTGGGTATGTACCCAGAGGAATACAAATCATTCTACCATAAAGACACATGCACACAAATGTTCACTGAAGCACTATCCACAATAGCAAAGACATGGAATTAACCTAAATGCCCATCAATGTCAGATTGGATAAAGAAAATGTGGTACATATACCCCATGGAATGCTATGCATCCATAAAAAAGAACAAGATCGTATCTTTTGAGGGAACATAGATGGAGCTGGAGGCTGTTACCCTTAGTAAACTAATGCAGGAACAGAAAACTAAAACGGCATGTTCTCACTTATAAGTGGGAGCTAAATGATAAGAACTTATGAACACAAAGAAGGAAACAATAGACACTGCGGTCTACTTGAGGGTGGAGGGTGGGAGGAGGGAGAGGAGCAGAAAAGATAACTATTGGGTACTGAGCTTAATATCTGGGTGATGAAATAATATGTATAACAAACTCCAGTGACAAGTGTTTACCTGTGTAACAAACCTTCACACGTACCCCCAAACCTAAAAAAAATTTTTTTAAACTTATAAAAATTTGGTGAATGCAGCAAAGGAAGTGCTCAAAGGGAAATTTGTAGCATTGAATGCAAATATTAGAAAAGAAGAAAGAACTAAAATCAATAATCTAAGCTTCACCTTAGGAAAGTAGCAAAAGAAGAACAATTTAAATCCAAAGTAAGCAGAAGAAAAGGATTACTAAACATCAGAGAAGAAATCAATGGAATTTAAAATAAGAAACCAATAGAGAAAAATGATGAAATCAAAAGCTTGTTCTTTGACAAGATCAATAGGATGTTAAACCTCCGGCCAGGCTAACTAAGGATAAATGAAAGAAGATACAAATTACTAATATCAGAAATGAGAGAGGCCATCACTACTGATTTAATGGATATTAAAAGGATAATAAATATTAGGAAGAACTCTATGCCCACAAATTTGATAAATTAGATACCTCTTAAAAATGTAACTCTTAAGATTCAACAATGAGAAAACACACAACCCAATTAAAAAATGGGCAAGAAGTCTGAGTAGATACATCACCAAAGAAGATATACAGATGGCAAACAAGCATCTGAACAGGTGCTCTACATTATATGTTACCAGGGTACTGCAAATTAAAACAATATCGAGATATCACTACCACCTATAGAATGGCTAAAATCCACGATATTGACACCAAATGCTGGCAAGAATGTGGAAAAACAGGAACCCTCATTCATGGTTGGTGAGAATGCAAAATGGCACAACTGCTTTGGAAGAGTTTGGTAGTTTCTTACAAAGCTAAACATGCACTTACCTTACAATTCAACAGTCACGATCTTTGGTATTTGCCCAAATGAGATAAATACTTATATCCAAACAAAAACTTGTAAATGAACGTTTATAGCAGCTTTATTTGTAACTGTCAAAACTGAGAGGCAACCGAGATGTCCTTCAATCCGTGAATGCATAAGCAAACTGTTGTACAGCCATGCAATGGACTATGTTCCAGTGATTAAAAAAAAATGAGCCACAGAGTCATGAAAAGATATAGAAGAACATGAAATGCATATCACTAAGTGAAAGAAACCAGTGTGAAAAGGCTACATATTGGATAATGCCAAGTATATGACATTCTGGAAAAGGCAAAACTGTGGAGACAATAAAAAGACCAGTGGTTTCCAGGCATTCATGTTGAGGGAGGGAGGAATGAATAGTTGGAGTACAGGAGAATTTGGGGGCAGTGAAACTATTTTGTACCATACCATGATGGTAGATATATGAATCATACTTTTATAAAAACTCACAGAACTGTACAACAAAGAGTGAATCAATATAAACTATGTGCTTTAGTTAATAATATTGCATTAATATTAGTTCATCAACTATAACAAATTTACTACATTAATGCAAGATGTTAATAATATAGGAAACTGTGGTTAGGGGTGATAAATAGAAACCCTCTGTACCTTCTGTTCACTTTTTCTGTATACATAAAACTGCTCTAAAAAAATAAAGTCGATTAATTAAAAAAGCAAAAAATAAAATAAAATAGAACAGGGTTTATAATGGTGGTCATCTCACAGGCCAGTTGCATACAGAGAGCTTAGAACACTCTTGGGCATGGAATAAGTGATTAATATTGTTATTGTTTATATTACCACATTATTAAGTTAGCTTGCCATGAAATCCAAAGTGCAAATGACAAAATAAAGTGGTCCCCAGACAAACTTGTAGTAATTAAGGAGGGAGGGAGTACAGTGTTTTAAGATAGGTTTGGGGGCATTTTGATAAACCTTCTTAAATCAAAATCCACTACTTCAAATTCAGTGATGTTAAGGAAAATGCCTCACTGACACTTCCCTCTGAAGTGCTGATTTTTAAAAAAATGTTTTTTAAGCAAATAAAATGGTGAAATGCAGATTATATAGACTGAATAGGACCAATCTGAACAGAAACAAGAAGCCAGAATGCAAACGTGATTCTGCTCAGACATACTTAAAAGGAAAAGCTATATTCAAGTTGTCAGAAAGCTCTCTGTACAAGCAACTGTCTGGGTTCTCCTCCCATTTCTCTGACATTTCCATCTTTGCATCCTTGGTGAAGTCCTCTGCATCCACTCACTTCTTAGTTTGCACTGTTTCCAAGAGTCCTCGTGGCTCACTCTGCTGGATGACATGAGCTCATTGGGTTTCCTTCACTTGCACACTCTAGGCCCTGCCCTTGATTTGGCTTAAACTGAAAAGTGTATTGTTCATATAATTTAAAAAACCCCAGGGTATATGGGCTTTGGCACAGTGGAATCCAATTGCTTAGATGTATCTATCAGTAATCTATTTTTGTTATGTCTCAACTCTGCCTTCCTGAATGGTGGTTGGTTGGTTGGTTCTCCTAACAATAGCAAGTTGGCCAACAGGGGCTTAGCCCCATGAGCAGAAAAAGAGAGGGTTCCTTTTTCCAATGTATCCATCATGAATCTTGGAGCTGATTCTTACCAGACTGACTTGGGTCCATGCCTATCTTGGAACCAATCCCTGTGCCAAAGCAACAGAGGATACATTTACCCAGACCTCCGTTACATACCCACCTGCATAACAGGAAGTGGGAGTCATCACCTCCAAACTACCAGTCTGAGAGTAGAGAGGTAGAGTAACCCAAAAGAAAGAGATACATTCTGTTAGGAGAAAGAATGCTGTGCAGACAAAATAACAATTATTGCATATGCCAGATCTTCCCTGTTCTTGCCTCACCCTCTTCTCCCACTCCTCTGGACACTCCCTGCCAGTGAATCTCAGTGGACACCCTGCCTCACCCCCACCCCTTCATAAGGGTAATCCCCACTCATCCTGTAAGACTCAGCTCAATTATCCTCCCTCCAAGGAGTTTTCCCTGACTACTTATATCACCATAATCCCATGCTGGATTAGGAGCCCCCAACAATCCTGTGATTCTGTTTGCTTATCTCTGTCATGACACTTACACATTGATGTGTCAGTCTCCACTCCTGGACTAAACTCCTTGAGCGCAGGGACTATTTAACTCAACTTCATATCCCCTGAAATTAGCAAAGTATCTTGCATATAGTAGGCAAGCCTCACTGTGCAGATGAATTAATGAAAGAAATCAGCCTCGTCAGCCTCAGTGTGCAAATGAATTAATGAAAGAAATTTCAACATGAGGTCAAATCCCAAACATTTACACACATGCACACAGGTGGTATTCAAAATGGCTAACAACCTGTAAATTCACAGACTCATCAGAAAGGACTCTGGCTGTAGAATCAGGACAGAGGCCTGGAGGCATCCTTCAAGAGCCAAGTGTTTCCACTTGGACACATCAAGCAGATCAAGGGGAGCCCCAGAGGGTACAGCAGGTAGCCAGAGGGGTACTCAGGGGCAGCATCTATTTACCAAGTGCAATGAAAATATTTCAATATGTCATCAACTGGTACAGGTGTACTGATGCATACTTGGTGATTACCAGATGTATAGCTATTTGTGTGGGTGTTCATGTGTATAACATATTTAAATATATTGCATACACAGGTATGTATGCAATATAAGATTTCCATTAGCTTGTCTTTTACACATTTTTTATAATAAAACTTCTAACAGTACCCAGAAAGATTTCTGGGAAATGTGTCTTGGCCTAGAAAGATACAATAACTCCTTTTCCCAACCTAGTCTCCATCAGAGAAGCATCTGCTCTGACTTCAGCTCCCAAAACCAGAGTCCCCAAAAGATCCCTTGCAGATGGCTCCAAAATGACACTATTCTCAGTGCACATGCTCCTCTTATAAGCAATGTAGTCATACTCACAGCCTTCCCCCAAACTGGCATTTATTTCCCAAGAGGGTTCTGTACTCTTCTCTAAAAAGATGGAACGAACATTAAAGGTCTTAAGTGATCTAAAGACAACCAGGGTTAGGGAAACCTTCAGAGAAGCTAATTTTGTATTCACAAAGAAGGTAGCAGTGGTCAGGTCCTGCCAGTGGGTGAATTTACAACATATAATTCTTTCAGAATAAGATATGCAAATTAAATCAATTAAATCCTGGCTGTGCTTGGCCATTCTAATGTTCACACTCACCACCACATTAATTGAAACAGCGCTGAAGGAGTCTTAAATTCAGGGTAATAAGTTGTGTCTGAGATAATCAACAGGCAATGCATTCATATCAAGGCTGAGTAAGAAATGCTGATTCTAAATCACTCAAGGATCCAGCACTGCATGTGAGAGAGGCTAGTCGCGTGGTGCTGATACCCGAGAAGGAGCTCTGTTTTTTAATTCTATTGACAAGAGACACAACTCACTCATGAGAGGAGCTGTTTTTTTTTCTCTGACCACCAAGCAGGCATGAGGGTGACAAGAAGAGCAGTGCCTGAGATCTTGACTTAGCAAGAGGTGAAGGGAATAAAATTGCAGAATTTAAAAACGGGGCCAATGGCTAGAAGGCAAGCCAGAAAATGACTGCTACATACCAGTAGTAGCTCAAGACAGAAATGTGGGTGTTATCCTAGATTTATCTCATTCTAATGATCCCTCTGCACCAGCCAATTCATCACTAAATCTTCTTTTTCTGCCTCCTAACTATACCCTTAATCCGTCGGCTTCTGTTGACAACAATTGGCCACCTCCCTAGATCAAACGCTTACCACATCTCCCCTACACTTTCGTAATTGCCTCTTTACTATTTTGCCTGATTTCATTTTTGTTTTCCTCCAACATATTCTCCTTGTAGAAGCCACAGTGGCATCTTATAAATAGAAATTTGATCATGTCACTCCTTGCCTTAAAACTCCTCCATGGCTTCCTGTTGCACGTCAAACAAAATCCCAGCTTTGTATAATATCATGATCCAGCTAGCCAAAATAATGGGCCCCTTCCTACCTCTCTACCTGGGTCTCGGTACCAAATACCCCACTCCCCACCATAATCTTCACCCTCTAATTCCAGCCACATTGGTCACCCTTCACTTCCTCAAAGATTCCAAGCTCTTTCCTCCCCCAGAGTATTTGCAATGCTCTGTCCCTTCTTCCTGGAACATCCTTCCTCACTTCTCCCAGCCTCACTCTTGGTGTCCTTCTACGGCTTCCTCCTTCTGATCTTACTGGTCACAACCTAGATACTACCTCGTAAATGAGCCTTTCTCTGACCACCCATCCCAAAGAACATGTGTTTCCTCCTCCAAAACCCAACATCTTGCAACACCACCTCCCCAAAAGAGAAAGCTTAGTACCTTCTTCTAGGGTTTCCTCCTTATTCCCTTGCTTCAAAGAGACCAAAAACAGAAATCTCAGTTTTTACCCTAGCCATCTCAAGCCTGTGGATGCTGCAACAGTAGCAATGGGAGATTAAATACTCAGAAATCTGCTCCTGCTGGGATCCATTTCCTCTGTCAGCAGGCACACTCCAAAAGGGATGGCAGGAACCCACTTGAGCTGATTTGCTTTGAATCCGGTCAACAAGGCAAGGCAATTTAGCCTCATGTTTAGTACCACTTGCTTTACTAAGTACATTCTGACGAAGTTTTAATGACCTAACCCAGGGAGCACTCTATCTACATGTAAGTAAATTGGTTGAGAACTTTGATTTTCCTACTGGAAATCTCACTATTAATCCATGATTTATTAAGCTATTAGTCAAAGATTTCAACACCCTAAACATGCTGTCATTAATACTTAAACTACCTTCCTACTTCTCACCCTCCTGTTCCACTTCTTGGAATGATTTCTGGAGGCTGTTGCCTCTGGGTATCTGCTATACACCTTACTGGCATCTCCATCTCACCTTATGTTCTGCACACATACTCTTCAGCCTTGAACTCTGCATTATCCAAAGGGGCCTTAAAAGAATTGCCACCGTAGTCTTAGTGAATTTTTGTACTTCTTAATTGACTTCACCCACCTTGGCCCTGTAAGTGATTTTAAAATGCCCAGTAGTGGCTTCTCATTTTTCTCAACTAATTAACCTGTTTAGTGAGATCTGTCTTCTGCAAACTCATTCATTTTTACAAACAAGCTTGAGAATATGATGCAAAAGAAGTATATATAATGGAGAGTATCTCTTTGCCAAGCAGCCTGTCAAAAGAGATAAGATTCTGTATATATATATATATATATATACCCTTCTCTGGGGTTAAAAAATGAAACTCTTGAAGGAAAATAATAATCAAATTACTATTACCACTGTCATAGTCTATTAAAAGGTATGATACCTTCTTTGTACTCATACTAGCATAGGTAATAAGCATTATTCTAAAATTTAATGTTCTTTCCTTTTCTCTTTTGTCATTTATTCCCTTTATCAGAGTTCCTTAGTTTTAAGAAACCAAAACCAAGCTTCAATATCTAAAGATAAAATGAAGTTTACCAGAAAGAAAGAAAAGACTCACAGCATCAACCAGAGATTTAAGACCAAGGATTAGAAAATATTAAGGAACCACAGGACACTGGCAAAAGCTGTGTTTCAGGAATATTTTGGCCAGCTACTACTGCCACAAAACTGAAAAGATAACCGTGCCTACTACTGCTGCCTAAGTGAATGTTATTGGATCTTTCATCTTTGTGTCATCTACTCAAGATAAAGTCCTTGGTGAGAGAATCTGATGGGCCAAACCTAGCTCATGTGCCCTTAACCCAGCAGGCAGGCAACATGGAGAAGGGGAAGCTGACCCTTGGTGGGGATGCTGTGGTACACTGACAGATCTCTCAAGACCCAGGCTCTCAATTCCCCCAGCTGCTGGGGATATTGCCTGCTGATGGTTCCCAGATAAATCCCTCCCCTGGAATTGTCCTCCACTGGGAGAAGCTGCCTCACCCAAGGGTACACTCTGTACTGGGGGCAGCCTGCATTCAATGCCTGGGTATGTTACTGGAAAGCGGTCCTGATCCAGATCCCAGGAGAAGGTTCTTGGATCTCATGCAAGAAAGAATTCAGGGCGAGTCCAAAGTGCAAAGCGAAAGCAAATTTATTAAGAAAGCAAAGTGGTGAAAGAACAGCTGCTCCATAGACAGAGTAGGGTGTTCCCGATTGTAACAGGAAGAACGCACCCAGTCTAGGTACAATGCTTGTTTATATACATGATAACAACAACAACAACAACAAAAAGTCATGGGGATAAGTGCTCTGCTACAAGGGTTTGTGATAAAGAATTTATTTTATTACTATATTTTGCAAGAATCGATATTATTATCTTTAAAGCAAAATTAGGAATGCTTCTGTTCTCAAGGTATTGGGATATCAGGACTTTCCTGAGTCTGGGTCTGTTTAGTAAACATTATCAATCTGTTCCCTTAATCATAAACATCTAGAGGCTAGGAATACCTCACTTTCTGTGAATGCATTCCCGCAAGCCCCAGCCTCATTTTTCCTAGCCCTCACTGAAGATGGATTCCCCTCTGATTCTAATGCCTCTGACAGTTGATAAAGGAATACAAATGCCTGCAAACTGTGCCTCAATTTGGGATATCTCTGAAGAGCCATCTTAGTCTCAGAGCTCCTTGTGGAGTTGACTGAGGCCTTTATGCAAACTACATTACAGTTCAACTTCACCCTCTGCCCCATCCAGCTTTCCTCACTCCCCTACCTGTGTTGTTCCTAAGAGTACTCCCCAGCGAACCACCTGCAGGCAAACATCTGTCTCAGGATCTGTTTTGACAGCCTCCTTCAGTTTTCCAAAAAGAACTACACATAATAGGATATTGTGCATAAATAAGACAGGGCATGGATACTGGGCAATCAAATAAAATGGCATATGTCCACTGCATGCTCAAATACTTTTCTGTATCAAGTAAGATGCTGCCATTAACAGTTGACAATTTAGAGTTTCATTTAGAACTTTTCTATGGAGTCAAGTCAGTTTCTCTACCCCCATTCATCCATTCCCTTCCCCCATTCTCCCTAGCTCACTCTTTCATATATTTAGATCTATATATTTCTCTCCATTAGCTGTTTCTCTAGAGATGATAGAAATAGCAATCATAATGGAAATAGAAATTAGATAGATGTGGAGATCAAGAGACTCAGAGATTAAGAGAGAGAGCCCTGAAGTCATTCTACTTCTCTCTGTCCTTATGCTCTTCTCCCTTCCTAGAATTCCTTCTCTTTTTCTCTCTCTCTGGCCATATAAAATCCTACCTATCCTTATTTATAAAATCATTCCCTCACATTTAGAAAGCACTTGGATAGTTCAAAGTTCTGTAACACACTTCAAGCGATTTGATCTCACAAAATGACCATGAAGAAAGAAGAACAAATATTGTTATTCCTATTTTACCTATGGGGATCCCTGTCTTGGAGAGCTTAGATAACTGGACCAGGTTCCCTTAGACCTCCTCCTCTATGATGTCCTTTGAGAATCATCCAATGCCCTTTGACTCTTCTCTAAGCTAGTGTAGTGATGGGAATACACTAACTGGATTCAGAGTCAGGTTTTGTTCTCCTGCTATTCCTTGGGTGGTTGTGTTTTGTTTCTGCCTAGAACTCCCATCCACCAACCCACCTGACTCTGCCCTAGGCTAGATATATGCTTCTTGAGGGCCAGGGCTGCATCTTTACTCCTACCACAGAGTACAGAATAGTAGAAGTTAGAAAGCCAGGGTCCAGTCCTCGTATTAGTATTTCCCAGCTGGGTGACCTTGCAAGTCAGTTAACCTTTCTGAGTCTTAGTTCCCTCATCTGTAAAAGAACAAATGCCTACTTTGCAAAATCATTGTGAAAATTACATGAAATAAGACATTTGGAAAAATTTACATTATCTGCCACACAGAGGTCACTTAATAGGGGATCATTTTTCCATCATTTTCACTTTCACAGTGCTAGGCATACCAAAGTCATTTTAATGAATATTAATTAACTATTAAGGGAAATGATGGTCATGATCATGTTAGGAAGAAAAGGTATGTAAAGAGACGAGCAATGGGCTTGAAAACAGCT
Organism: Homo sapiens; assembly: GCF_000001405.40. Lineage (NCBI taxonomy): Eukaryota > Metazoa > Chordata > Mammalia > Primates > Hominidae > Homo > Homo sapiens. Next base: position 65,281,520 of record NC_000003.12, read on the forward strand.
GCTAAAAATGTTTAGTATTTACTATATGCAAGCCTAAATATATATTTCTATCACATCACCTTTTACAAAGCACCAGCTAACCTGTTTGCCTTTCACCCAACTGTGTATCAAAAAAATGGCCCCCATTTGTATGCTGGCTATTGTTACAGACTGTCAAGGTTCATTAATACAGTTTGCCCTGTAAGTGTTACTGAAACAGTATTTTACGAACCGGGAGGGATATGGTTTGAATGTGTTTCTCAAAGTTCCTGTGTTGGAAACTTAATCCCCAATGCAACAGTATTAGGAAGTGGGACCTAATTAGAGATGAGTAGGTCATGAGGGCTCTGCTCTCGTGAATGGATTAATGTTGTTATCTTGGGTGTAGAACAGTTATTGTGAGAGTGGGTTGTTATAAAAGTGAGTTTGGCACCTTCTTGCTCTCTCAAGCATACTCTCTTGCCCTTCAGCCTTCCAACATAGGAGGATGCAGCATGATGGCCCTCACCAGATGCTCCTGGACTTCACCTCTGGAAACATGAACCAAAGAAATTTCTCTTCTTTATAACTTTCCCAGTCACAGATATTCTGTTATAGCAGCAGAAAATGGACTAAGACAGGAAGCAACTTTTATTTTAAGGATGTGGTAATGTCAGCCCACGGAATAAGTGATTCTCCAAAGTCACACAGTCAAAAAGTAGCAAAGTGGTAGCTAAAATTCAGATTATACGAGTCTAGAACCCAAATCCTTTCCTCCATCCCACAAATGGGCCACATCATTTCATAGCCAGTTTACCTTTCTCTCAGACTCATGGTGAAAACTTTAGGTTGCACGTCAAAAAAGATGAGATAAATGCTAATTTCATTTTGGCAAAGATTCAAAGTCACATGGTTGCCAGAAATGGAAACCCACTCAGGCTGCCTTAAATAAGAGGAGATTCATTTTAAAGAATCAGGAATATTTCATGTAATCTCAAGGCTCTTGAGAAACTGAAAACCAAAGGCTAACTCAGACTGAGGAAGCTATTTTCTCCATCTTGCTTTCTTCCCTTTTTGGCTGCCACATCGTCTCCTGGTCTCTCACTTTTCTCTCTCTCTACGTGTGCACATTTCCTCAAACCCAGCTTTCTCTGCCTCTTCAAAAACATGATTAAAACGTGGCTGCCTGGATGCCTTCCACTGCTTTCCAATTCTAATGCCTCCAATTAGCTAACTACCATTCCTGTATCCCAGTTCCAAATTCCCAGGTGAGAACATCTGATTGGTTGACACCAGCCAATAGATGGACTCACCTTATTCAGCTGTCTATCCTCATCCAATCTGTTGGAGTCAGGGAGGAGTATAATTAGGTAATGTAATCATGTCTACAAGGTCATGTTTCTTTGTGTGAGGAGAATGACAATTTCTCAGAAAACGGGGCAGCCCAAAAGTAGCCCCAAGAATACCCTTAGATGTTAAAATGAATGTTTTGTCTCAATCGTCTGGCTTCTCTTAAACAGCTCAATGATGGGCATCTTCACTTATGCATTATGACAATCCATCCAAAAAAGAAATGTGCACTCTAACAGCACTGCAGCCATGGGGTTACACTACTCAGATGTCCCTTCAAGAGAGATGCTGGCATCTCGAAGAGATACTCGCATATTCATATTCATGTTCACTGTGCAGTAAACACGGCACAAACAGCCAAGAGATGGAAGCAATGTAAAGGCCCATCAACAGATAAATGGATAAAGAAAATGTGGTATATACATACAATAGAATATCATTTTACCTTAAAAAGAAGAAACTCCTGTCATACATTACGACATGAAAGAAACTTGAGGATGTTATGCTAAGTGAAATAGACCAGTCACAGAAAGACAAACACCGCATGATTCCACCCATATGAGGTATCTAAAATAGTAAACTCAGAAACAGAAAGTGCAATGGTGGTTGCCAGGGGCTAGGGAGAGGGGAAAAGGAGCAGTCGTGTTCAAAGGATGTAGAGTTCCAGTTTTGCAAGATGAAAAAGTTCTAGAGATCTGATCTGTTAGACAGCAAGTTGCAAATAGTTAACCCTATTGTATGTAAACTTACAAATAGTTAAGATGGTACATTTTACGTTATAGGTTTTTGACCATAATGAGAGAGAGAGAGAGAGAGAGAGAGAGAGAGAGAGAGAGAGAGATGTGGACTCAAGGAGTGCTATTAAGCTGTGAGTGTTTCAGAATCTGCACCAGTTTTCAGCCAAGACCACCCAGTTCCCAAGCACATTCCAGCCAAGCGCTCACTAACATCAGATGCCTCTACAGCCAGTCTTCATGCCACTTCTCCCTGTGGGCTGTTCTGCAGTCTGTGGCTCTTCCTCCTTCTTTTCTCTTTACCTTTCATAGATGACAGACCTACTTCAAGGTCTGAAGCCTTTACCTGCCTGCTCCTGCCTCCTTCCTCTTTACCACTCATAGGCATTATCCCCAATAATTCTCACACTTCTACCTGTATCTCCTTCTCAAAGAACCTGTCACACATCACTCAACAGACCTATAAGTTCTCCTATACACCCATGAGAGAAAAAGGTATTTGTGTGCATGCACACTTGTGGCTAAGTACACTGGATGAAGCAAGCTAAACCCACACCCCAGGCAGCTTTAGCTCTTCTCTAGTCCCTTTGCACCTTTCATATCTCTGTGTTAACACTTAGTGCACCATGTCATCATTGTTCACAAGTCCATGATCTCAACTTGAACATGCTCCTCCAAGACTAAGGGCACACCCATATTTATTTCTGTATCCCCCAACACCTGTCAGAGTACCTGGTAGATGAGACACAAATAGCAAATATTGGAGGAAGGAAAGGGCAGGAAGAACAGAGTGAAGGAGGAAGAGTTAAAGGATGGGAACCATTTTTGGCATAACTTAGCTCACAGCTGATGTTTAAAAATGCTCTTCCACAGGCTGCATGTATACAGTAGCCTGCCCTTTTCTGTAATCCACCCAACAGTTAACAAATATATATTGAGCATTTGCTATGTGCCAGATGGAAAGATAACATGTGACTTACATATGTGGTCTCCAACCTGGGCATGGAAATACAGAGACATTTGATTCTACCGTATGTAATGGATATCCAAGTTTTCCCCTGCACGATTTGGTCAACAAAAAATCCCATGCACACGGTGCATTTTGACAAATGTGTGGAAGAGCGAGGATTATCACTCAGGAAAATGGACGTTGATGTCACTGACTGTCCTCCCAGGATGGTACTGGGAGATGTTCCACTTAGTGACTCATGAATCATTTTCAGGTATAGCCTGAGTTTTCTCTTCACTGATTATGTTGACCTTTCTGGAGGCAAAGATTTACACTGTGAATGTATTTCCTGTTTCAAAAATCATCTGTTTGTAAATGAAATGGTGCTGTGGTGCCTCGGAGCATTCCTTTCATTTGGAAGATTATCACATTTAAGTCATTTAAGACTTTAAAAACAATTGCCACACTCTTTCAAAACCTTGGGACATTCTTCAAGAACAAATACTACTAAATACAGCTCGATTTTAGCTCAATCTTTAAAATTTGTTTTGCTGATTCATCCCTGCTCTGGGTGGATTTCTGAGTTGCAGAGTGGAGTGACCAGCAAGTGATGGAGATTTCTTTAGTTCAGTGTCCCTTAGCAACCATAATTTCACTTTCCTGTTGCCATAACAACTATAGCATGAACATCAAGGTCATCAAGCCCACAGAGCCTCTTTCAGGAAGCCAAGTCTCTCACACTTTCCAGGCTTCTCTTCTGTTGGCTCTCACAGGAGATGTTTTATAGAAAATGGCATTTGCTCCTCCCTTTCTCCACTCCACATTACTTTAGAAAGCAATCTATTTAAAGATGCAAGATAATCCATAATAAATAAGATGCAAAGACCTCCCCTGGTAGATTGAAATAGCCACTGCAGTCACTCATTTAAACTGTGCTACATCTTCAAATGGGTCTGTTTTAAAAGAATGAAAAGACAATATAGCAGGGGGCAGGATTTTGACATTCTCAAAGTCTTGGATTCCAGTATGACATTTGTCACTATTCTTAGTATCCAGGTTGTCTAGCTTCCAGTTTCTGGAAAAAGGGGGAGGCTGAATTTGATGATCTCCAATGTCCCTTTCAGTTCTCACATTCTGTGAATCAACATTTAACACATCAGATTTTGCAAGAGCTTGCTTTTTAGATGGTAAACCAAAAGTAGTCCCAGCATAGGCTTGTCCACCTCACCGAAAACCATCAGCTTCATGGAACAAAAGCTAATGGCCCCTCTTGATGGGGGCTTTTGTGCTCATTCCTGCATGCCAGCGGTAGAACTGGCACTCCAGAAACATTGAATCACCTCGAATAATTATGCAGCAAGGAAACTTTCTCTTCTTTGTGTTCTCTTTAGAATTATAAATAGTCGACATTAAACATGGTTCTTCATCCCAGCTACCAGGCAAAATTCAGGGGGATTAGCTAGATATTAACATTTGAAGATAGTGTAATTTCAAAGCTCTATTAAAGCAGACAAATAAATCTCCCAGCTAAATTGTCTCTACTTTTGACTAGGAAAGAAGAGACCACTTAGGCTCTCATAGGAGTAGGAGATACTTAGTACATTCCAAATAAATCCTACTTGCCGAGCTTTCCCAGCCATCATTGTTAACCACAACCCTCTTCTGAAATTCTGAATGCTTGCTCACATAATGTAGCTCTCAATGTGTATCAAAGACATTTGATTTTAGGGCATGTGCACTGTACTCATTAATTGAATTGAAGTCCTCGCCTCTTTTTTTTTCACTTTTTGTCTACTGTTAACTAAGCAATAAAGTTAAAAAAAAAAAAAACTTCATTAGTTAAGAACAGTTCTTTTGGTATTATGCTTAAGAGGCTGGTTTTTATTTTTTTATTTGCCAACGTCTTTATGACATTGTTACATGGTTTTTCTTCTGTTTCCAAAAAGCAGTGTCAGCTGCGGTTGATGTTTGAAATTATCATCTGCCCCTCACTGGCTCTGCCAATCCTTACTCACAAAAGAGTCATAACGCTTGCTAATCATGGCCTTCTCCCCTGGGCAGCAAGCACACCTTCAGAAGCTGCCCGAAGGGAATATGGCACCAAGAAAGCCACTTACATCTTGAAAGTTTTTTCCTGGGGAAAGGAAGGATATTGCAAGAAAGAAAGGCTGCTTCCTGGTTGCCTTTGTTTATTTCATCAGTGTTTTCTCTGGAGGAAAAAAATGACTCTTGGCAAAGAAGGCAAGACACCTGTGAAGTAGTCAGCGTTTCCTCCTGTAGGCATAGAGATCTGAGTAATGTGTTCCATAGAACTGGAAGAAGATGACAGACAGACAGCAGATGATCGATATTTCATAAAAATTCTAACTAAAAGCTGATATCTTGCACATAGTGGGTATTTAATAAATTTCTCTAGAATGATTTCATGAATCTCAATGTCAGTAATTAGCATGCAGTGGGTAGAGGTAGAGTACAACTGCAACACTAAAGGATTAAATCAAATCCATCCACTTATGGATGACCCATATAATCGCACTGCACATTTATAATTGATATGGCATTTATGTTTCTCATGGCTCTGCCACACTGTCTCACTGCCACTCATAACAGCCCCACAAGCAGAAAATTTTCCAACTCTCATTTTATAGGTGAAGAAACTGAGATGGACATTAAATAACATAATGGAAATTGTATTGCTAAGGACCTACCGAATTGTGATTTAAATTCAGTTCTACTGTTTCCCAGCACAGTGGCTTTTTCTTAAAGTGGAAGTTTGTCTACGAAATACAGTTAAGCAATTTTTTTTAAACTAACTGCGGCTGGGCACGGTGGCTCACGCCTGTAATCCCAGCACTTTGGGAGGCTGAGGCGGGCAGATCTCCTGAGGTGGGGAGTTCAAGACCAGCCTGACCAACATGAAGAAACCCCGTCTCTACTAAAAATACAAAATTAGCCAGGCATTGTGGCACATGCCTGTAATCCCAGCTACTCGGGAGGCTGAAACAGGAGACTCACTTGAACCCGGGAGGCAGAGGTTGCGGTGAGCCGAGATTGCGCCATTGCATTCCTGCCTGGGCGACAAGAGCAAAATTCCATCTAAAAGAAAAAACAAAAACCTAAGTGTATCAGTTTGGATTTCCCAAGAGAAACCAACTGTAACCACCTTTACAGAGAAGGGTTTACTGGAAGAATATAAATATAAAGGGCTCCATATCAACAGATGGCTGGAAGGAGGGGTTTAGGAATATTGGGATTCTGGGGGCCGATTTTGTGGGAGCAGAAAGCACAACAACTGTCTCCTTTCAGAAATAGTTTGATCAGAATATTGCAGCTAACAGCACTTGTTACTGCCGTTACTCCCAATTGTCATGAAAGTTCCTCCAAACATTTTCTTTATGTTTTTATCACTAGTTCAAGATTTAATGTCTCAGATGAAAGTGCCTGATTGGTTGAGCTCAAGTCACAGATCCAGCTCCTGGCCTTGCAGGAGTAGGTAGAGGCAGAATTGGTTCTCTCTTTCCCACCTCCGTGTTCCAGCTTCTGTAATAAGACAGAAGCCCACACCCCATGGAGAAGGAGTAATTCTCTAAAAGGAAAAAAAAAAAACTGTTAGCACTAAGCTTTAGGAAGATGAATGATTATTGAGCCAATCAAAGTCAAGTGCTTGCTATTCTAGGTTATACATAAATCTATTCTCCAAGATAATTTTACTAGGAAGTTAAAGTCTAGAAGGAGAGAGCTGGGCCACCTGCCATTACATGGATACTTCTTGGGGTCCATTAGTTAAAGTAGTGAAAACAGAAGCTAGTAGGACACATGAAACCCCACAACACCTTCCTAGCCTTGTGAGATGTGCTGAAGTCAGAGAGGAAGACATTTTCAGTGCTCCTTAAAGAAATAAGCTTTTACAAAGGCTTGTGTTGGTTAAGCCCTGCTTAGCACTGCAACATCTATCACAAGGCTCTCCCAGTTCAGTCCACTTCACTTCACCATAAGAAGCCACAGCTCATAACTATAGTGGGGTTCTTAATAGGAAAGAAGTGAAGACTAAACCTTCACAGGTCATTTTTCCCTCTAATTTGGAGTTTGTCATTGTGGGCCTCACCCAGTGATCTAGTGAGGCCCGGATTGCACCAGCCTATCAGCTCTTCTTGCTAATGGCAGGTCCATACCCAGTGATCTAGTGAGGCCTGGATTGCACCAGCCTATCAGCTCTTCTTGCTAATGGCAGGTCCACTTCTTGGCTTCAGGGATATTTATCAGACGTGGAGGCATTTTGGCACCACAGTGGAGACGTATTAGTTTTGCCTATCCAGCTCCCTTTGGTCTTCCTTCCAGAAATAGCATCTGAGTCTGCCAGGAAGGAAACACACCTCCTCTACTCTCAGACTACATGGTCCTGGTGGGTCTGACCACACCTTCTTTTAATCGTGGCATGGGCATGAGCAAAACCGGACAACTGTCATCATCCTTCCCTCTGGCAATAATGATTCATTCAGGAAATGGGCATATTGTCCAAGTTGGGCCAGTGGTATTTAAGTCTGGGATTTCTGATGGAAGATTTGAAAAACAGTCGCTTTTTTACATTCAGATGACTAAAGTCTGAGGATGCTATCTCAGCTAGTGGCAATCTATTCACCATATGGTAATAGACTGCCTCAGAATAAAGATAACAAAGAGAGGCAGAGCTGAGAGATGGAGGAAAGCAGATTTTGAAACTCCCTACTTGAGCATTAGGACACATTCATTAGTGCATCCATTCCTGAGTCTACACCTGAATTTTCAATAGTGTGAGTCAATAATTCCTTTTTCATAATAGAGCCAATTCGAGTTGTATTTCTGTCCACGCTTGTTCTCCACAAGTAGAAGAATGACAAATTCATTCACTCATTCAGCAAATATTCACTGAGCACCTGTCACACACCAGGCCCTCTGGTAGGTACCGGGATGCTGTGATGTGCAAAACAGACATGGAGACTGGGGCTAGAGGGAGACATTAGTCAGGTAAACATACAGATAATATGCTTGGAGTGATTATGATGAATGGCAATGAGAAATAGAGTGCTATGAGACTGTAAGGAAGGTCCCTCTGACCATCCCTGGACACAAAAGAAAATTATGAAATGTCTGAAGTTAAAAAGAGAATGTTGATGCTAGAGAGCAATAGAGAGTCAGCTCTAGGACAGACCAAGGGCAGTGAGAGGCAAGCCAAACCAGCTAGGTAAGTTTCATTTGAGAATCCTCCTTTTTAAGACTCCCAACATAGACCTTGGATATAGTTGAGAATAAGAAAAGTTAAGTCTTCCAGAGAAAGGAACACCGTCTACACTCTGAATAAAGACCTATCAGACAGAAAATCCTTAGCGACCCCAAACATGGTTAAGTTTGCTCTCAAGGAAGAACTCCATGAGCATCTGCCCATTTCCTCTTGTGTCCCCAGCAAGGGGCAGGGCCCCAGTGCCTCCTGTGGGAGGCTGAAGAACCATAGAGCACTATCATTGTCCTTAACAGGCTCACAGCAATGAACAATAGGAGTAATGCATTTATCCAAGAACATAGTTGTGAAATAGACAAATCATGTTCAAGGACAGTGACTCTCAGCAGAAAGAAAGGAGACACGTGAGATTTGAAAAAGGATTCCATATCATAAACCAAAAAAAATGACAACTATTTGGCTGGTGCAGAAACACAGAAGAAAGTGAAAAATATAGAGGAAACTCGGGTTTTAAAAAGGCCTACAAATGCCTCATCTAGAGGAGAGACCCAGGGTAGTGATGGAAAGTAACCTTGTTGGGGACAAGGTCTTTGGGGTCAGTCCAATAGACCAGTGTCTGAATGCCAACACTGCCACTCACAAGCTTCAAGGGACAGGACTCTGGACATATTACTTCACTTTTCTGAGCATCAGACACCACTTTTAAGTAACAGCAATATTAATACTGCCTACTTCAGTGACTAGTTCTGATGAAGAGAAAATAATTGGAAAGAACTTTGTGTTTACTGGTACACAGTAAACAAGGACTCTTAGCTATTGCCATTGCTATCATTGGCACTTTGATGGGTAGGGACTTTGATGGGTAGGGAAGGTATGGATAGATTGGGCTCTTAAGGACTAATATCACCTTAATAGCCAAATAATAGTTATCTTCTACAGAGTATTGATTGAGTGCCAGATATTATGCTGAGCTCTTTCCAACATTCGTCCTCAGTCCTTGTACAGTGAGGATGTTCTATTATAACCCCCATGTACAGATGCCATCACTGAAGTATAAAGAAGTTAGGTTACTAGTTTAGGCTCATATAGCTGAGAAGTAGCAAAGCAGGGATTGACTCTGTACATCTAATTCAAACTCCCCACACTTCCTCAGGTCTGTCCAAACCTAGGAATCCCCCTGGAGACTTTTTCAAAGACTTTATCTCAAGGCCCAGATCTAGAGCCTCCCATTCAGTAAGTCTGCTGGGAAGCCCAAGAATCAGTATGTTTAAAGCTCTCCAGGTGATCCTAGAGATAAAAAGAATCCAGAAACCCCAGCTGTAGAAAACCAAGGCCCTGGAAGAGAGTTAACTGTAGCCCCCCTCCTTCACCATGGCCTTCAGAGTAGACAGAGCCATGTCTCCCACCAATATCAAAGAATTGTTTTCCTGCAGTACAAACTCACTTGGGACCAGGTATAACTCAGCAGGCAGGGACTCACTCCAGGTGCCAATTCTCTACATCAAAGGCAAGAGTTTTCTCTGCCCAGGCATAAGGGCCACTCAAATATTAATTTCAGTCCCATTATAAATCATGAGTTGTAGCTTGTGACCATAGTCCTTTAAAATATCTTGAGCTTCATAGACAGATGAAGTCTGTGACCTAGCTCTTCCTCCTTTCATCCCACTCTCTCATACAATGTTAGGCTACCTATTAAAAACCATCCCTTGTCCCCCAGATCATGGTCGGGCCAAGGAGATAACCAATCTTCTCCACGTGACTCAAGGCCAAAAGGTCCCATTGTGATTCTCCATGCAGGCTCAGAGCAGAGGAGTTAATGGTGTAAGTGGTCTTGTTGTATGCTTGGCACAAATTCACTGCAACAAGTAAAAGCTCTATTGATTTTTTGGAAACACTTAAAATGAACTTTGCTCTCAGCAGGCAGCTAACCAAGACTAGAAGTTGTTCTCTATAATCTGTAAAACCAACAGAGCTGAGGGCTGTGTACATGTGGCTGTCAGCTCAGTCCAAACGAAGCAACCATTTTCACCATATGATCCCAGCAAGTCATTAAAGGTGTGTGGCACCTATGCTTATAGATTAATAACTCAGGAAAATGCATCCAACAGCATCCAAAGTCAATGGGCACCAGGTTAATCCAAGCCTGGACTGTCTATGCAGTGACACCACTCAGCTGCTAAATTCTTTCCCCCTTTTCTAGTATAACTTCCCAGCAGTCATTGCTGCTGCCTGCACAGCAATAAAACTTGTTTAGACAAGCGTTTGAAGCACATTGTTCACACAACAATAGAAAGAGAGACACTGAGAAAAAGTTCCCAGCTTTGACTGATGTGTGAAACAGCCCAAGGTGACATATTATAAAATATTTAGTTGAAACAATGCATATAGCTGGAGCCCTTGAGCAAATATAAACACTAGCACCTTCGTGGCAATTTCTTCGTTATAGGCTGGTGGTTTTTCCATACTATTACTTTTGCTTCATCCTTCTTGATAGAGTACATTTTGAGACTTCCTCCACTGACATTCATGGATTTTTCATACAGATGTTTAACTCTGTTCAAGAAGCATAGGGGCAATGCCCTTTGAAGGCTCAAATGCCTTATTTTCTGCACAAGGGAAGGTTTCAGGGTAAGCAATGCTATTTGGTGGCAATTTACTTCAATCTGTGAGATGGAGCTCTTCAGGATGTGAACAGGCAGGAAAGCAAACTGCCTTTCAGCTCTATTCCCTCCACTCCTGCCTGGAATATGTATTTAAAACAAGCCACCAGCATGTTAAATACCCCATCCCTGAATTTCAGATGAACAAGCAAAAACCATGAAAGTAAATATAAGCAGGCAAACTTAGGGGATAGCTACTATAAGATTTTTCTATCCCTATTTCTCTTTTCTCTACATAAACGTGCTAAATATAACTATGTGTCCTAAACTTACACTTTTGTGCCATTGGGGAAATTTATTTTCTTTTAGTAAGCGTTATTTCCATATTTTTACAATCTATTCCTTGTCTCTATTTTAAGCACATTCGAGTGACAAACATGTACTGAGCACATCCTTTGTGAAGAACACACGGCTCCTACTCATAAAAACCTAAAATCAAGGTAAAGCGTGCATCTCAGTCTTCCTTAGTTCTGCTAAAGAAGCAGCAGTCTTCAAATAATCATTTGAGTATTGCCATTTTCCAAGATATTGGGGCAACCTCCTGGTTTCTGTGTTGTTTGCTTGTCTGTCTGAGCTACTTAAGCCAACAACAATCTGTGGGTTGCAGGCAAAGATGGTCATGGGTATTAAAACCAAAATAACACAGATAGAGAAAGGAAAAGAAATGAGTAGACAGTTGATGGTCATCTCCCATGCTTCCTCCCACTTCTTTCTCTACAGGCTTCCATTTTCATTTAGAGACCCACATGGCTCTGGGAAGCTGAGCCCACCCACCCCAAGCCACACATTCCATCCACTTGGTCACAATTCAGGAGCAGGTAAGTATTTAAGAAAAAATGTTGGTTTGGCTATGAATGGGACAGAGAGCCAAAGTTACCATTGGCTTAAACAAGATCAAAGCTTATTTCTCTGTCACATAAAACTCAAGTTCGTATAATGGCTATGCTCTGTGGAGTCATCAGGGGGCCACAAGCACCTTCTATCTTGTTGCTGTTCCATTCTTAAGAGTGCTGCTCTTGTCTGTGTGGTCTCAGGATTGCTGACAACTAGGAAAGCTCCCATGTTTCCTCTTCTTTAGTTTAGGGGCAAAACACCAGAATTGCACACAATACCTTTCACTTATATCTTATTGGCTAAAACTTAGTCACATGGCCACGCTAGCAGCAAGGGAAGATGGAAAATATAGTCTTTTTATCAGGCATTTATGTGCCTGGATAAAATTCCATTACTAGAAAAGAAGGGGATAGAAGATATGAGAGGTCAACCCAGTAGCCTCTTCCAGGCTTGTGGCCTAGACTATTTTAGGTCCTCATGTTTTGGTTTGGTATCCTGAAAAACAGGTGCATATTCTCCCCCAGGATGTACGGTTTACTGAAGTGGGAACTTGGCCATTTTTGCAATCATAAGGAAAATAATCTTAGGATGACAAAGACAGTAGAAGCAAGTGAATCTTAGAGAAAAGGATCTGGTTATCAGGTGATATTATAAACTTCTAGATCAAACTACATCTGAAGCTCTATCTCTAGACTTTTCACGTATGCCAGCCAGTAATTCTCCTTATTTTCAAAAGCAGCTCGAACTAGGATTTTCTTACTTTCAATTGAGATATCCTAAGATATATAGAGGAAAAGGGATAGAGAAAGAGATGGGGAGAGAGACTGCAAGAGAAATAGAGGAAGATACCAGATGGCCACTAACCCAAAATTTTAACAAAAGCCAGTTTCAGACACAGGAAGGGTGTAAACTACTTACAACAGATGAGCTAAACATTAACAAAAACACAGAATGATCCAAATATTAGCAAAACTCCTTAGAACAGAGAATAGATGACAAAGAATAGCCGGTATTGAGCAGCCAAAAAGCATAATGTTTTAAATAATTCTTTCCAAAGCTGCTCATATGAATTGAACTCTATTATCACATCACCCTCTTCTCTACTTCCTTCCATAGAGAAGAGTTTGTTGGGTGAAATAATACCCTTAATATAAAAGCCTCATTAGATTAGCAATTATTCTAGATCAAAGCCTTGGGTAGATGCCCCTGGCCTTGATTCTTTGACAAATTATATTGTGGTGGCCAATGTGAGGCCTTGAAAACTAGTTTTGTAATCTTCCAAGTATTTAGTCTAAGGCTCCTTCAACTCTTAGCCCTGAGGACAAGACCAAGCAATTACAACCCTTCTGGACTTTATTTTTCCCTAAGATCATCATCAGGAATTTATTAAGCAAATTTTACAGTATAAATGCTGATGAAATAGGCACCATTTTTAGAAAACTAGGATCTGCTTGTTTTGGTAGACATCTCACCTAAAATTCTTTCCATTTTATTGATGTCTAGACTAAGAAGATATAAGAGGAGGAGTAAGAACTGACAGTCATGTGGATTAAAGTTAGTATTCTCTTATCGCAAAAGGGTTATTCAGATTCAAAAACAAAAGTCTGACACGCCAGTGGATATTTTTATGTATTATTTTGCATGTGAGACAGGTGGGAGATGGAGCCAGGCTGTTGAGTGCAGGTTACGGAACAAAACGCCCATTCATTCATTCCCCAAATATTGCCTCTAGCATGAACTGCTCTGGGTATTGAGGCTATGGCATTAACTAAAACAGAGTAAAACAACACTGTTCTCAGGGACCTTAGTTGGTGCTAAGGGCTAAGGAGAAGAAAATGTTGTAAGTAGTTTTGTGATAGCAGGAGAGGGGAGTCTGTTTTAAGTAGAGCAGAGAAAGGCTCCCAGAAAAGGTGACACATCCACAGTAAAGGAAGGGATGAGGGTGACACCAACAAGCCCCGCTTTTTTCCAAGATGCTTTAGCACACTCTACTTTACTTGATAAGTTAGAGCTTTGCCAATGGTTATCCTAGCACAAGGGTAAGTGGCAAGGGTATTGTTTAAGTCAATCACGATTCACTCCCCAGGCTTCAGCACGTTGCTGCCCTAGTGGTTTTTTCTGAAAAAACCATTTTTTCAGAAAAGCACCCACAAATTATGATGGTTTATTCCACCCCTGCCAGGCCAAACTCATCTAAAGTGAAATACTTTCATGATAACTGAAAAGAGTTACCATAATTGACAAGCTTCTATGTCAGAGAGACAAAACTTGCAGGTGAGCCATAGGGCAAATGCACATTCACCCATCGGAAGAATCTAACCTTCTTTACATCATCATTTCTCAGAGGCAGATGGATAAGTGAAATCTGGCTTCTTCTTGCTGAAGGCTCTTCAAGGACATCAACCAATAAAACCACTTGACAATTCAACCAAAGCATACTGTCACTGCCCCTACATACTTCTGATCTTGCTTCACTCACCATCATAATTCAGGAGACCACTTCATAGTCTGGGGAGGTAGCACAAAATGTTCTCACATTTCAAAACCACAGATACCATGCACCTTAGCATTTAGCATAGAATGAATCCCTTTTTTCATTATTTTTCAAATTTGATTTTTTGGGTTACTATTTCTCATTCCTGGTTGGGCCAGAGAGACTCTAGAGATACATTCTACAATGAAAAACATTTTAAAATCTAACAAAAGTGCAAGACAGAGAGTTTTTTCAGTTAATTCAGGAAAAGTAGATGCTTTTTAAGAGAGCTTCTTACCAATGAAGTCATGAGGTGGTATGGTGTGTTAGAAAAGCAGAGAGCATCTGAATGCTTGAATCCTAAGCCCCATGTTTCCAGGTATAAGCCCTTAGGCATGAAGCAATTCATCTGTGTGGGGTTGAGATATTTCCTGCCAACATTATGGGTTTGGGTGGTGGGCTGGGATTGACCAAAAAACATGGTATTTTGTGTGGAAGTGCTTTTAAATAGCTACATTTTATTGTGTGACCCGTATGTGAGAGATGCTACAATGCACCCTTTACTCGCACGTTATTTAAGCCCAAACTCTGTGGCAGGTACTGTTATCGCTATTTTATAGCTGGGGAAAATGGGTAATCAGAATAAATACACAGAAAATTATGGAGCCAGGATTCCAATTTGGATTTGTATGGCTCTTTCCACCAGTGGCTTATAATTTTCAATTCAGAATCTCAACAGGCAGAGTGGCACATGCCTGTAATCCCAGCTACTTGGGAGGATGAGGCAGGAAGATCGCTTGAACCCCGGAGGTAGAGGCTGTATTGAGCTATGATCACACCATTACACTCCAGTCTGGGCGACAGAGTAAGACTCTGTCTCTAAGAAAAAAAAAAAAGAAGTCTTACTAACACGGGCCATTTGGGGTTTCATAGTTCGGGGTGAAGTTTTAGGAGGGGAATAAAGTAACTGAAACAGACTAAGTTGAAAAAAAATAAAGGGATTACACAATTGAAGTTACAAGAATTTCAGAAGCCAACAATCTTCAGACAGAGAAGCATATTGACATTTTTGGACAGATATGGAAAACCAAAGACATGGGAATTACAAGGAGAAAATGTGCCTTTTAGAAATGAGGGGCAGGAGGAGGGAAGAACAGCACAAGCTGGGGGAGTAATTACAGCAGGACACATTTAGTCTCAGACAGTTCTTTGATAACCAGAAAACAACACATTATAAAGTTAGAGATTTAATACTCATAAGGCCATCATAGATAGAATCTTTACCAATGCTAGAAATAATTGAAAACAGAAGCATGCAATTGACCACTTTCTGGTTTCTTTGATTACTCCAAGCTGTTTGAAGAGCTGATTTCTGGAAAGCATTTGAAAACTGGGCATACCAACCCTAACCATCTAATTGCCAATGAAGAAGAATGAATTATTCTGCAATTCTATTAAAGGTGAAAGAGGTCCCAGGGAACAATTCTAACAAAAATTGTATTGACTTGGGATAAAAGCTTGACTGGTGACAGCCCAGACTATTACAATATTGAGCCTGAGTTCAAAGAGAGTATAAGAGCAACTTTATGTTTGGCCACCTTTAGACAAGGTTACCACCCTCTACCAAGTATATGCCAACTTATTCAGATACGGCATTCCATTTCATATATGCTGTCCTTTCCTTACCCACCAAAGAAAAAAAAATGCTACCATATTTGTTTACCCTGACATTTACCTGGCTGTGTTAAGTTTTGCATTCAAGTCATTATTTTGGCCATTGTCTAGTGTCAGATAAATTTATGATGGAGCAGCATCGATGGAACCACTCTTCTGAAGTTGTGGGCGGTTGGTTACCTTATGGAACTCATTAACACTAGAATTGGATACAGCCTGAAAATAGAGGCAGATTGCAAGCAGATTTTGACAATTCTTGGATAACAGATCTTAATGGGTTATCAAGAAGAAAAAAAGTTCAACGATTGCCTATTGAACCTCTATTAGCGTTGTCACATAGGAAACAAGACATCCTCTTAAATTTGAGTTTCAGGTAAACAATGGGTAATATTTAGTAAAATAAGGTCCCAAGGTAATAAGGTCTTAGTATAAAAAGGTCCCAGTGAGTATATGGGGCATACTTCTACTAAAGAAAGGTACTGTTTGTCTGAAACTTGAATCTAACTGGTAACTGGCTTGCTTGTCTGCTTGCTTGCTTGCTTGTCTGTTTTTGCTAAATCTTGCAACTCCAGTCTCTGCTGCTATAAAATCCTATCTCACATGGGGTTAGTTTCTTAATTGGTGAGTAAGGCAAAAATTGCCTATCTTAAAAAATTATCATGTGAAATCTTTTAAATCACTCAAAATCAAGTCTACTTGATTTTATATCATTGTGCTATTATATCTCTCAGTGATTCCAAAACAAATTATCTTACTTGAGTGTTGAAAAACTTCTCAGCTGAACACCAGATAAAGTTTTTAAATTGTATATTAAAATAAGCTGTATAAAATGCTGTATTAAAAACATACATTGGCCGGGCTCAGTGGCTCACGCCTGTAATCCCAACAATTTGGGAGGCCAAGATGAGCGGATCACAAGGTCAGGAGTCCGAGGCCAGCCTGGACAAGTGACCAGCCTGGCCAACACGGTGAAACCCCATCTCTACTAAAAATACAAAATTAGCCAGGTGTGGTGGAGGGCGCCTGTAATCTCAACTACTCAGGAGGCTGAGGAAGGAGAATTGCTTGAACCTGGGAGGCAGAAGTTGCAGTGAGCCGAGATGATGCCATGGCACTCCAGCCTGGGTGACAGAGTGAGACTCCGTCTAAAAAAAAAAAAAAAAAATACATTGTCTGTTTCTTAGATTAATGTTTATCAGACTAATGTAGCACTTTGTTTCAAATACTAAATAGCATACTTAATGACTTATAATGAAAAATAGCATTCCTCTACCCAACCTCTCTGGATACTTCAGTCCAATTCTCCATAGGCAACAAGCCCTCAATCCTTCTAGCTTTTTCCCTTAATATTTACTTTCATATTTATTTTAAAAAAACTATGCCTTTTTGCTTTTTTTCTGGTATAATGAAAATTTTATTGTTTCTATTTGGATAATTGATTAAATGAAACACTGTAACATTTTCCTAACACTAAATGGAAAATTTTCAATTGCTCTATGAAGTTAAATTACACTTATGTCAATTTTTTTTTAGATGGTCTCACAGTCTCACTGTGTTGCGCAGGCTTCAGTGCTATCATGACCCACTACAGCCTCAACCTTCTGGGTTCAAGTGATCCTCCCACCTCAGCCTCCCGAGTAGCTGGGACTTCAGGCATGCACCACTACACCCACCTAATTTTTATATTTTTGGTAGAGACTGGTTTTACTATGTTGCCCAGGTTGGTCTCAAATTCCTGAGCTCAAGGAATCTGTCCACCTCAGCATCCTAAAGTGCTGGGATTACAGGTGTGAGCCACCATGACCAGCCAACTCCTTTTTTCTGTGGAGTACAGTATGATATTTCAATACACGTATGCAATGTACAATGATCAAATCAGAGTAATCAGCATATCCAAAACGTCAAACATTTATAATTTCTTTGTGTTGAGAACACTGAAAGTCCATTCTTCTAGCTATTTGAAAATATGCAGTAAGTTATCGTTTATCATAGTCACCCTCCAGGGCTATAGAACACTAGAACTTATTTCTCCTGTCTACCTGTACTTTTGTACCCATTAACCAATCCGTGTACTATTGTTTCTTAACTTAGCAATTTCACACATTATCTATACATTTTATATTACTTTTGAATCAATCTGTATACTGTCACCATAACTTCTTCCTTGGGCAATCCTTCATTTTTCCTGGAGGCAATCATTGTCTCAGAGTTGTCTTTTTTTTTTAATTTGTCTGATTTTCTAAGCCCAAATTGCTAGTATTTTCCAAATGCCCCAACACCTCTGCCTTCTCACCTATGAATAATGTTTTCCATTTACTTAGACACATCAGTTCCACTATTTTCTATCCCAAAGACCTCCCTCCCAGAACTTCACATCCATTTCCTCTACTCTGGACCTGTCTTTCCGTGCCTGCTGTCCAGGTCACATTCTGGGTCCTGTCCTTTGCAGTTCTCCTGTCTTGAAGTGTCTGTTTCTGAATTCCATGTTTGCTTTTGTTGTCTTTGTTGACCCCATTATTAAACCACACCCTCCAGAATCTTCCTAAGGAAGGCTGCCCTAAAAGCAAATATTTTGAATCCTCACAAGTATGACAACACCATTTGTCTATTCTAAGTTGATAGGCTGAGTAGAATTTTAGCTTGAAGATTCTTTTCACTCAAAATTGTGTTGCTCTATTGCTTCCAGTTTTCTGGATTGCTGCTGATGAGAAATGACTCCTGATAACCCATACGTGACTCCCAATACCACATGACTTATTTTCTTCTCTTAAAGCTTGCAGAACTGGCTCTTCAATTTTGGGGTTCTGAAACCTCATGATGATGTGCTTTCATGCAGGTCTGATCTCATCCATCGCACTAGGTGCTTATATTCATTTCCTAGGGCTGCTGTTACAAAGAACCACCAGCTGAGTGGCTTAAAGCAACAGACATGTATTCTATTAAAGTTCTGGAAGCTGGATGTCCAAAATCAAGATGTCAACACGCCTGGCTCCTTCTGGAGGCTCTGAGGGAGTATCTGTTCCCTGCCTCTCTCCAAGGGTTGATGGTTGCTAGCAATGCTTGCCATTCCTTGGCTAAATTCGCATTATCACTCCAGTTTCTATTTGTATGAGGACTTCTTCCCTGTGCGTCTCCTCTATTTCTTTGTATGGCCTTCTTATAAGGACACCAGTCACTGGATATGGGCCCCATGCCAATCCAGTGTGACCTCATTTTAGCTTCACTGATTACATCTGCTACTTATTTGGAAAAACTATATTTCCAAATAAGATCAAGGCGTGGAAAAACTCAAACTGTCTTATCTTCTTCTCTCACACCACCAACAACCACCAACACAGAATACCTCTGTGACCAAATGAGTGGGAGTTTTTCCTTACTCACCAAGCAGCAGGCACCAGCTGAGTGTCCCCTAATTTAATTCTGACACCCTCTACCTGGAGATAGAGTAAGATCCCACAGGTTGAGGGCTGTCCCTCAAGACTGCCTCCCTCCTCCCCCAGACCCCAGTGGCAAGTCCAGGCTTCTGGAACTTTTCACCAACTGCTCCAAGTTGGGGTTCCCATGCTTCCCTCTTTGGGTTTGATTAATTTGCTAGAGTGATTCACAGAATGCAGGGAAACACTTACATTTACTGGTTTCTTATAAAGGATATTACAAAGGATACAGATGAAGAGATGCGTAAGGTGAGGTATGGGAAGGGGTATGGACCTTCCATGCCCTCCCTTGGTGAGCCATCCTCCAGTAGCCTCCATGATGTCCAGCTATCTGGAAGCTCTGCAAACCCTGTCCTTTTGGGTTTTTATGGAGGCTTCATCACATATGCATGATTAATTAAACCAGTGGCCATTGGTAATCAACTTGCACTTCAGACCCTCTCCCCTCCCTGAAGGTTAGGGGTGGGGCTGAAAGTCCCAGCCCTCTAATCCTGCCTTGATCTTTCTTGTGATCTGCCCCATCCTGAAGCTACCCTTGGATGGCCAGCCACCAGTCAATCAGTAGCATATAAACAGACATCATTTTGGTAATTCTAAGAATTTTAGCAGTTTTATGCCAGAAAACGGGGTTGAAGACCAAATATATATTTCACAGTATCACAATCACATTCTGAAGTTACAGGTCAACATAAATTTTGGGGGGACACCATTCAACCTGAGACAGGAATAATACAGGATGGTCACAGAATAGAAAATTCCAGGGGCAGTTTCACATGACTAGCAAAAGGAAACTGTTGAAATAGCTGCAGAACCTAGGGGCTAAGACCCTAAAATACAGAGTGTGGACCAAGCTGGCTAAGACCAACTGGACTCAACATGGCACTGAATTTGTCCTAGGTTTCACCTAGAACCTCATTATACGCTCATTAACATACTAAACATATACCCACCAGCACCATGACAGTTCCAGGAATACCCATATTTGGTGTAAAAATGGGTGGCATCAGTTTTGAGAAATCTCCACCTTTTTCCAGGAATCTTCGTGAATATTCCACCCTTTGGTTAAAAAAAGTCCATAAAGGTGAAATCCCATACCCTCTTGTATGTCTCTTATGTGATTCTCTCTTGAGTATGCCCACACTCCCCATTTTTTTTGTTGTTTGTTTTGTTTTGTTTTGATACAAGGTCTCGCTCTGTTGCCCACACTGGAGTGCAGTGGCAGGAACACGGCTTGAGTATGTATTTTTCACTTTGCAATAAATGTCTGTACTTTCAATATTTTTTTACTCATCCTTGAATTCCTTCTTGTGATGGGGTCAAGAGCATGGACACTGGCTGGCATCAAGGTCCCACTGGCGTTTGGGACCATATCAAAGCCACTGTAGTGTTCATGAGTTCCTTTCATTCTGGAACTCACCTCCTTCACTTCCAGACATTTTTCTTGATTAATTGATGTTTTCCTTTCCTCTCTTTCCTCTAGTTTTGCTCCCTGAAATTTCTGTAACTTGCATCCCGAACCTCCTGGAATTATCGTCTAATTTTCCTATCCTTGCTCTCTTGTCCATTTCTTTTTGTTATGCCCATCTATGGAACTTTACATTTCAGCTTTAGTTTCCATTTCATTTCAGCTTTTTAATTTCCAAAAGTCTTTTCTTTTTCTCAGATTTCTCCCTTTTTTATAGCCTCTTGTTCTCATGTCATGGATGCAGTATCTTGTAATATCTCTGAGGAAATTAATTACTGGTTGTTGTTGCTGCTGCTACTGCTGTTATGTTTTTCTTTTCAAAGTTTTCTTGGGTTCTTACTTTGTTTCTGTTTCTTCCAGGAAGATAGAAATGTCTCTGTCTTTCAAGTTGAAGGCTTTCCTCAAACGTGTTGATCTTTTGATGTCCTTACTAAAAAGTGCAATACTAAAAAATCACATTAGAAGCTCTGTATGAATGGGAGAGTTTCACTTCAGTGTGCTGATACAATAACCTAATTCTCACATTCAGTTTCTCCAGAAAAGGAACACCTGGTCTCAGCCAGTCAGAGTGCCCCACACCTGTAATCCCAGCCCTTTAAGAGGTCAAGGAAGGAGGATCACTTGAGGCCAGGAGTTCAAAACCAGCCTGGGCAACATAGTGAGACTCCATCTCTAAAAAATAAAAATAAAAACAAAATTAGCAGGGTATGGTGGTGCACACCTGTAGTCCCATCTTCTCAGGAGGCTGAGGTGGGAGAATTTCTTGAGCCTAGGAAGTCAAGACACCACTGTATTCCAGCCTGAGCAAGAGAGTAAGACCCTGTCTCTAAAATAAAAAAATAAAAGAAACAGCTAGTCTCTCATCAAGTTGGATAGAGAGAGTGGATAGAGGAGAGTATACTGGTGAAGCAGAATGGACAGGGAATCTGGGCTTTTATTGCTCCATTTTTTTTTTCAAATAGTCTCTCTGTGTGTTCAACCCCATTCATTACCCCTGCCCTAAGTAGTGATGTGTTAGATGAATACAGAATAAAAAAGGAAAGTTAGTATTTTTTAGGGCTTAAAGTATACCAGGTATTTTCGCTGACTTTTAAAAATTTTATTTCTTATATTTGAGGGCTGCAATCAAACAAATCTTCTCCTCAAATATTGCCATTTGAGTGGATAAGAACGATTTTAAAAGTGTCTTACCTTATATATGATGTGGAAAGGAAGAGATGGCATTTGTTGGTAACTTGTCAAAGCTGTGTGGGAGAATTGTGGAACAGGTGTGGGATGAGGCTGCAGTAGTAAGTGGAGTTGAGAAATCCCTATGTGGTGAGGCATGCAATGCCAGTTGGGAAACAATATTGGTCTCAGACTATAGCTAAAGGCAATTCACGGGGTGAGAAGGACGGAGCCAACATGCTCAGAACACTTGTGGTTAAGAGCATAGCACTTGGTTTGCCAGGAGTCTGGGTGTGAGTCCATGTCTTCTCACCAACTCACGCTCCCATTCCTATCCATTCTGAATTCTCCATTACTGCTCCGAATCGCCTTCCTGCTTGTGCTTTTCTGAAGAGTGTCAGGCCTCACTGGACACCACCCCAGTGCCTTCACTCCACATCACAACCCAGACAAAGGATAGTATATGCGTTCCTCTACAGATGGCTTAGAAAAGAGTGAACGGGCAGAGGGCAGAGGAGGGGAAGTGTACCCACAGCACTTTACAGAGATTGGCTGAAGATTGGATTTTGGCCATCCATGGTTTTTTAGTTGTCCTATTGGGTTTTTTTGTTTTGGTTTGGTTTGGTTTTGAGACAGGGTCTCGCTGTGTCACCCAGACTGGAGTGCAGGGGCGCGATCTCGGCTCACCACAACTTCCGCCTCCCAGGTTCAAGTGATTCTCCTGCCTCAGCCTCCTGGGTAACTGGGATTACAGGCATCTGCCACCACACCTAGCTAATTTATTTTATCATTATTATTATTATTTTGGTATTTTTTTAGTAGAGACAGGGTTTTACCATGTTGGTCAGGTTGGTCTCAAACTCCCAACCTCAAGTGATCCACACACCCCAGCCTCCCAAAGTGCTGGGATTACAGGTATAAGCCATTGCACCCGGCCAAAATTCAGTTATCTTTGTTTCCATTTTCTACCTTAAGAATTGTACAGAGACCATCATTTTACTGATAAATATATTTTGATAAACAAATCCAGAAACAAGTGTTGCCATCCCTTAAAAAGACAGATGTGACTGCACATTTTTTTAGTACAGTTTGTCTTTTCTCACATCTACACATAGTTTGGACACATTTTTATAAATATATATGTATGTATGCACATACACATACTTCATATATGTATTTATATATGATGTGCTATATATATTATATATGTATAGATATATATTACATCTACAGTCATGTGTTACTTAACAATGGGGAGTCATTCTAAGAAATGCATAGTTAGACAATTTTGTCCTTGTGTGAACATCAGATTGCACTTACACAAACCCAGATGGGCTAGCCTACTACACACCCAGGCTGTATGGTATAGTCTATCGCTCCTAGGCTATAAATCTCTACAGCATGTTACTGTACTGCATACTGTAGGCAACTGTAACACAATAAGTAACACAATTATGCATTATGTATATCTAAATGGTACAGTACATATTGTAGAAAAGATTTAAAATGGTCCACCTGTATAGGGCACTTACCATGAATGGAGCTTGCAGGACTGGAAGTTGTTCTGGCTGAGTCAGTGAGTGAGCCGTGAGCAAATGTGAAGGCCTAGGACATGACTGTACACTACTGTAAGCTTCATTAGCACTATACGCTTAGGCTACATTAAAGGTATAAAAAAATTCTTTCTTTAATAAATTAACCTTAGCTTACAATAACTTTTTAACTTTATACACATTTTTTAACTTTTTGACTCTTTTGTAATAACACTTAGCTTAAAACAAACTTTTTGTACAATTGTACAAAAATATTTTTTCTTTATATCCTTATTCTATAAGCTTTTTTCTATTTTTAAAACTTTTTTTAGGCCGGGCGCAGTCGCTCACGCCCATAATCCCAGCACTTTGGGAGGCCGAGGCGGGCGGATCACGAGGTCAGGAGATGGACACCATCCTGGCTAACACGGTGAAACCCCGTCTGTACTAAAAATACAAAAAAATCAGCCGGGCGTGGTGGCGGGCGCCTGTAGTCCCAGCTACTCGGGAGGCTGAGGCAGGAGAATGGCGTGAACCCGGGAGGCGCAGCTTGCAGTGAGCCGAGATTGCGCCACTGCACTCCAGCCTGGGCGACAGAGCGAGACTCCGTCTCAAAAAAACAAAACAAAACAAAACAAAACTTTTTTTTTATTTTTACTTTCTAGCCTTTGTTGTTGTTGTTGTTGTTAAAAACAAAGACATACACACACACATTAGCCTAGGCCTACAAAGGGTCAGGATCATCAATATCACTGTCTTCCACCTCCACATCTTATCCCACGGGAATGTCTTCGGGGGCAATCAGACGCATGGAGCTGTTGACTCCTATGATGACAATGCCTTTTTCTGAATACTGCCTGAAGGATCCACTTGAGGCTGTTTCACAGTTAACTTTTTTTTTAGTAAGTAGGAGTACGCTCTAAAGTAATGATAAAAAGTAGAGTAAATGCATAAACCAGTAACATAGTCATTTATTTTATGTACTGTAAATAATTGTATGTGCTAGACTTTTATACTACTGGCAGCACAGTAGGTTTGTTTATACCAGCATCACCACAAACACGTCAGTAATGCATTGTGCTGTGACATTAAGACAGCTACAAAGTCACTAGATGTCGGGAATTTTTCAGCTCCATTATAATCTTGTGGGATCACTGTTGTACATGTGGTTCATTGTTGACTGAAACACCTTTATGCAGTGCATGACTGTACACATGTGTGTGTGCTCGTGTGTATCATAAATTTACACAGATATATAGAGAAGAGAAAGTGGAGTTTGGAATGGTATCTACCAAAACTCTTAATAAAGGTTATAGTAATTTTCTCTGGAAAGGGCTGTTAGAGAGGATGTCCTTTTCACAGAAATACATCACTCAAATAATGAGAAAATAAAAGCAAAACTATTTCCGTTTAGGAAAAAAAAGGCAAATTGAATATATGTGAGATGAGTAGTGAACATAAAACATCGAAGTAGAACCACAGATAATTTAAAAGGGAAGGAAAAAAGACATTTATAATAGAGAGTGAAGGAAAAAATCATACTCTTAAAAAACTCACTAAACAGAAGATAACACAGCTTATGTAACATTCTCATAACAACAAAACTGAGGTCCTAGGTGTACTTCCTGGAGCATGTTAAAAATACAGCTACAGGTTAATGAAAAGGCTGAGTGAAGGAAGTTAACTTTAAGACTTGCAAAATCTGCGCAACCTGGAATTGCATTCCTATTAAGGAAGTGGGTAGCTCACACTTCCCCTCCCAATGTACCTCTTCATGGATATTTCTGACCACTTTCATTCTGATAACATGTTAAAATAGCCAATTTGGCCAAATTTACAAAAATAAATGTGGCTATGTATGCAATCCCACATCCAGTATAGATGACAGCGAAGCCCAGATCTCTCTGTCGTAGTTCCCATATGTTCACCTCATCTCCCGTTAGCGTTCTGAAATGGATGGCATCATTGGAAAATAGTACAGGTCCCAAGAAGTAGAAAATCATCTCCAAGTTAGAAAAAAAAAAAAAGACTGAGCTATAAATCACATAAAAGATGGAAGAATTCCCTAATGTCTTAGCTTTTTTCTTACTTTCTAGTCAGGAAAAGTTACTTTTACAGGAAAAAATTATTAAAGTTTTTAAGCTTTTAAAAGTTGATGAGTCAACAATGACAGATTAGGTTATTTGGACTAACTCTTCCACTAAAAACAACTAAAACTGACGTAGTAAACATTTTTAGTCCTTTTAACAGCATCAAAGAGCTGGCAAAATGAAAAAGGAAATACCAAGTACCAAAATAAAAGATGTAAATGGAAAACTTTGTAGTTGCTTTAGGTCTGAAGCCATTTGCCAATTTGGAAGGAACTAAGCTGTCCTTTTAATGGACTTGTGGTATGGAGGAAGCAATAACTAAAGGATGAGGCCCATTCAATGTCGTGTGTCTAGTAAATCACCTCCATCTATAATACCCCGAGCTCTCAAAGGTATACAGTATTGGGGAACGGATAAATCAATATATCTACCTATCTCCTTCCACCCGGGTAGATTGCAGGGAGAGATACCTTGGACTAAGAAGAGCTGGAGAAGAGAAATAAAGAGGAAGGAAGGAAAGAAAGAGAAAACATAGACAAATTGTCCCTGAGAGGAGGCGAAGCATGGGCACTTTCTCTCTAGGATTTACATCACCAATTTTGCAGCACCTAAGTGATCCAAGAAGTATAAACTATGATTTTAACTTAAATAGTTATTCAGTCATTGGGAAATACCCCATATAGAGTTGTTTAAGGGAAATAAACACTTCACAAAGACAGCAAAGTACTTAAGGAAATAATACGCCATGGGTGAAAACCAGCAGAAATAATGGACACCTAAGGATTTCAGATATTGCAATTATTAGACATAAATTATTAAAAATTATGTTCTATGTTTAAAGAAATAAAAGACAAACTTAGAAATAAATGCAGGGTATAGGAAACTAAACAAAATATCATAGCAGATTTGAAGAAGAACATGATTGAACTTCCACAAATAAAATATACAATAACCAAAATTTAAAACTTAAGGTATAGTATTGGTCCACAGATCAGATGAAAAAGAACTAAGTAAACTGAAAGAGAGAATAGAAGACATTTATCCAGAATGCAGCACACAGAGCACATAATTGAAAAGAAAAAAGGCTCAGGAACAAGAATATAAGGAGGGGAAGTAAGAAGAGAGGGGAAGAGAAAACCTAATATACATTTTTTAAAACCTTTTTTAAGTGATATAAAAGAAAATGAGGTGGTGGCTCACACCTATAATCCTAGCACTTTGGGAGGCTGAAGCAGGCAGATTGCCTGAGCTCAGGAGTTTGAGACTAGCCTGGACAACATGATGAAACCCTGTCTCTATGAAGAAATACAAAAATTAGCCAGGCATGGTGGTGCATGCCTGTAGTCCCAGCTACTCAGGAGGCTAAGGTAGGAGAATCATCTGAGCCCAGGAGAGGTTGAGGCTGTAGTGAGTTGTGATCATGCCACTGAACTCCAGCCTGTGTGACAGAGAGAGACAGGAAGGAAAGAAAGAAAGAAAGAAAAGAAAGAAAGAAAGAAAGAAAGAAAGAAAGAAAGAAAGAAAGAAAGAAAGAGAGAGAGAGAGAGAGAGAGAGAGAGAGAGAGAGAAAGAAAGAAAGAAAGAAAGAAAGAAAGAAAGAAAGAAAGAAAGAAAGAAAGAAAGAGAGGAAGGAAGGAAGGAAGGAAGGAAGGAAGAAAGAAAGAAAGAAAGAAAGAAAGAAAGAAAGAAAGAAAGAAAGAAAGAGAAAGGAAAGGAAAAGAAAGAAGAGAGACAGAGATTGAGAGAGAGAGAGAGAGAGAAGGAAGGAGACAATATTTGAAGCATTAATGAAGAGAGAATTTTCTAGAACTGGTGAAAGATGTCAGTCCACAGATTCAAGAAGCTAAATGACTTCCAAACAGGGCATTTAAAAAAAAAATCTTAACCTAAATATACCAGAGTAAAATCGCAGGAAACTAAAGTTTAGAAAAGTTTAAAAGCAAAAAGATTTTTTTGGAGAAAAAAACACAGCAGTTGACTGATAGCTGACTTCTTAACAGAAGACAATAGATGGGTGGAGTTGTATTGTCAATTTACTGAAGACAAATAACAGCCAACTAAGAATCCTCTACCCACCTCCACCAAATCATTCAAGAACAAAAGTGAAGACATTTTTAGACAAAAACTAAGACTGCCTACAAAAATCTAATTCTAAAAGATAAACTTTAGGCAAAAGAAAAGTGACTTCAGATGGAAGAAGTATTAGCAAGAAGCAATGGAGAGCAAAGAACATGTAACAAACAAAGACTGAAGCATCTTTTCTTGGAAAGTTTGTAAACACATTTAAAAGTCTTGAAATAAACTAAAAGCAACAGCAAAACTTTAACTTCAAGCAGAAAGACTTCAGTAGTCAATATGGGGCTTCCAAACATGGGTGAAATAATTTTTAAAATGTGTTTTTAAAGGTTTGCAGGGGAAGAAAGGCAGGATTAAAATCATCATTTTTGAGACTTAGCTGTCTCGTTGACATTTGTGTTTTCTTAAATTTTCTTAATGGGTGTATTTTCCTTTTACTGATAACATTAGCCTTCCATTGGAATATGTTGCATTCATTGTTTTAATAATGATTTCAAGAGAAAAGTTATAAATGAAGAAAGATGCACAGACTGTTTTCTGCAATACGTCATGTTCCCTTGAAGATTAATTGTTTAGATTCCAAGTCTGAACTTTTATATACATAAATCAAGTTCTAGCTTAACATTGCCCCAAATTAAATGCATAGCCCTTACCATGTCCTAGAAGGATATATCTGGTTCCTGCCTTTGGGTACACTGTCTCCCAACAACCCTCCCTCTTCCTCACTGTCCAGATCTACGGCCTGTTGCTCAAGTATCCCAAGCCTGTAATTGCTTGAGGACCTTTGCACAGTTTTTGTTTTGTTTTCACAGCCAGGAATGCTCTTCTGGTTCTTTCTATGGTTGGCTTTTCCTCATCTTTCAGTCCTCATTTTAATGGTGTCTCCTCAGAAAGCCTTTCCTGACTATCCTCTCTAAAGCAGCCTCCCTCTCAGGTCATTATACTACTGTGCTGCTCATTTCCTTGGCACACTCATCATTCTCTCCAATTGTCATCTTCACTTGTTTACTAGAGTCTTGCCTGTCTCTTTCCCACAGAAAATAAGTTCAGCTTCATGAACAAAGGACCTTTCCTGAGTTGTGTGGCATTGTACCTTTAGGTCCTAGCACTGTGCCTGACTCAACATAAGTGTGCAACAAATATTTGTTGAATATCCTTAAAACTGAAGACATTCTCATATTACTGACATTACTGTCTGACTTCAGGTGTGAGCCGCCTGTTCTGGATTGGGACTTAAAGAGACACCTGTAAAAGGAGCATCGAATTCAGTAGCTACGATGAGAAAAGCAGATGTGATCAGCAGACATTTCCTGGGAGCTTACTGTGCTAAGCATCAGAGTTTTTTTAAAATATGTTATCATATATGAAAGATATATATAAGATTTCCTGTAAGAATAAAGTTTTATAAGGACTTTGTAAGGTCAAGATGGGCCTGAGTTCTAATTTTATTCTTCTACTTCCTTGCTGTGCAAATTTAGATAACTTAAGTAAACTCTCTCAGACTCATTTTCCCTATTTGTGAAATGAGGACAATAGAAATGACCTCATAGGGCTGTGAGAATCAAAAGAGATAATGCCCGTAAAGCAATGGCTATGTGTGTGGCATATCATAGAAGCTCTGTAAATGTAAATATTCTTGCCTCATTCCATGAAATAATGTTTGATGCACTCTGCTAGAGAAACTTATAAATAATATTTAATTCACACTTATTTTGAATCTATATAACCTCCCAAACCAGTGAAGTACTAACATTTTTTTTTGACATGGTTATCTAACAATCCATGGAGAGCATTGCCCTACCAAAATCCATACCCCACTCTTCCAAAAGAACCCCAAATTTATTTGTGGTAGTAATGTGCTGAGCTAATGCTTTAGCTCCCAGACCCTCAGAAGCTAGAGGTGTCCATGTGGCATGAACCTGGCCAATGACATACATAAGTGGCACCCTCACATGAGACTTCCTGCAAGCTCCTTTGGCCTTTTGACCTTCCATCTCCTTCCTGCCTGGAATGTGAACACAACTCCTGGATGTACAACAACCATCCTGAGAGCATGAGAACAAAGCCACACAAAAAGGTATGGAAGGAAGGTAGAGGGAGTCAGAGTCCTTGATGCTATCACTGTACTGCCATGTCCAGCCCTGTACTGCCTAGTCCTGGATTACTTCTCATGTGACAAATAGCCATCTTATTCATTTAAGTTTACTTGATTTTTTTTGTTACAAGTTAGGGTTTTGTTACAAGTTGGGATTCTCCAGAAAAGCAGAACCAAAAGAGATAGAGATAGAGATGGGGATAAATACAGATACAGATATATACAAAGAGATTTGTTATAAGGAATGTACTTACATGATTACAGAAGTTGAGATGTTCCAACATCTGCATTCAGTAAAGTGGAGATCCAAGAGAACCAATGGTATAAGTTAAGTCCAAGTCCAAAGGTCTGAGAACCAAAACAGCCAATGTTATAAGTTCCAGTCTGGAAGCCAGTAGGCTCAGACCCAAGAAGAGTTGAGGTCTTAGCTGGAGTCCAAAGGCAGGAAAAGACCAGTGTTCCAAGCTCCAACAGTGGGGCAGAGGAGTCTCCCCTGACTCCTGGGTGGGTCAGCCATTGCGGTGTATTTAGTCCTTCAACTGACTGGATGAGGTCCACTTACATTAGGGAGGCAATCTGCTTTACTCAGTCTACCAATTCAAATGTCAATCTCATCCAAAAGCACACCCTCACAGACTCACTGGGAACAATATTCAACCAAATACCTAGCACTCCATGGCTTAGTCAAGTTGATACATAAAATTAACCATCATACCTGCAGCCAGAAACAATGCTGTGATGTACCAGTCCAGACCACCTCATGGGCACCTGCAAAAGAAAATCCAAGGGTTCTTTTAAGAACTCACTTTTTAGTTATGTGTTCTCTCCTCTTCCCATTTTATGTTTAGAAAGCCCACAGGAAGTGGAACGTGAACATAATCATAAAGGAAGTTAAGAATCATGAAGGAAATCAGGCTATGGTAGCTTAAAATGTGTCTAACCCCCAAAGAACAGCTATTGCAAAAATCTTGAGAATAGGTAGAGAGAGCACTGCCATCCCCTTCCCCAATGAGTCCCTTTATAATTGTTCCCAAAGGAACTTTGAAATCTCCAGTGTTGAACCCAGAGAGTGAGACATGAGCCACAGGTTCCCCTGCTGGCCCCAAGAGAAACAAAACGAAGTGTCTCATCAGCATTACAAAAGCTTTTACAATGTAAAATTCAACATTATTTTTGATCATTTTCTCTGATACTTTTGAATTTGTGTATAATGAGCACGTAAAGCACACCCTTATTAATACACTAAAAGTGGTTTTATGAGCCCAAAGGAAAGGTCCTAATTTACATGTGATGCTTGCTCACTCATTCATTTACTTGTTGGATAAATTACTGAATGCTTCCTAAGTGTCAGGCTCTGGGGACACAAAGCCAGGCACTTTGTAAAGAGGTTTAAAGAGCCAACTCTATCCTCTAAGAGTTAGTAATCTAATATTGACACTGATACACATGCAAATACATCCTGGCACAGAATAAAAGAATGAATCCTGGACATTCTTGAACCATGAAGTACCTATGTCACATACAAATTAGTTCACATGGAAGTTAATGTTTACAAATAAGAGTAATTGGAAATGGAATGAAATGTATGCGTATGCATACTTCCATTTCCAGTCTAGCTGAGCAGCCTTGAGTAAGTTACAAAGCGTCTGTGAGCCCCATTCTCCTCATGAAGAAAACGAGGGTAATAATATCCAACAATGAAGGAGTCTTTGATAATTAAAAAGCTAGTAAAGCATATAGTACAGTGCCCAGCACAGAGCAAGTGGAAAATGCTATTTACAGCTACTTCTACAGTGATGATGATTGCTCAAACATTGATTCCACTAATAAAGGGTTTGCACATTACAGGTATTTTTTTTTAACTTTTATTTTAGATTCGGGGGTACATGTGAAGGTTTGTTACATAGGTAAACTCATGTCATAAGGGTTTATTGTACCAATTATTTCATCACCCAGGAATTAAGCCCAGTACCCAACAGTTATCTTTTCTGCTCCTCTCCCTCCTCCCACCCTCCACCATCAAGTAGGCTCCAGTGTCTGTTGTTTCCTTCTTTGTGTCCATAAGTTCTTATCATTTAGCTCCCACTTATAAGTGAGAACATGCTGTACTTGGTTTTCTGTTCCTGCATTTCTTTGCTGAGGATTATGGCCTCCAGCTCCATCCATGTTCCTGCAAAAGAGATGATCTCATTCATTTTTAGGGCTGCATAGCATTCCATGGTGTTTATGTACCATATTTTCTTTATCTGATCTGTCACTGATGTGCACTTAGGTTGATTCCATGTCTTTGCTAATGTGAGTAGTGCTGCAATGAACATTCACGTGTATGTGTCTTTATGGTAGAATGATTTATTCCTCTGGGTATAAATGGTAATGGCATTGCTGGGTCAAATGGTTGTTCTGCTTTTAGCTCTTTGAGGAATCACCATACTGCTTTCCACCACGGTTGACTGGTATTTTTAATTGATCAGGTTTATCCTTTTCCTACCAAAAAGTCAGGGTCCCAAAACTGTCCCTAATGACTCAGTTCTCATTAAGACAAAGTGTTTTGTTTAAGTAAATAAGTAGGGGGACTGGAGGTATAAAAAGAAACCAAATTAAGTGATTACTTGAATGCTTTTGCCATTGTGGATTTAGCCACATCTGTTTCATGTTATCTACTGTGGTCTGCTAAAATTCCTGTCATCTCATTTCTCTTTAAATGAACAATTCTTTATTGCTGAAATGTATTTTCTAGATCCTTCTTTTAATGTACTCATATTTCTGTTTAACACACTATTTATTTGTTCATTCATTCATTAAAAGTATTTTTCAGCACCTACTAAGAACCAAGCACGGTTCTGAGTTTAGCATTGTTAAATAATACCAACAAGGTAGACAGGTTCCTGATCCCAAGTATCTTAGTCAAGCCTATGTTCCACCAACAGTCCAAAATGTCTTTCTAGATCCTTTCATATCATGTACTTTCTGGTCAATTCTTATAACATTTCATCCCTTAAAGATGGTTCATATCATCTTTACCTATAAAATTTCTGTCTTTATTTATGGAATATGATTCATTAAGATTATTTTATTTCACTTCTGTTCTCTAATTCATGGTTTCTCAAGTTAGTGGGTCCCCTAACAAACCCTCTACAACATAAACCACAATTGACGTTTAATTTTGGTGGTTGAAAAACAGTTCGTGTCAAGGTTTGATTTAAAAATAAGTCATCCTCTGACACAAATTACATTCCTAATGTAATGTGATGGACACATTAAAAGAAGGCTTTCCAGTAAATTCCTTAGAGTTTCCGTCAGCTCAGCATACAGGAGAGATTGAATATCTGCTCAAAGCATATGTTTATCAGGGACATATGCACTAACACGTGAGTTATTTTTTCAAACAAGATTTTAAAATCCAAGTATTTTTATGTTACAAGACATTAAAGGCACTGATCATTCACCATATGAATTACAGCCGTGTACTGTATGGGGAACCAGTGGGTAATTCTTTGCACATCAAAAGATGTTGTCTCTAAACGTACCACCCTCCCTCTCGGTGTTAATGCTGGCCTTGGCTGATCCCTCATGAAAGACTAGTATAATGTCTTTTTAAATGACTTTTTTTTTTGACTTATGTAACATTCACAAACTAGGTATTCAGGAAAAAAAAAAAAACCTTAGCAAGTTTTTGGGAAGAGATGAAAGCATGTTCTGTTTTAAATGTTCATCTAATCCTTCATAGAGGGATAAAATAAACACGTTTTCAAAAGTTCAGCAAAATTTTTCAGAAGTTCAACAAAAAATTCCTGGAAAGCTAAGAAGTGTCAGTTCCTTTCAGCCCAGCAGCACTGTCCCAGACAATGTTTAACACAGGTGGCACAAGGCCAGTAGTAATGTCCTTTCTGAATCATTTAATTTTTACCCAGGAAGTAATTCATCTAGCAAGCTCTTGCCTCTTTAATCACCCACCAGCCCCTACCTGGCCCTATCATGATGATAAAATGCATTGCTGGCATCCTACTATCAGCCAACAGATAGGAGCACCCCTGGGTGCTCACTGGTTTGAAAACTCTGTGCCTTTCATACTGCCTGTCTCTTATGTTTGTCTGTCCATATTCCCAACAATCTGACTGTCTTAGTTCATTCAGACAGCCATAACAAAATGCCTTAGACCGGATCATTTATAAACAATAGAAATGTACTGCTCACAGTTCTGGAGGCTGGAAATTCCAAGATCAAGATAACAGCAGATTCTGTGTCTGGTGAGGGCCCCATTCCTCACAGATGGTGCCTTCTAGCTGTATCTTTATATGGCGGAGGGGGCAAACAAGCTCCATCCGGCCTCTTTTATAAGGGCACTAATTTCATTCATGAGGGCTCCACCCTCATGACCTAATCACCTCCCAAAGACACCATCTCTCAATACTACTGCATTGGGGATTAAGGTATTAACTTATGAACTTTGGGGGAACACAAACATTTAGATCATAGCACTGATTGATTGAATCTCTGTCTCTGTCTATTTCTATGACTGTTTCTTCCTTTCCCTTTAACTCCACTTCTCTGTCACTATGTGAGTTTCCCTCTGCCTCTATGTTTGCATATCTCTGTCTCTGTGGTCCTGTCTGTATGTATTTCTCTCTGCTCTTCTCTGTTTCCCTTCATCTCCCTTTCTCTTCTCACCTCTCTCTCTCACTGACTCTCTCTCTCTCACACACACACACAGCCACGCACACAAACACACACACACACATGCATGTGCACACAAACACATAAGGGCATTGTTGTCTTATCTTTATCATCAACCCCAAATAGACTGTTACATGTCTCCCACACTATTACAATAAAACTTCTGTCTGAAAAACAAGTTTCTATGTAGAGAAATTTTGAACATTATTAGAAAACAAAATTCCAATACCAGCACAAAGAAGTTCTTTATAGTCCTCTACATCCAGAATTTGACATGAGAACTTCAAACATATAATAAAATCTGTCACATAGACCATTGGTCCAAAATAGCCCTGGAAAGATTCTCAAATCCGTAGGACATCTATCACTGGGTACTAACTGAGTCAGTTATACACCTTATATGTGGATTTACTATAATTTTCAAAGATATGTTATTCAAGGTTTCTCAGTGTCAGATTTGTGGAGGTCCACAATGGGTGATTTCAGGGGGCTCATGAACCTCTTAAAACTGTATGTAGTTTTCTGTATATGAGCATTTTTCAAGAGAAAAGTCCACAGCTCCCACCAAGATTCACAAAGTACTAATAATAAGATTCACCAAAATACTAATAATAATCAGCCATGTGATTGTCATCTTCAAAAAATTATAAATTCATTGTAAAGATTTTACTTTTGGTCAATATATACCTTATCGACCAAGGGATGCTAATAGTCACACACCACCATCATCATATGGAAGTTCAAAAAGTATTTGACAATTAAAACAGGGCTAATCACAGTATTAAAGGCTTATAAATTCCACCTACAGGGAACTGTTTATTTGGCACTGCAGTTGTTTTTTAATCTTTTTTATATTTGAGAACAATTTCTGACATAATTCAAATGCACCCCATCTCCATGCATTTTTACCTTCCTGAATATTTCCATTAGAATCTTTAATTTTCTAACATAGCTGTTTAAATAGACACTGAGAAGAGAGGATAAAGTCATGATGCATTTAGCAAGTAGCTCATTCTATTCTCTACAATTAGTCCCACTGAGGAGTTGAGTTAGATAAAAGTTGGGAAGGTTACCTATTATCTTGCTTCTCAATGCTTTCATTTGTGTGTACTGCTTCAACAACTCCCCAAATAATGAAACTATAGAAAATGGTCAAGGTTAATTCGATGCAGATACTGCACTTTAAATACAATTATCATTTCGTTTCTAAAACGCTTTTTAAAAGAAATGATTGCTTAGGAAATGAGTGAGCAGAGAATGGAAATGAAAACTGTATTTCTTAGCAAGCATGTGGGCTTCAGGAAGCAACAGGAGGCCAAGGTTGGAAGAGTACATTCATAGGTTCCACAATGCCAAAGGGTAAAGCTCTCAAACTGGCCTTCAAGGTTCTTCTGCAGGATGGAGCCCCAATCTTTAGATCCATCCTTATATCTAATGTTCCTCAACAGCCAATTTATCCCTTCTCTTCCTCCTTGAACCCAATATTCTAATAACCCTTCATGCCTGTGCCATGTGGCAGACAAACTTCAAGGTGGCCACCATAACCCCCAACACCTGGTGCTCACCTTTCTCTCGTCCTGTCCCTTTGCATGTGTGCTCCTAACAAATAGAATGTGGTAAAGGTCATGAGATGTTACTCCCGTGATTATGTTATGCTATAAACTCTGTATGGTTAGCAGATCCATTTTGGAGTCTCTCTCTCTCTTTCTCATTCACTTTTCCGTCTGCTTTAACAAGCTGCCACAAACCCTGCAGCCACATGGGAATGAATTCTGCCAATAATTTAAGGGAACTTGGAAGTGGATCCTTTTCCAGTCACATCTCTGGTGAGAACCCAGCCATGGCCAACACCCTGACTGCAAACTTGTAAGAGGCTGAGTAGAGAACCCAGGTTCCTGCCCTATAGAAATTGTGAGATAATTAATGTATATTGCTTGAAGCTGCCAAGTTTATTACACAGACAAGGAAACAAATTAAGCTAGTGCTGTGCTGTCCTTCTAGAATGCTCTTCTTCTTTGGAAATCCTGCCCCTTTTTCAAGAATCAGATCTGAAATCTCTCTTTCACCTTTTTCTCACCTAAAACCTGACAATTTATCCAAGGACCTCCCAAGCAGTTTGATTTTCAGCCTCTTTTCAACACCGTTTTCCCACATGGATGACTCTGGGCCTTAATGTCTCACATGGTACTACATATTCCACAGGGATCATCATGAATTCACATATATGCTCAGTACTCCACTCTCTCTGCCTGATCGTTTCCTCATGATCTTTTGATGGTGCTTCCCTGGGCCTATCACACCTCCTTTTCCACCACTCAACCCTTCTCCTCTCTCTACAACAAAAGCAATCTCTAGCAACATTCCAAATTTCAGTGACACCCCCAGATTTAGACTTGTGACCCAGTTTCTTCTTGGCTTTGAATCCATGCTAATTTTCCCCAGCCAACCAAACCCTCTCTCACATGCTTAAATGGAGGCATGAGGGTTTAATTAGGAATCTTCCTGTTAGTCAGCCTCTCCAGTCACCTCAACAAGGCCCTCGCTGTTGGCTCACTGGAGCAAACAGCTGTGAGACTGGTCTCTCACCAGCTACCTGGCTGCCACTTAAAATATTTCATGCTCAGAGGCACAAAAAATAAGCTCAGGTCTGAGTCCATATGCAGATCATGACAGGCCTACCTCACTTCACTCCACATGAACCTGTACACATCAGATGAGTGCAATGCCCACAAAATAGTACCTGGTATGTATTAGGATGGGTAAGAATTTAAACTGGGAAAGCCTTTTTGGAGGGCAATTTGGAGTACCTATCAAAATATAGGCGTTTGTATAGGGTGATACTCAGCAGTTCAAAAGAATGCTAGGACTTTTGCTTGCGAGAAGAGAGATTAGACACACTTTTTCCTATTTTTCCTGTTTAGTATAACTAAAAGCTCCGGACATTGTATATAACACAAATGTAAGTAAATTCTGAAGGGAGGAACGAAGAAGGCAAACCAGCTAGGGATCTGTGATCAAAGGAATGACACGGTGAGAAATGCCCTGGGTTTTCTTTTTGGCCTTATTTAATAACCCAAGATTTGGAGCTGAAGATGCTGACAACCCAATCTCCACATTAATGTTTGTAACAGTCCTAATGGTCAAAACCTGGAAACAACCAAGATATTCTTCAATGGGTAAAAAGGTTAAACAAACCATAGTACATCTGTGCTATGGAATACTACTCAGCAATAAAAAGGAAGTAATGATACATGCGACTACCTAAATGAATCCCCAGAAAATTACACTGATTGAAAAGGGTCAATACCAAAAGGTTAACTACTGTAATATGCCATTTATATAAAATCTTTGAAATCACTAAGTTATACAAATAGAGGACATAGAGGACATTTAGTAGTTGCCAGGGTTTGAGGAGGAATTGGGGGGTGGGAGGGAAGTAGGTGTGCCAATGAAAAGAAAACAGGAGACATCCTTTTGGTGATGGAAATGTTCTATATCTTTACTGTATGATGTCAGTATTTTGGTTGTGATATTAATTTAGTTTTGCAAGATGTTACCATTGTGTAACACTTGTGAAAGGGTACAAGGGATCTCTGTGTTTTTTTTTTTTTTTTGTGGGAACTGCCGGTGAATCTACAGTTATTCAAAATTAAAAGTTTAGTTTTTTTTTTAAAAAAAAAAGGAATACTATCTCTAAGCTCTCCAAGATGTACTGTTTAAAGAAAATTAAGTTGTAGAACATTATTTACAGTATGGCCCCTTTTATGTCAATATTAACTAACCTTTATAGGTACTTACAGTGTGGCAGGCACTATTCCAAGCCCTGTACACACATTCATTCATTTAATCCTCCTTATAAGTCTATGAGGCAGTCACTATTATTATCTGCATTCTACAGAGAAGGAAACTGAGGATCTGAGAGTTTCAATAACTCAGTCAAGGTCACTTAGCATATGACAGAGACAAGACTTGAACTCAGGCAGTCTGACTCCAGGATTTGTGCTCTCAGCCACTAACTGCATATTTCTACTATCCGTCTGAAATTAATTTTTACATGTACCTTAGTAGAAAAGGATCTTAAAGGATACACACAACCAGTGGCATCCCTGTAAGCAAGCTTATTTTTTTGGAGGGGAAGTGGCCTGTAGTCTTTGCCAATGTCTATGATGCAAATATGCTCAATTTCAAGCTATTAACATGCTGTCACTAAACACAAGGGTTGCTATAAGCCAGCTCCAGCACATCACTGTACATTGTGTCATC
This sequence comes from Homo sapiens, assembly GCF_000001405.40. Classification (NCBI taxonomy): domain Eukaryota; kingdom Metazoa; phylum Chordata; class Mammalia; order Primates; family Hominidae; genus Homo; species Homo sapiens. The sequence goes on from NC_000003.12 coordinate 65,320,163, forward strand.
GTGTGTGACACAACAAATCAAAATTATGGTGTCCTCAGAAGGGGAAAATGGGAAATTAAAGAGTTTAAAATGTGATTTTTTTTACTTTGTATTATTTGTTTACAATGAAAATATACACATTACTCACACATTTTAAAAATACTAAAAGAAGTAAATATTTAAAGGTGTATCCTACTGGCTTTGACCTTAAAATCCTTTATGGCACATCTCCTCCCAACATATTCCAGTGCTCAAAATACTTCAGTGTACACATTACCTACAGGAAAATCTCTCAGGCCCCTTCTCAGGACACACAAAGCCTCTCAAGGGTTTGTCCTTGGCCTGATCCCAGGCTCAACGCCTTCCATAAACATCTATGCCTCAGATGACCTGCCATGCATTGTCACATTACCATTCCTTTGGTCATGCCATTTTCTGTTCTTGGAATGTCTTTTTCATCTCACTCTCATACTTAATGCTCCACAGCTGATATAAAACCTCCCACTAGGCTATACTGTCCTTGATGGGAGGAGTCATTTCTTATTCATCTTTTTCTCATTTAATCCTCACCAAACCCCTACATGAGATGTATTTGTTAACTATTGCTGCCTAACAAATTACTTCCAAAGTTAGCAGCTTAATGATATTTACTGTTTATGTTTCTATGGGTCAGAAATCTGGGTGCAAATGAATCTCTGCTTTACATTGTCTCACAAAGCTACAAGACAGGGTCACTGGGGCTGCAGTCTCATCTGAAAGCTTGACTGGGGAAGAATCCACTTCCAAGCTCACCCATATAGTTCTTAGCAGGACTAGATTCCTTGTAGGCTGTTGGCCTAAAGTCCTCAGTTCTTCTGTTGGCTGGAAGCCACCCTCATTTCCTTGCCATGTGGACTCCTCCATAGAGCAGCCCATCACATGGCAGCTGGATTCATCAGAAGCAGAAAGCAAGAAGAGTCAGAGAGAAAAAGTACAAGCAATCCAGAAGCCACAGTTTTTTTAAAACCTGTTCTGTTTGTTTGTTTGTTTTAGAGACAAGATCTTGCTCTGTCATCCAGGCTAGAGTGCAGTGGCACAATCTCAGCTCACTGCAACAACTCCTGGGCTCAAGAGATCCTCCGGCCTCAGCATCCCAAAATAACCTACTCTTGAAAGTGCTATTCCATCACTTTAGCCACATTGTATTCATTACAGAAAATCATTAGGTCCAACCCTCTGTCAAGGGGAGGGGAGTACACAAGGGCATGGACATCAGGAGGCAGGGGTCATTGGGATTTGTTTTAGAAGCTGCCGACTCCACAAGACTCCACAGCTGCTGAGGGGCAGGACAAATATGCATAACACTTCCAGTATTTCTATACTGCTACACAACATCTGCCTGTGAGCATGACCTAAAATTCTCTATTTGCCATATGCATCAGGTTTTTTTGTTTTGTATTTTGAGACAGAATCTGGCTCTGTCATTCAGGCTGGAGTGCAGTGACTCGATCTTGGCTGTCACTTGACTGTCACTTGGCTGCAAACTCCGTCTCCTGGGTTCAACTGATTCTTGTGCCTCAACCTCCCAAGTAGCTGGGATTACATGTGAGCACCACCATGCCTAGCTAACTTTTGTATTTTTAGAAGAGATGGAGCTTCACCATATTGCCCAGACAGTTCTCAAATTTCTGGCCTAAGTTATCCACCTGCCTCAGCCTCCCAAAGCCTCCCTAGGGCTCCCAAACGTGGCTCACATTACAGGTGTGAGCCACCGGTCCCGACTAGCCATATGCATTCTTTAAACAAATAAGTCTTGGATGCCTATAATGTGCCAGGTACTGTTCTGGGTGCTGAGGGACAGTAATAATGAAGCAAAAGAAGTCCCATCATCATGAGCTTACATACTAGGTGAAGGAGACAGACAACAAACAAACAAACCAAAAAATTAAATTACATCAGTTGGTAAACAGAGTAAGAATTTTAAAAGATGTTGGGGGGGATAATGGTCAAAGAAGGCCTCTCTGAGTAGAGACATGAAGGAAATGAGGGAGCAAGCCAGGAGGAAATGTAGGGAAAGAGAGTCAAGCAGAGGGAACAGCAAAGGCAAAGGCCCTGCAGTACGACCATGCCTGGTGTGCTCCGGGAACTGCAAGGAGGCCAGTGAGGTGCAAGGGAAGTCAACAAGCAAAAGAGAAGGTCAGAGAGATTGGCAAGGCCTTGAAGCTCATAGGAAGGATTTTGGTGTTTTAAGTGTGTCAGGAAGTTGCCAGAGAGTAAGGAATTTCTTTTCAAGATCCACTCATGTAGTGAGAGACCAAAGTATTATATTTCATGAGCTCTTTCTGACTCTTACTGTTGTCCTGACTTTGTACTGACAGTTTCTCTTCCATCTGTTTCAGAGGATGGAGGATTTACAAAATCGTCAGCCTGTGGCGTTCCCACAGGGCAAGGCTCACCATCATGAACCTAGTCTACTTGTCTCCTTGCACCAAAGCCTTTGTCCCTTTTCTCCTCTTGGATTCATTTGTGAGGTCAATGGCAAGTTTCCAACAAAACAGCAAAAACCTTGTTTTGTTTGTTTGTTTGTTTGTTTTTCTTTTTTTGAGAGAGGGTCTTGCTCTGCCACCCAGGTTGGAGTGCAGTGGCACGATCTTGGCTAATTGCAACCTCTGCCTCCTGGGTTCAGGCAATTCTCCTGCCTCAGCCTACTGAGTAGCGGAAATTCCAGACACGTGCCACCACACCCAGCTAATTTTTGTATTTTTAGTAAAGACAAGGTTTCACCACGTTGGCCAGGCTGGTCTCAAACTCCTGTCCTCAAGTGATCTGCCCACCTCGGCCTCCCAAAGTGCTAGGATTACAGGCATGGGCCACCATGCCCGGCCTCCTTTTTCTTTTTCTAAGCAAACCTCCTGATTTTTCTCTGAACAAACACCATCTAGTTTGACGCAGAACACAGAAACACAGCCAAAACAAAGTCCAAACCCTGGTAAGACGAAAACAAAGTTGAGCCATCCGGAGCACCTGGGTCAGCAAATACTTCCACATTCTCCAGAGTGGACATACAGGGTGTCCTCGTATTTTAAAGATGCAAAATGTCAATATATAAGTTTCTGAAACTATACTTCTTGCCTCGTCCCCTCCTTCAGATTCAAAAAAAAGTAAATCCACAACTCTGATGCACTATAGGGTAGACATGAAGCTGGATTTCTCAACCTTGGAACAATTGACACTAGGGGCTGGATAATTCTCTGTTATAGGGGCTGTGCCATGCACTGTAGGAAGTTTAGCAGCAATCCTGACCTCTAATCACTAGATGCCCGTAGCATCTTTCCAGCTGTGACAGCCAAAAATGTCTCCAGACATTGCTGAATGTCCCTTGCAGCTCAAAATTGACCCAGTTGAGAACAATTTCCATAAAGGCTCAGGTGCATGTTCTTGGGCAAGTTACTAATCCTGTTTGGCCCTCAGTTGTTTGCCTAGAAAACAGAGAATAGACATGCCTAAGAACAGGAAGTCTGAGATCTCTGTCCAAGATCCATGCTTATGTGAATCTGTGATACTCAGTGAAACAATTACACTACATTGAGAGCCTCCAGGTTTGAGCAACATGAAGGCACAAATTGAATCTTACACAGCTCTGTGTATTGTCTCGTCTAGTTTGTGACATACAGTAGGTTCTCAATAAATATTGGTTTAATTATGATTAAATATCACGTGTATGGGTCTTCTCACACTTGGCACTATTAGATGTCCCATATCCAGCACATAGTAGGTATTTAATAAAATTTTAATAGTGTTATTAAATATGGTGAGGTCACCTTAAAATCAGGTCCTTTTTAAATTCAGAAATGTTCAAGTTAACCAGCATTTACTGATCATTTACAATGATCCAAGCACTGGGGAGAAGGATATGAATGAAAATGGCTCTTGTGCTTTAGAGAATCGTGATACAGTGGTACAAGTCAGCCCCGCATCACAGGAGACTCCACTCGACAATGAAAGATGTTATAGTCAGGTAACAGAGGGTTCCAAGTTTCTGAGAATCTTTTACTTGCATTGGTTCTCTGGAAAAATGTACTTTGGAGAATCCAATCCCATTAATATAAGCAATTATATTATATACAAATGAAGTCATTCTCTTTGAATGCTTCATGAAATGAATCACATCTTTCCTCACCTTTCTCACTCGATTACATGCATAATTAAATCTAGTGATGGTTTTATCTTGAGTGCCAACTTAGACACATAGTGGTTTCCAGGAGAACTATGTTAAGGATTCTGAGGCCACATTCAAGCCCATTCTTAATGTCTGCCATGGATGCAGCATGAAGAAATGACTTCACTTCCAAGTATCCATCATACCTGATTTAACCTCTTCTTGATAAGTCAAGATTATATTATAATTATGGTCCATCATATCAGGAAATGACTTCATCATTCTACTTGCATGGATTCAAATCATTGGAATCATCCTGAACTCATCTTTTGTTCTTATACATCACAACCAAATTGTCAACAAGTGCTAATGGCTCTACCATCAACAAAGACTCACCCCCACTGCTGCCACCCTGGCATGAGTTAACATCATGGGTCATCTCCTCCTATTCTTTTTACTGCCATACTCCTCCAACTGCTATTCCTTGAACCTGCCAGGAGCCCTCCCTACTCAGGACATTTTAACTCACTGTTCCCTATAACTTGCATGCTCTTTCTTTACCAGGTAACCTCAAGGTTGATCCTTCCCTTTTGTATTTCCTCACTGAGGACTTCCCTGGCCTTCCTATTTACAGTTGCAACTCCCACATCCTCCCCTTCTCCCTATCCCTTCTTGCTGACTTGTACATATTACTTGGGACCAACTGACATCCTATATATTTTGATTATGTATTTGTTTAGTGGAGACATCCCTTCAGGAAGCTGCATGAAAGCAAGGATTTCTATCCATTCTGTTCACTGTTACATCTCCACCACCTAGAACAGTGCAGGCTCATGGTAATTGCTTAATAAATATTTACCAAATAAAAGAATGGATAAATAAGTGAATTATCAGAGCTATAACTCAATGAGATTTAGGAGTTCTTGGAGTTTTAGAAGCCTGTTTGTCTCTATACTAAATAACCTCATACCATGGTGCTGTGGTCATTTCACTACAGTCAATGAATCTGTCTAGAGCTGCACTGTCCAACATGAGAGCCACTAGCCACATATGGCTATTTGGATTTAAATTTAATCAATTAAAATTAAGTAAAATAAAAATTCAGCCCCTCAGTTGTGCTAGCCACATTTCAAGTGCTCAATAGACCCATGTGGCTGGCCACTACTATATTGGACATTTCCATCACTGCAGAAAGTTCTATTGGCCAGTACTGGTCTGAAACATCCACTCCGGCTACCCTCAAAGTAATTAATTTTCTAATTTGAGGGACCAACCAAACAAGCTTGTTAAAACCATTCATAGTAAGAGCAAGCTAAATATCAGTCAAGGCCTGATGAATTTTCCTAGGAGATTCTGTGCCTGGGCTTTCTGACCTATGCTTTATCCTTCAGGATCTTTTATTTCTTGGCTTTGATTTTTCACTGATGTTCCTGATGAGGTGTTAGGTAGATGGCCTGCAAATAGCAAGCTGCTACAGTATCACATCTTCCATGTAAAAAATGCCTCCTTTACTCAGAAATCTGTTTTGTCAGTCTTTGGAGATAAAGGACATGTGGCACAACTGTCAGAAGTAAAGACGGGACTGGAATAAGATCCTCTTTGTGGCTGGGGATCAGAAAAGGGGTAAGTGGATAGGAAAATAGGAAGTGGACCGATTATGAAGATAGGCAGACAGAACATTATAACTCCAGTGGTTGACATTCACATTGTGAGAGAAACAAGTAAGAGGAACGTAGGGTACACTTACTATTTACAGCTCAAGGATTCTGGAAGACTCAGGAAGAAAAGGCATATGAATTTGAATGATCATCATCAGTTTTCATTTCAATAGATCATGGGGCCCACGTCCTGGTTCATCACAGACATCTCCCATACATGTTATCTCTAATCCTCTTTAAATAATACAGCCAAGTCATTTGCAGAGGTCAGGATGGGCAATGCTCCCTGAAAAGGAGTGATATGGTTTGGCTGTGTCCCCACCCAAATCTCATCTAGAACTGTAGCTCCGACAATTCCCACTTGTCGTGGGAGAGACCCAGTGGGAGGTAATTGAATCACAGGGATGAGTCTTTCCTGTGCTCTTCTTGTGATAATGAATAAGTCTCATAAGATCTGATGGTTTTAAAAGGGGGAGTTTCCCTGCACAAATTCTCTCTTGCCCGACACCACGTAAGAAGTCCCTTTGCTCTTCCTTCATCTGCTGCCATGATTGTGAGACCTCCCCAGCCATGTGGAACTGTTAGTCCACTAAACCTCCTTCCTTTGTAAATTATCCAGTCTCAAGTATGTCTTTATTAGCAGCGTGAGAATGGACTAACACAAGGAGATATTTTCCCTAGCCTGTGTTCCACTCTCTGCTCTCCAGAGGACAAATGAATCTATCACTGCTGAGAGAAGTCCACACTGCAACACTTGTAACTGTCATCTTCAGGAACAAACAAAGTCTTTCTCCCTCTTCTTGTTTAATTACAAACTGCTTTCAGATCCATGAAGGAACTGTAAATACGTCCTGATTGACAACAAGCCTTGAGATTGTGCAAGGCTAACATCAGAGGTTGAGTTCAAATGAGCTACCGATACAATCTGATCTGATTTTAAACCTGTTAAACAACCAAAGGAAAAAGTTAAGTACACTTCTCAAAAAAATAAAATCTCAAGATGACCTTTAATTTGAAACTAAATTGTTATTTATTTAAAAAACATGCCGTGTTTTACCCTCCTCTTTTTTTCCAGTTCAAGACATTCTTTTCTCATGTCGCAGTCAAATGTTCCTATTGTTTTCTGAAGGTCATAGTCTTACATAGTCTTAACATGGTGACTTTTCACTATTTAATGTTTGTTTCATGAATAACATGATTGTTTCCTAATTTCGTTCCATGATTAGTTGGTTCTTTCCTTATCTATGCCTCAATTTTCTATTTTAATAGGCTTGCCAGTGAATTTTTAAGGATTCTGAATAAATCTTGTTCATCTTTCTGTGTTCCCTATGGTACTTCATACAGAATCTGACAATGAATTGGGGTGTATTTGTTGAATTAATGAACAAAGAAATGAGTCGATGAATGGATGTCAGATTAACTAGGTGAAGAAATCATCACAAGTGCCTACGGATGGCCAGTCTCAGCATGGGTGTCCTCACTCAGATCCTACAGCCAGCAGCACATTTACCAATGGAGCTTCATTATCGTGCAGAAAAACCCTGCTTGCCCTGGTTCGGGAGTAACTGGCGGCAGATGAAGGATGGGTACTATGAGAACACTGGAATGCAACACAGCATTCAAACAATCCTAAGGACCAAGGCAGATGCCATGTCCCTGAATTGGTTAAAAAACAAAAAGTCTCTTTGGACTTTACCCAACTTTCAGACAATGAGCATTTGCAATAAGTAGAACATACCAGGAAACAAAGATGACCTGGGAATGCTCCCTTTTAAGTCACATATCGACAATTGATAACCTTGACTAAAATGGCTCTCAGTCACTCCTTCCCATCGCTTTCTAGGTCACACAGCGAAATGAAGTCCAAGCTCTAACTTAGCAGGCCACCATGCAAATACAAACGTCACAGTGGCCATGCTTCTGAGCCTTTGGAAAGGTAGACTTGTGGTAGGGGAAGAACTATGGTTTCTGGTGCCAGACTCCTGGCTCTGCCACGTACTAGCCATGTGACCCAGCCAAACTACTCGACTCCTCTGTGCTTGGGTTTTCTCATATGCAAAATGGGGGTAATAATTGTAACTACCTTATGGGGTTAGAGTACAGACTGAACAAGTTGATATGTTCAGCATTGTAATGTCAAGCACTGAGAACAGTGCCAGGCATGTAGTAAGCCATCAAAAAGTGACTGACACTACAATGATAGTGATGATGATGAGGATGATCTTGGGAAAACTGTACCTCAGTTATCGATTCCCATTCTGGGACACAGCTCATAATATAGATGTCTACTGAACAGACCTGGAGTGTGTTTATAATCCATATGTCCCACGGCACATTATAGAGCAACCGGTTCCACTGTATTTTCACATAAATATTCACATGTGCGAAGATTCTATATCACAGATGTTCTGGGCTGTCACCACAAAAGTAGGAGGTAGCAGAATATAGTGCTTATGACTCAGAATGGCATGAGCTCAAACCCCAGCTATATCACATATTGTCTATGCAGTGTGGACAAATTAATCAACCTTGCTTTGTTTGCTCTTTTACAAAATTGAGATAAAAACAGTGCCTGTTTTCATAGTGCTGCTGTGAAGATGAAATAAAATACTCCATTATACTTTTAAGTTTGTTGCAAGGACTTGTTCAATAGAAGATAGCTATCACAATCTATCCTTTAGGTTAAAATGCAGAGGTAGAAGATTGATCTGTTTGAGTCCATCACAAGACTTTGATTCAAAGAAACATGGACCCTCTGAGCCAGAAGGGGTCTTCAGAATCATTTACCCCAGGCTCTTTCCTTTACAGTTGAGAAAACTTCCCTTCGCTGGAGAAGGGAAGTCGCTTACCCAAGCTTACCCAGCTGAAGAGAGGTAAACTGGGATTAGAAAGCAGTCCTGATTTCCTGGCCTGGGACTCTTTTACCAAGACTGCACTGACTCCCTGATAGAATTCAGCCCTCTTCATTCCCAGACTCTATTTTCTTTACCTTGTCCAATGTGACAGATGCTTCTAGTGTTCCTGAACCATTATCACTCAGCTTTCACCTCTCAGCTGGTGGCTTCTACTACTGGCGGGACATCTCAGAGATATGTTCTGTGCTGCCTCCCTGGGATTCTTCCCTAGGGACTAAGCCGGTTTCCCCCAGAGGTAGCCTGCTCCCTAACATTCGTTGTAATGGCTTCCTTCTTTTCTCTGTCTCAATTCTTCATCCCCTTCCCAGTGCTTCCTAGGATCACCTTCCACATATACTACTTGCACGCAATTCCTTGCCTCACAGCCTGTTTCTGGGGAAGTACAACCTAAGACACCCACAAAATGAATAAATGTTTTTAAGAGAGAAAAAATGGAGGAATAAAATAACATGAAATAGTATAAAATAAAAGACTTTGGGAGAGTATATAGATGCAGTCCATGCGTCACAAAGGGGTGAATCAGAAGCTACATGCGGGTCATTGGTGGCTACTCAGACTAGATCAACTCAAGCTCAGCTATCTTCACATGTCTGTCGGTCAGATATTCAGTCAATGGCAAAGTCAACATACTTACTCCTCCTGTGGACAACCCTGCAACACAGCACAACACAACACAACACACAACTCTCTTTATCAACAACTATACCCACAACTCCACCATCCATAAAATATTCTGTCTGTTTTGCTTCTCCTAAAAGTCTTCCTCCTTCTATGTATTCTTCAAATAGAAATTCCCACCTTCAGGGAACTCAGTTAACTATTTGCCTTCCCCAACACACCAGTGGGGAGGGAAATCTATCAGACTGGTTCTGAGCTCTAGGTTTAGAAGCCAGGCAAGTTGCTTCAACTCCAGGCTTCCATGTCACTACTAACTAGGAATAAGCTATCTGGCCTCTGCAAACATCAGTTTCCTCACCTGTAAAGTGCAGTAGTAATGCTTGCCCTAATAATGCTGTGATGATTTAGTAATACAATGTCTGTAATATACATACTGGCATAAGGGAAGAGTTTAACAAGCAGGAGCAGTAATAGCAGCTGTGACTGTATTGTTATTGTTGTTCTATAAATGCCTCCCTCATTCCCATTGTCATGGCCTCCTGCAACTCTTTCCTGGGTGCCAGGCTCTCTCAGCTAAAGATTGTACAAGCAAGCCTTCCTCCCCTTTCATCACAAAAAACTCATTTGGAGTCTTTCTTTGAACCACTGAGGGAGAAGGGAAATACAGAGTCCTCTGAGAACACAGATGGCACACTAACCTTAAGGGAAAAGGCGTTGGGAACCGGACCAAGGGCCATGGAAAACTCAAGAAAAAAGCTATTGTGATGAAGTTGAAAGCTTCTTGCAAAAAATGATGCATGGCTTTCTGCTTCTAGTTTCAATTTCACTGTAGTGTTGCTGAAGATCTTGAAGAAATTACGTCATTTCTCCCGTCTTTGTATTCAGAGCAAAGCAAACTCACAGAGGGAATTCAACAGGGAGATAAACAGTGAGATATCCGTTTCAAAATACGATCACCATGGTGTCTGAATTCACCTATTTTGCATTAAGAAAATGAAATATTATTTGCAATCCTACATAAGCCCATCTAACAGAATAAGCTTCGTATAGTGAAACAAACTAACAGGCAAACAACTTCTGATTGTTAGGGTGGGCTAACTGGCATAACCAATACACGCCAAACATTCGAGGTTTATTTCTTGCTTGTATAACAGTTTGGATTATAGGGTGCCAGGGGTACTTCCCATGCAGTCATTTGGAGGAGCCAAGCTGGCAGAGCAGCTACCATCTTCAAGATGTAAATTCCATGGTCGCTTGGGAGTTGTCCCCGTTTGAACCAGCAGGAAGAAAAAACAGCCCAGAAGAAGTGGGGAAGGCTCATGGGCCAGTGCTGAAGTGGAGTTCATGGCTTCCATGGACAGTGCATTGACTATCCCAGGGTCTCACAGAACTGAAACGAAGAAGAAAATATGACTGTTGGTGTCTAGTCAACAGTCTCTTCCACAGAAGTCCAGATTTTGATTCAAGAGCCAGGACTTCTAGACCTAGCTACTAAGTAACTATGAAAAAGCAACTCAACATCTGAATCCAAAGGAAAGGCTTGGGCTGCTTGACAACATGGATGGGGAGTATATGAAAGTCTCCTGGATGAACTGATCAAACTCCACAGTGAGATCCCAGGATGACTCCACAGATGTGTGTTACTGGCTGGGAATCACCAGAGTTGGGCTCCTGGCCTGGGTGGCACCATGTAGCATCTTAGGTGGCTGAGGTGGAAATTATCTGGCAATACCAGATTCCTTTTTTTTTGAGACAGAGTCTCACTCTGTTGCCCAGCCTCAGTGCAGTGACATAATATCAGCTCACTGCAACCTCTGCCTCTCGGGTTCAAGCGATTCTTCTGCCTCAGCCTCCCAAGTAGCTGAGATTACAGGTGTGCGCTATCATACCCGGCTAATTTTTATATTTTTAGTAGAGATGGGGTTTCACCATGTTGGCCAGGCTGGTCTCGAACTCCTGACCTCAAGTGATCTGCCTGCATCAGCCTCCCAAAGTATTGGAATTTCAGGCATGAGCCACCGCGCCCGGCCTGGCAATAGCAGATTTCTAAGGTTACTCCCAGCTCTAACTTTCAATGATGAAAACTCATGCATCTACAAACAATGCATGAGAAGATATCAGTTTCTGTAGAGGAGGGTAGAAGCTGTCATCTGTGCTTGTCAAGCATGTTCTTGTATCTCCTAGTTACAGAACACAAAGATCTCAAGTTGCACTGCATGCAAGCAGAACCTAGGTAAGGAGAGAGGGAGATAGATTCCTGCTGATATTATTTGAGATCCTAGATTCCAATGTGGCTGAAGGCAACAAATATTCAAACTTCCTCTGAGTGCACTTTGAATTATCCTCCTAATAAATCCTTCTCAACCTCAAGACCTGCCTCTGTTCCCCCCGCTATGTCCTCACACTGCTTTGTGAATCCCTCTGCTATAACATTTGGCTTGTAGAACTGGAATGACTTGCTTTTCTGGCTATCTTCCCCATAAATTCACAGCCTCTCCAGCACCTAATACAGTGACGTCTGCCCAGAACCTAATGCAGTGCTGGGCATCTAGCAGGCATACAGGAAAGTTTTTCTGAGTGGGTTTGTCCATTGAAAGTTTAAACAATGGGCCAGGCATGGTGGCTTGCACCTGTAATCCTAGCACTCTGGGAGGCCGAGGCAGGCAGATTGCCTGAGCTCAGGGGTTCGAGACCACCCTGGCAACATGGCAAAACCCTGTCTCTACAAAAAAATATTAAAAATTAGCCGGGCATGGTGGTGTGCACCTGTAGTCCCAGCTACTCGGGAGGCTTAGGCATGAGAATTGCTTGAACCTGGCAAGCAGAGGTTGCAGTGAGTCAAGATCGCACCACTGCACTCCAGCCTGAGTGACAGAGAGAGACTCTGAAAAAAAAAATTTAAACTATTACTGCAGAACAGCATTGAATTGTGAAGCATATGGGCTGTAGAATCCGAGCTCTACTCCTGGCTTTTCCACATACCTACCACGTGATACTGGACAAGTGACCCTGCCCCTCTAAGTCTTAGTTTTCTCTTTCATCACATGGGGATAGATACACAAGTTTCTTCACAGAAGCTCTTCTGCATTATGAAGCTTCTTAAAGGAGTTAAATAAGGTCACTTTTGTTGAGCACTTACCACAGTGCCTTTGAAAGTCCCGAAAAAAACATTAGCTGCTATTACTCTCACCATCACCATCATTATTGTCCATTCATGCTCTCTCAAAAGGCATCCAGGTCCTCTGTTAAAAAGCCATTACTGACTGAAAATTGCAAACGAGGAGAAGCTACCCAGGTTTGAAGAGGCGATGCTTTAATAGAGGCTAAACATCAGCACAATGTCAGACTGTTCTGAGCCCCTGGAGCCAAGGCATCCATCAATCTGAACATGAAGACCACCACATGTACACTGTAATGAAGAGGCCAGTGGGGTGGGAGATCTGTCTTTAATCCCTTAACTGTCCAAACTTGGGCAAATCATTACACTCCAAGGCCTCAGTTTCCTCACCTACAAAATGGGCACAAAATGATCATATACACTTCCCAGGGTTATATGGGATTATAAATGAGAAATTGTGTTGTCATGCCACTTTACAAAGCTTTAAAACTCAATACAAACGTAAGGGCTTTTGTTTTTCAAAGCCAGTTGTAACTGTTCTTCAGCCGATGCCCAGAAGAAAAGGCTGGGCTGAGGCAACTCAACCTTAGCCAGGCCCAGAGTGCTCAGAGAATGAGGCTAGAAACTCAGTCAATTACCCAAACAATTTACCACAAACAAAGCCATGAGGTTGAGGGGATCCACCAATTAGCACACCCACTAGAAAGACATCTCGGATTCCTTAATGAGTGGCATCTCAGAGGCCCAGGGAAGGGAAGTATATGAGCCCAGGTCACAGACATAGGTACTGAAAGAAGCCTGATTAGAGTCCACTTGTGACTGAATCTATATGGAAACATAAGCACTAGGCTGGGGTTTTCACAGAGAGTAACAAGTCGTATTTAAGATTTTCACTGTAATCCCAACACTTTGGGAGGCCGAGGTGGGAGGATCACCAGAGCCCAGGAGCCTAGACAAGATGGTGATACCCCGTCTCTACAAAAAATGTGAAAATTAGCCAGGCATGGTGGCATGTGCCTATAGTCCCAGCTACTTGGGAGGCTGAGATGGGAGGATTGCTTGAGCCCCGGAGTTCCAGGCTTCATTAAGCGACGATGGCACCACTGTCCAGCCTGGGAGACAAATACTGTCTCCAAAAAAAAAAAAAAGATTTTCAGTAAAAAAAAAAATAGCTCTTAATAACAGTCCGTCACTTTAGTAGGTACTATTCATACTCTATTCTGAATCCTTCCACAAACTCTAAAATGGTAGCGTAAATCCCATTTTGTGGGGGAAATCGAAGCCCAGAGAGGTTCAGTGGCCGACAGTGGGTCACGCAGTGTTTATGCATTTGAATCGAAGTTGACCCAACACCTTACAAAAGCTTGAATTATTTCCACTCTGTGACCTCCTGCCTCATGTTCCATATATACTACTTCCTTGAAACATTGATTTTCTTAGTCACTTTCTCCTGGGCTTGGCTAATTTAAATTTTGCAGCCAACACAACTGCTGCTCAAATGTGATTCAAAGAGCTTCAGGGCTTCTCTCAAGTAGAAGACCTCAGAGGGATTATGGAGAGGGAACAAATGCAGCTTGTCTCCTAAGAAAGAAGTAATTCAGCCTAAGTGAGGCTAGAATCAGGCTAGTCTGCAGGCTACTTTCCCAGCAAGAGCCAAGGGAGGTCAAGGTTGACAGGAAATCCTAAGTGAGAAACTGAAGTGCTCAGCTGCACACTGCGAGGGTTGCCAAGAAATTAATTCACTGAGGAACAGGCTTTGGAGCAGAGAAAAGTACACCACTTTTGATAAGGGCAAAAAAGCAAGCTGACAGCAAAAGTCTGGGACCTTCTTCCAAGGAGAGAGTGGCATCCTTCATTTTGCAACCCTGGGGGTGTCCAGCTGGGGGCTCCCTCTGACAACCAGCCATCCTTCATCAATTTCCATAGTAATCATGGCTATTTATTCAGCATGAGAAATGAGCAGTCAGTTGGTGAATGTGGGGAGGAGGGAGCTAGAGAAGCAGGGGTGAAATGGAATAGAAAAAAAAAATCTATAGAAACATTCAAAGGCTGAAGTTAAAATGTCCAATGTTAAAATACTGAAATGCCAAGTCTTTGAAAAATAAAACTGGAAGTAATCTTTAAGTTCAGAAAAGTCAAGAAGGCAAACTAAATGACTTTTTTTTTAAGTGCATCACTTTTGCAAGAACAAAGGACACTCACAATTTTACGTTCCCAAAAGAGAGCCAGGAATTCATGCTGTCTTTAAATTAGGATAATCATTTCAAGGCTTCCTCTTATTGCCAAGTTGGTGCTGAAGGAGACTGGTAATTTTGTCTCGGAGGGGAAAGCTACAGAGAATGTGAGGTTATGCAAGCAATTAATCCAATATTGACAGTGGGGTTTGCTGATAGACAGACAGCTCATGTGTGATCGGGCTCCAGGCTGCCTAGCATTTCCACCTCACTTGTAGCCATATTTGAATTAGAAAGAGAAATCAGAGGTGTTCAAGAAATAAGTATTTGGCGGGGAAGTGGGAGTGGTGAGAGTTTCTGGATTTTAATGAAAATAGAATTTCTACATAGGAGGGACTGGCAACAGGGCATGGGGAAAGCATGGAAAATTGGAAGAAGAAAGCTAGGAAAATTGTCTTAAATTTGAATTCTCATAAGCAGCACAAACTTTTCCTTCAATTGTATGTATATGTGCAGTAGCTTAAAAGGACTGATAGAAAACCCGATGGCTTGTCTTCTCCCTAGCCTTGTGTGATCTTGAGCAGGTTAGCTAACCTCTCCAAGCCTCAGAGAGCTGTCAGCATATTTTGAAGGCCCACTATGTGCTGGATATTGGCCTGGATGCTGAAGAACCAGTGGCAAACCAGGTAGAGCTTCTGCCCTCAGGAAGCTTACATTCGAGTGGGGATGAGAGACAAAAAACAGAAATATATGCTCAAATTCCAGGTAGTGTCAAACTGGATGAGGAACTACGGAGTGATGGAGGAAGAAGAGGGGAAAAGCCCTTTTGGAAAGAGTAGGTGGAAAAAGTTTTCTCGGAAGAGAAAATATTTGAGCAGAGAACTCAACAGGGCAGGGCTTCTCAACCTCCGCACTGCTGATATAAGGCCAGATAATTCTTTATTATGGGAGCTGTTCTGGTTAATGTAGGAGGCTTGGCAGCATCCCTGGACTCTACCCACTAGAAGCCAGTAGCAATCCCCTATCCCAGATGTGACAACCAAAAATGTCTCCAGACATTACCCAGTGTGCCCTGTGAGGGCACTCCAGCTGAGAACCACTGGAAGTACAGTAGGAGAGAGAATGAAAGAGTCAGTCTTCCAGGTAGAAGGAAGGGCCAGTGAAAGGCATATAGGTGGGAATAAGCTGGGTGATTTAGAAGAACAGGAAGAAGTTTAGAGCACGTAGACTGCCGAAGTCAGAGGAGAAGGAAATGGTCAAAGGGAGAGTCAGAGAAGTAGTGAGGAACCAGATCACATAGGGCTTTGTAGATAGCCGTGGGAGGTTTGGAACTGGAGTGGCAAGAGAAACTACTGTAAGGTTTGGGCAGGAAGAGGATTTGACCTGATTACACCTTGAAAAGCTCACTCTCGCTGCTGTGTAGAGAACTGAACACAGGGCAGAACAGAAGCAACAGGACCACGTAGGAGGCTTGTCCAGGCATCAAAACGAGACACTCGTTCTGTAGACTGTGGTGATGGCAATGGGGATTTGGAGATGTTGCCAGATTTGAATTCTACTTCAGTGGAAGGACTGATAGAATCTGATGATGTATTGGATGGGAAATAAAAGGAAAGGAAGCCAAGGAATTGCCTAGGACTGGACATGAACAACTGGGTGGGGCTGCTGCCATCAAATGGGACTGGGGAGAACTGAGCAATAGCAGGTTTAGGTGGAGGAATCAGTAGGCTGTCTTCTTGGGCAAGTCTACTTCGATATGCTTCTTCAGCATTCAGGTGGGGGGTTTGCATAATGCTTGACACATAGCAAGGGATCAGTCAAGGGGGCAAGAAGAGGGGAAAAGCAGACATGCCTGGACAATAAGAGCATAAAATGATTTACATGATTTACTTCACCACGGCTTATGAACTCCTCATTTAAAGTATGCATCTCTCTCATATATTTCAATTAAGACAAATTTAGATAGAATTTTTTATTTGTTGGTTTTGTTTTGTTTTAAACAGAGTCTCGCGCTGTCAAACAGGCTGGAGTGCAGTGGCGCGATCTTGGCTCACTGCAATCTCCACCTCCCGAGTTCAAGTGATTCTCATGCCTCAGCCTCCCGAGTAGCTGGGATTACAGGTGTGCACCACCATGCCTGGCTAATTTTTGTAATTTTAGTAGATACACGGTTTCGCCATGTTGCCAAGCCTGGTCTCAAACTCCTGGCCTCAAGTGATCCACCCGCCTCAGCCTCCCAAAGTGCTGGGATTACAGGTGTGAGCCACCTCACCCGGCCCAAAAATTTTATCTGTCTCATTCACCTGTACATTTTTGCTTCCAATCTTTTCCTTAAATATGAGAGTTGATAAGAGAAATTATTTGGGTATCTGGAATCCATCATCCACGAGAATCTTGGTTAATCTTCATGACTCTCCCTCTGTTTATTTATTAAGGAGTAAATCAATGGCAGAGTTAATTGAAACAAATCTCTTTAGAAAATTTTCCCTATGGTTTCTCACATTCCAAAAAAAGTTACACTCCTGGGAGAAAGATTACACACTCTGAGCTGTTAACTACAGAAAAAAAGTGATTTTTAAGGAGTTTAAGGGTGATGTTTATATTTAGAGCAAACTGGGCTCCCTGTTGTTGAGTCGAGAAATTGCTATTGGTCATTATTTAAATAACCTCCTGCTGATTCTCCATGGAGCATGCTGCACACACATGTCTCTGTGCAAAGCATCTCCATCCCAAGTGGGTGGCTGCCATTAAGAGCATCTACCACTGCAACTTCAGGTTTTTGCTTTTTATTTGAAATCATTGTTTTCTCTTCCTTGGCCATCTTAATCCATACAACACAGCTCTTCCAATTATTAGCACATGGAACCTTAATTTCAGATTCTCTGGGACAGGAGTTGGCAAACTTTTTAAACGAAAGGCCAGAAAGTAAATATTTTAGACTTTGCAGGCTGTACAGTCTATCCCAATTATGCAACTCTAATGTTGCAGTACAAAACCAACCACAGACAATATGTAAATCATCGAGTGTGACTGTGTTCCAATAAAATTTTATTTACAAAAACTGGCCATGGCTAGGATTTGGGCCATGGGCTGTAAATGGCCACTCGCCTCTGCTCTGGAGGATTAATCTTTTAGATGATACCCAAATGTCTGTAGAGTGACTTCCAGGTACACAGTATAGCCCATATTAAGTCAGTCATTTAGAATACAGCTTCCAGCCAGGCGCCATGGCTCACGCCTGTAATCCAAACACTCTGGGAGGCTGAGGTGGGTGGACCACCTGAAGTCAGGAGTTCGAGACCAAGCTGGCCAACATGGTGAAACCCCGTCTCTACTAAAAATACAAAAATTAGCCAGGCGTGGCAGTGCTAGCCTGCAATCCCAGCTACTTGGGAGGCTGAGGCAGGAGAATCGCTCGAAGCCATGAGGCAGAGGTTGCAGTGAGCCAACATCGTACCAGTGCACTCCAGCCCGGGTAACAGAGTGAGACAACATCTCAAAATAAATAAATAAATAAATAAAACAAAACAAAAATACAGCTTCCAATAGATCTGTTGAAAATCTATCGTAATACCTATAGGTAGAACTATAATATATTTTCTTTTCAAGTTTCATGTTAGGGATTTAGGCATTTGAAATTCCAATAGAGTAAGTAAGTATTTGGTGGTATATCAGTTATGCTTGTTATTACAATAGGGCTATATAATAAATCACTCCGAAACATTGTAGCCCAAAACAACAACCATTTATCCGAAGTCTATGGATCACCTGAATTAATCTGGCCTGGTTTGCTAATCTTAACTGGGCTTGCCCAGCTGTCTGCAGTCAATTGGTAAGTTGGGTAGGGCTTGCTTGTTTCAGATAGCCTTGACTAGAATGACTTGGTCCTGCTCCACCTGGTCTCTTGTGCCCCAGCACACTATCCAGGGATTATTCTCATGGCATGGCTGGAGTCCAAGAGTGAGCAAGACCAACTGTGTCAGAGAGCATGTGAAGTGTATAAGACCTTTTGAGACTTAGACCCAGAACAGTCATGCTCTCATTTCCACTGCATTCTTTTGGTTACAGTAAGTCACAAGGTTAGCCCAGAATTGTACTGAAACAGGACTGTAAAGGTTCAGGACAAAAAGAATTGAATACAGAGAAGCCCTTAACTGGGGTCATCAGTGGAGCCAATCTACCACCATGACCACTCCAACACCAGCTCATTACTGGCATGCTTTCAGGATAGGAATACCACTTAAGCAGGGGGAGGGTGGGAGAATTAACTGATTGACGGATTCTTTGAAAACCTATGTTCTAATACATTAGATTTTTAGGATAGCTGAAAGATGGCATTGCTCATTTTCCCATATTTAACCATGCTTAAGAGAAGTGCTTTATAATTTTAAGGATGATTGCCATAGGATATGCCTACGTCGCAATGTTGGGTCTTAACAGAGATATCTTAAGAAGCCAAATGGCACCAAAATACTCCAGTTGTACGGTCAAATTAAAGGAAGAAAAAACAAAAAACAAAAGCCTGTCAGGAAACAAAAACACAATGCACTGTGCTCCCCACCTTCCTCCAGACAGCCCCCCTTGGGCATTGGATGCTTATTGTTGGCCACCTCAGTAGTCTGGACAAAAATCTTCCAGCAGGAAATCACATCAAAGCTGTCTCATTTCTTTTGTAGAAAGCTCCATGGAAACATTATTTATTAGAACCCCTTGGCTGCAAGTAACAGAAACCAACTTGAGCTAGCTAAAGTGCTTAAAGGAGGAAGAAAATAAAAACACATCACAGGGATACAGGTTGTCTCTCAGAAGCCATGGACAAAGATGCGGCTGAGCTTTAGGAAGGGGCTGGAAAGCAGCCAGGGACCAAGAGAGTACTTTCCTCCTCTCATCTCTGCCTCCTTTATTTCTCTCTCTGCAAACTGGCTTTAGCCTATGTAGTGATAACTATGTGATGGAAAATGGCTGTCTCATTGTTCCTAGGTTTTATTTTTCTCAGCTGGGATTGAGCTAAACTGTCTTAAGTCCTAACTCCATATCCCTGAGAGATCGGACTTTATTTGCCCAGCTTAGCAAATAAAGTCCACTCTGGTTCAATCATCTATAGCCAGGGTCAGAGACAACAAACAAGGTTCCCAGGACCCCTCCTTTGTGGGTGAAACAGGCACTTAAGGGGTTGTTGGGAGTCACATAAGTATACGTCAAAAGAGCTTATGATAGGAATTCTCTCCAGTTTTAGGAAGAGATTTCAATAAGAAGGAGGAAAAGAGGTCAACCCTGTGATGTCATCAAGTCATGTATTCAAACTCTCTTGATTCCGCACAGCCCTTCAATTTTGTATGTTCTCCCACTCATCAGGGGCATTTATGAGGATGATCTAACACACTGAGAAGATTACTAACAGTTTACCAGTGTCTTAGTTTGGGGGCCCTAAGCAGAAGGCTCCGAGTCAGAGATTCGAGGGCAAATTGCTTATTTGGGAGGTGAACCCAGTAAATGCCAATATGGGAAGAATAGAAGGAGCCAATGAACAGTATTAACAAGCAAATCATCCCTGTGGGCAACTGCGCTTAATCCTGCTGGGGAACTCTGAGAACAGTGTGGATTATCCACCCAAGGTCTGTCGATCATGGGTTGAGGGCTGCTGGTCACTGCCAGCCTGCTTGCCTGCATGAGGAGAGCTGGCTCCACCAGCCAGAGAAAGCTCACAGGCAGTGAGGCTCAGAACCTGGCCATGGGATGGAGGTCCAGTCGGTGTATTCTGAAACAGTTGCTGGCCATACCAGCAAGGGGAGTGGGTGTAACAAAATAGGGAAGGCGTACATAGGTACATAGGTGACAAGATCTTACCTGCTTAAAAAGGCCCACACGAGGAAGAGGCAAGTGTAGAAGCAGTGAGACCGACCAGAAAGCTCTGTCATGAGTCCAGGCGCAAGACGCCAAAGTCTTGAAAGAGCATTAGTGGGGAGAAAGGAGCGAGCTGGTGGGCAGCTGGGAAGAGTTATAAGGAAGGAAGTGTTCACAGGAATTACTAATAGATCAGAAAGTGAAAAGGATGACTCCAAGGTGGATTTGGTTTTGTTGGTTTTTATTTTGTCCTCTCTGGCCTTGAATGAGCAGAATTTTGTGAGGTAGTCCAGGCCAATTAGAAGCCAGGATGCAGGAAAGGGCCAGGCCATGCTCTAGGACTGGAGGCCTGGATCTGGGGTGAGTTGGGGTCTGATTCTGCGAGGCACATGCTGCCCTGTCTTTCAGCAATCAGTGGCCATCAGAAGCTTTTATGGGGGAAGGGTGCCATGATCAGATGTGTTTTAAAAGGTTATTTTGGCCAATCATGAAAATTGGATTGTTAGAGGAAAGTGTAGAGGCAAAGGGATCCAGGTACAAAGTTAACATAATCCCGAAAGAATGAGATGGGAGAGGAGGGTAGACTTACAGCAATGACATTGGCATTGATGCAGAGGGATGGTCAAAAGAGTAGGTGATTGATTGTATGTGAGGTAAGTGAGAAAGAAATGGGTTAAAGAAGGCTCTGAGGTTCACCACTGGGTTGATAGGGAGGATGGTAAAGCTTTTCCCTGAGCTACCGGGCACAGGCAGAGAGGCAATTCCAAGAGAAGTCATTTTCTCTTTGGGAGGGCTGCCAGATACAATGCAGGAGGCCCAGTTGCATTTGAGTTTCAGATAAACAACAAATCATTTTTTAGGGTAAGTATGCCCCCATGAAATAATTAGGATATACTTACCCTAAAAGTATTTCTCCTATTTCCATGTATTAGATCAGTGTTCCTAAACTTTGCTGCAGATTAGAATCACCTGGGGAAGATTTTAAACTTCCAGACTGCACCATGCAGTACTTGGGACATACCCTCAAAAATGATTTGTTTATCTGAAATTCAAATGTAACAGAGCCTTCTGTATTTTTAATCACTAAATCTGACAACCATACTCTTTGGATGTGCTGAGTTTAAAGTGTCTGTGGGACAGAGTAAGCAGGTGCAGATATAGGTCTTGCATTGAACGAAGAGGTCTGGGCTAGAAGTGCACACCTGAGAGTCACATATAGTAGATTATTCAGCCTCTGGTTTGCACACCTGATTGCACTTTGGAATCACCAGGAAAGATATGCGGAAAAAACAAAACTACTGATGATCAGAGATTCTCCGTTAATTAGTCTATGGTGCAGTCTGGAAGTTTGAAAGCTCCCCCATGTGATTCTAATATGCAGCAAAGTTTAGAACCACTGATCTAAGCAATGGAAATAGATGAAATCACCAAAATGGAAACGAATGCCCAAGAGGGATTCCTGGGGAGCCATCAGTGCATAAAGCGGGCAGAGGGACCAGGAGAAAACAAAGGGAGGGTACGCATCACAGGGGGAGGAAGGAAACATCAAAGCCAAGGGGAGAGAATCCAGGAGGCAGTGGTCCCCTGTGTCCAGGGCTGCAGAAAGGGAAGAGAAGAAAGGTAGCACTAGACTTGTCTATTAGGACAGGTGGCCTTGGTGGCTGAGGGCCACCAGGGGGCGATGTGGAAGCCAAATTGCAGGGGGTGAGGCGTGTATGAGCGGTGAGCGAGGCGATGCACCAGCTAACTTGGTATTCATAAGCAAACCCTTTTACTCCTCTTTTTCCGTATCTGAAAAGCAAAGAAGATGCCACCTTCCCTACTAGACTACCAAGAGGACGAAAGTCAGATGAAAAACAAGGTGCTGTGAAATTTCTTTTAGCTTGAGGTTCCGGAAAGAATACAACACCGACTTTAGAACAAGCACTCCCACCATCATCACCTCCCAGGTCAGTGACCATGGTCTTGATAGCAGTCTCTGAACCTCAGTTATCACAACTGTAAACAGGAGGTAATCGTACCTATCTTAATAGGTGTTCTGAGGAATAGATGGAGTCCCAGGACAGTGCCTGGCACATTGGAGGTGTTTTTGGCTTCAATTTTTGTTTTTTTTCAAACTGCAAAGGGCTGTGCAAATACCAGATGATGATGATAACAATGATGATGGTTATAAAGGAAGAAGGAGGCAAACTCTAGAGGAGTTAAAAGATAGAAGCCACACAGAAAATGAAGATTTCCTGGATGTAACCTGTGGTTTACTTGATAGAGTTTCAGCAGAGTCTCGTCATCACGCTTTCCTTTTCTGAAAAGGGCAGGGGCAGTAAGAAGGGAAAGAGGGGGAAGAGACAGAATGAATGAATAACTATGAGTGAGAGAATACACCATTTCTCTAATTTACCTGTTGGGGTTTCAGGGGTAACAACTTGAAGTCTTCCCTCACTACTAAGGGATATTAATTTCCCTTGGGGTGTTTTCCTCTTCATCTCACCATTAAAAGAACCTGAAAATAGCTATCACAAATGAGGTTTGCATTTTTCCACTGCTGACCATGACTGCTTATTCCAATATCCTTCCTCCCGCCGAACTGCTCAGGTATGTGAGACGGCAGGCAGGATCAAAGCCACTACTCGGGTTAAAAATTGCCTAATTTGCCGAATTATAATAGAACTCAGAGTGGACTTCCTGTCTTCAAAGCACCTTACAAAAGTTAACTAATTAATCGTCATAACACCTTGTGAGGTGTGCATTATTATTACATTCAAGGTGAAGCTTTAGTTAGTGGCTGAAATTTAAATAAGGCCACTTGATAGAAGTAACCCAACTGAAAATGTAACCAAACATAGAATGGCTTTGGATTTCACAAACTGCTCTCCAAGAATCCTGTATGTTATGACTAAGCAATTGAAGACTGCCTCAGCAGCCATTGGAAACATAGAAAAGGAAATCGTTTACTGAGATACCCGCTGTTTCAAAGAAGCATTCAAATCAGCAATTTCGGAGGGATGCAGACTTACCTAAAATTACATGTTCTGCAAAATTAAGATGTCAACGTTCTTTGAAATTATTCTCCCAATTGCAAGGCCCCAGCAAATCTTTATCATTTGGCTTAGAGCAGAGTTTCTCAACCTGGGCACTGTTGACACCTGGGGCTTCATATGGTTTGGCTCTGTGAGCCCAGGCAGATCTCACCTTGAATTGTAATAATACCCATGTGTCAAGTGTGGGACCTCGTGGAGATAACTGAATCATGGGGATGGTTTTTCCCATGCTTTTCTAGTGAGATCTGATGATTTCATAAGGGGCTTCCTCCTCTGCTCGGCTCTCATTCTTTCTCTCCTGCCACCCCGTGAGGAGGTGCCTTCCAACGTGATCATAAGTTTCCTGAGGCCTCCCCAGCCATGTGGAACTGTGAGTCAACTAAACCACTTTTCTTTATAAATTACCCAGTCTCAGGTATTTCTTCATAGCAGCATGAGAACAGACTGATACAGAGCTGGATCATTCCTCATTATGGGAGGCTTTCCTGTGCATTGTAGGGTGTTTAACAACATCCCTGGCCTCTACCTACTGTATGCCAGTAGCCCACCAACCTCTTCCCCAAGTTGTGACAATGAAAATGTCCGCAGATATTGCTAACTGTACCCTGGAGGCAAAATTGCCCCTGAGAACTACTACCTTAGACAAGAGGTCAGAGTATTTCTCTCCAGTATTGCACATATCCAGAGAGCCCCTGTAGATTTAAAAAAAAAATGTTTTTGTCTTCCCTGAGCCATTACTCTGATCCAAATGAACAAAGAATTTCAGATTTTCCCATGACATGAGGGGACGTGGGTGAGCCAGCACAGAGGGTCCTTAAAGATGCACAAAATGGTAAATGCTGAATTTTGGTAACTGGGTGCTACTCACCCAGACAACTCAGTCTGCATAGCGACTGGAAAGAGAGCTGGAGGTGTCTGCCTGGGGCCCAGAACTTTTTAAATCCTCCCAGGCTTCCCACTGGCAATGCTAATTTTCAAGGAAGGCTTGCATCCCACACAGGACATTTCTGGCCTTGCCTGCCTCCTCCAACTTTGCATCCTCAAATGCCAAATTCTCCCACTTTGTAGCTTAGCAGGCAGAGAAGCAGCTGAAAACCCTGCGGGCTATTGAGAATGAGTAATTGGATATCAGCCTTAAAAATAATCAATCCCTTCCCCCCGCATCCCTTCCCATCTCCATTTCCTCTCTTGCCTCCCCCTACCCTCAGAGGTAAAGGAAATCTTAATCACTTTTAGACCAAGGAGGCAAAATCATACTATATTAAGCTTTTTAAGAAAAAATGTAAAGGAATTTATCCCATGGCAGACAAAGTACAAAGTATTAAAGTATAGGAGATACATACATCTGCTATGTACTAAATTACCCCCAAAATTCATATGTTGCAACTCTAATCCCCAATGTGACTGTATTTGGAGATAGGGCCTTTAAAGGAGGCAGTTAAGGTTAAGTGAGGTCATACGGGTGGGGCCACAATGTGATAAGACTGGTGTCTTTATAAGAAGAGGAAGAGACCCCAGGGGTACGCACAAAGGGAAAAGGCCACCTAAGGACATAGTGAGAAGGTGCCCACCTGCAATTCAGCAAGTGGGCCCTCACCAGAAACCAACCCTGCCAACACCTTGATCTTGGACCTGCAGCCTCCAGAACTCTGAGAAAATCCATTTCTGTTGTTGAAGCCACACAGTTTGTGGTATTCTGGTATGGAAGCCCTAGCTGACTAATATGCTATAGAACACAGGTGACCCTCCATATCTGCAGATTCGACCAATCGTGGATCAAAAATATTTGAGAAAAAAAATTGTCTACTGAACATGTGCAGACCTTTTTCTTGCCATTATTCCCTAAATAATACAGTATAACTATTTACATAGCACTTATATTGTATTAGGTATTATAAGTAATTTAGAGATGATTTAAGGTATATGGGAGGATGTAGGTTATATGCAAATACTACACCATTTTGTATCAGGGACTTGAGCATCTTTAGATTTTAGTATCTGCAGAGGGTCCTGGAACCAGTCCCCCATGGAGACCAAGGGATGACTGTACAATTTAGCAGTTAAAAAAAAAAGGCATAGATTCAAAAGATGAATTAAGTGGGAGAAAATAACACCACTGAACAATAGGTACATTATTATGCACTTGTAATTTTAGAACCCCACAGACAAAAAACATACACACACACACACACACACATATGCTTTTGTGCATTAGCAGATATCCTGACATGTCTGGAAGGAGCGTTCCAATATGGCAACAGTGGTTAGCTCTGGGAAGAGACTGGAATTGAGGAAGGGAGTGGTTAAGAGTTTTTATCTTACACTATTTGGACTTTTTTAAAAAACCAAACTAACGTAGTATGCATTACTTGCATCGTAAAACAAAATATTAAGGGTTTTTCTGTTTTGGGTTTTTTTGTTTTTTTGGTCTCAACTGCTCTTCTTAGTCTTCTCAAAGCCTGAATCATGTTCTTGGTGACACCCACATCAGGCCCCTCCTGAAAGTAGCATAAAATCATAGAGAATATGGCATTCTTTCTGGTTTAAATTCTATAAATGGACCAGACCATTTCCCACTGTTTCAGTGTAACCATCAATGACATAGTGGGGGAGGGGCACGAAGAAAGAACAGTTTCCTCAAAATCCAAAATAAAGCTCATTAATAGGAACAAGGATTGAGACATTTTAATTATCCAGGCATGCGCCTGTGGAATTTCTCATCCATTTTAATGGAATCCAGGAAGGGAGAGGGAATACATTTTTAATAAAAATAAAGAGTGAAACAAAAACCAATCCAGACAAAATACACCAAAGTAACAAAAATAACCCCCATGAAATAGATTTCAAAAATAAAACTGAAATAAGTTGAGGGGAGAAAACATCATCAGCCAGACTCCTGGGGTGATTTCACAGGGCCCGTGACAGTGCACAACAATTTTGCACATCTAGCTACAGGAAATGGTTCCCGTGTTACAAGTTTCCAATAAGACCAGTTAAAAGAAAGCAACTGGAAACAAAGGTACTCCCAGCCCAAATGTGTTCTCTGGAACCCAATTGTTGGCCCTGGTAGGAAGAATAAATAAAATCTTTGCTTCTTTCTAAAAAGGAGAGGAGCACATCATTTTCCTTTCACATAGTTTGTGGTAATTCTAAGAGGTTTTAGGATGATCCACATGTTGAATGTGGGTTGTTCTCACTGCTTTTTATTTTAGCAATGGGGAGGGTCATTTGGTCCCCTCTAAATAGCTTTTTTTTTGTCTCTCCTTTCTTCCTCTATGGGAATAGGCAGTGAGTTTTTCTCCCTAAGGCTCACAGACATATTTCACTTCTTGCTTCTATTTCTCCCCATGGCTATGGTAGATCTTTAGTCTCATGGGCCTTCCCTCCATGCCTGGAATAAAACACACACCCTTGGCCATGAGGCCTTTGCTCAGGTCTTGCTTCCTCCTTGGAAAGAGCTCTTCCTTCTTGCCTCCCTTTTTTCTTCTATCAAGATTAAGTCCTCCAATTACAGACACTCAAGGGCACCACATACACTCCATAGCTGTTACCACAATTTAACTCAATTATCCAATGTCTGTCTTTCCTGGCAGATTCTGAACTTCAGGAAGGCTGAAGTTTTATTGCTTTTGTTTGACGCTGAGTGCCCAGCATCAAGCCTGGAAAATAATACTCAGTACATATTTGTTAACAAACTGCTTTGGCCTGATTTATATTTTTAGAAGACAATGGAGTGAGTTAAGGTCAGCTAAGGTATAATTTCCCAGGGATAAGTGGAAAATCTAAATCATAAAATTCCTCCTAGAGGGGGTGGCTATAGGGAGGACTGTCAAATAGATGGGTTGGAGAGATAGATGACATTTTCACTAGTCTTGACACATTCTGCAGCCAATAAAAGAGATACTGTCTAGTTCTAGATTTCGTGACTATCTCAAATGTACTCTTGATTTCTCCTTTGGTCCCAAATTAGGGCTGGTCATATCAATGGTACCTTCTGGGTCACTGGACTGGACCAGTGTTAGAGTTGCTTACATAAATACTAGAGCTTCTACGTAAATGACACTTTTTGTCAGTAGCATTTTCCCAAGAGTATTTTTCCCCTAAATTTTAAGGCTTGTATGTTATTTTGGTCATAGGAATGTCACACTCCACTCATTCACTCATAACACAATTATTTTTCAGCCCCAAAGTTGCCTGCTAAAATTATTTGTGGGTAGAGATGGGGACAGAGACATCATAAATACTTTGGAAACCAAGAACTTGCTAGAAATAATTTTCCCTCTTCATGACTGCTGATTGTCAACTATTCAATATTCTCTTGTTAACATACCACATGTTCTATTTAAATAAGAACATAAAATATTTCTCAAAAGAATTTAAGTGAAAAAATACTATAGCTTAATCTTGATTAAATGATGGTGTTTCTGACCTGTTCTTGAGAACAACTGTCCTTATTAGTGAATAAATTCAGTGGTGACAGGAATGTAAAACAGAATTCACAATTGATATATACATGTCCATTATGTTTATATTTGGCTAATAATTTTGTGCAAGTAGGAAGGTTGTTTAGTTTACTTTCGGAAAATAATCTCACACCATCTTTTCTTTGAGCTGCTGCATCATCGCAACCTTAAAAAGGCAAGCATAGACACCTTATGAAGAAAAGAGAAAGCAAAGCAGACACATTCAATCCCCATCAGGCTATGGGGTTAAAGCTGATGGACAAGGGCATGGCTCTCTATTAAAATCACCTGGGGCCTTTTATAAACCCCGGCTACACCCAGAGCAACCACATCAGAATCTCTGGAAGTGGGCCCAGGCATCAGCGCTTTTCAAGCTCCCCAGGTGATTCCAATGTGCACCCAAGGTACGAACCATTGGTTCAGCGGCTCCGCTGAGCCTGGTAACTCTCATCTGATGGGAAAAGGTCCCACAGACTGCAAGCACTTTGCTAAAAACAGCTGCTCCCAATAAAAGAATGCAAATTCTCAGTAACATCGGTGTCACCAGAAAAAAGGAGGATTAGGAGTCACAATTTATCTCTTCAAAACTATTTAAACAAACCACTTAATGGTACCAGGTTTTAAAGTATAAAGTTCTTCACTGCAGCATGTTTTTGTAATAACAATTGCGTGTCCATAGAGGATTGGTTAAGTAAATTGTGGTCAACTTTAGAATATGCAGCTATGAAGAGACAGCACAATACTTTTGTTTACTGAGTATACAAACTATGTCCTGGGCACTACTCCAGGACCTTGGAATTCATCAGATTCAGGACAAAGATTCTTGCCCTCATGAAACTTAATGAAGAAACTTATTCTAGAAGAGGCCAGCTACGTAACTGGCAAGACTTGGTGCAAATTGAAAATGTGGGGGTCCTTATTCAAAAATTACTGAAAATTCAAGACCATGAGAGCAGAGCATTAAATCAAGCAAAGGGCCCTTCTAAGTGCAAGGCCCTGTGTGAGTGCACAGTTTGCATCTCCACAAAGCTGGCCCTGATTATAAAGGAGACAGGTGATAAACAATAGACACCTTGGGAGGCTGAGGCCGGCGGATCACCTAAGGTTGGGAGTTTGAGACCAGCCTGACCAACATGGAGAAACCCCGACTCTACTAAAAATACAAAATTAGCCTGGCATGGTGGCGCATGCCTGTAATCCCAGCTACTCGGGAGGCTGAGGCAGAAGAATCCCTTGAACCTGGGAGGCGGAGGTTGCGGTGAGCTGAGATCGTGCCATTGCACTCCAGCCTGGGCAACAAGAGTGAAACTCCATCTCAAAAAAAAAAAAAAAATAGACCATGAGTAAGCACATAGATTACACACCACGTTAGAAGGTGTTGAGTGCCGCAGTGGGGAAAAGAGTAGAACACGGGACACAACTTGCAATTTTAAATAGGGTGATCAGGGTAGGATGCATTGGAAGAATGACAATTGAGCGAGGATTTGAATAAAGGGAGGGAGTCAGCCGTGGATATCTGAGGAAAGACCAGTCCCAGGCAGGGGACCAGCTAGAGCAAAGCCCCTAAGGCTGAGTGTGCCAGAGTGGAAAAGAGGGGCCAACCCCATCCCGGAGGACCTCAGAGCCTACTCTAAGGACTTTGACCTTTCACTTGACATTTTAAAAGAGTAGCTCTGCCTGCTACAGGGAGAGGAATCTGTAGGTGGCACAGGGAAAAGGCAGAGAGAACCGTAAGGAAGCTAATCCAAGAGTGGGGGAGAGAGAAGGACAAAGAATGGGAATGAGTGACGTATAAAAGGCTTTATTTTTATGTGTGTGTGTATATCTATATATACATACATACTCCTAACTTGAAGAAATACCCACAATATGTAAGGTAAAGGAACAGTTCATAACATAGTAAGGGCTAATGGCCCATTTTTTCATAAAAACTATATATACGTACACATATACCCATACAGTTATACACACACACACACACACACACACACACACAGAAAGACTAGAAATGTCACGAATCAAGCTGCTAATAACAGTTATTTCTGTGGATTGGGATTGACAGGTGTAAGGAAGAATGTCACTTTTTATACTTTCCTGAAATGCTTGAATCTTTTATTGTAAATATGCATTTGTAAATATGCATTCGTATTGTAAATATGAATTCGTTTTGTAAATAAAAACTGCTTTTAAAAATGGGGTATCATAGGATTGAGTGGTTTCTTTCTTCACACTCAAACATGGGGAATGGCTAGCAAAGACTGGATAATACATAGACAGGCTTCTGTAACTTGAGAAAGATGTGGTCAACTTAAAAAAAATGAAAATAAGATTAGGTTTGAAACAAGGATCTGGAAAAAAAAAAAAGGCTAGTAAGGTGGGAATTTGTAAACCTGTAGAAAACCCAGTAGAATAGTAAATGATGGACCTTACCTAACAGAAGAAATTGGGTACAAAGTGTTCTGCACGTATTAATTAAGGTATAGGGAAGAGAAGCTGAAGGATTTAGGTTGGAAATAAAATGAACTCTTTTAGTAAGAGGAAGGTAAACATGGGCTTGGGGACTTCTGAACTTTGAGAACTGCATGGTACAGGAGGGGTTTTCGTGGTAACAATTGCTGCCCTGGACAGCCCCGGTGGCTAACTGGATTCTTTCCACCTCTCTCCAAGTCCGCTCTCCCATGGTGCTGTGAGGCCATCTTTCTCAAACTTAAACCTGAGCTGGTCACCTCTCCCTCCCCGAACACACACACAGCTCGCCGGAGGCCCTGTTAAAACTCTTCAGTGGTCTTCTGTTATTCTGAAGTCTACAATCTGGAACAAGTCCAGCCTGGCACAACCCTTATTCCCTTCACAATGCAACCCTTCCCTTCTAGACCACACTCCCTTGCACTTGGGCCTTTGCTCAGCCTGCACTTTGTTCCTTCTTTCACTGATTAGCTTCCTCTTCCTTCTGGCCTCACTTGAATTATAACCTTCTTCAATCTGGCTAAATTTCCTATTAGTTGCTATCAGAGGACCCCGTGCTTCTGCTTGGTATGCAGTTTGCAAGCATTTGTCTTCTCCCCACCAACTACGAGCACTTGAGACCAGGAACCAGGCATTTCTAGCCCCCACCATGTACCTGGCACAGAGCTGATCTTCAATAAATGTGTTGAGGAAATGAGAAATAGAGTAGCAAGCCTTGCCTATTACACATGCAGGAATGAACAGCCTTTCTGAGATATTTTCCCTTCAATTCCACAATCTTATGAGACCAAAGAGAATTTATTCTCTGAGGGATAAATATAAAGTACAGCACTTAATGGAGTGGTGTTTAGAGCTCTCAGCTGTGAAGACCATGCCTTTATTCCCTCCAGAGACATGACAATAAAGACTTTTCAGTTAGGTGGAAAGGTGATGCAGTCAAGGGTAGCAGTCGCATGCAATACTTGAGTATTTACTGTATAATTCAACAGTTATCACTACTTTGCTTAAATCCATGTACTTGCAAAGAGATCTTGTGCTTTGGATCCATTGGACACCTAATAACTACACTAATGAAGTAAAGCCACACTCCTCTTGCCTCTGACAATGACCACAATGCATAAAGACATCACTTAGGGGTGGGAGGGAGTAGTCAAACAATTTTCACAGAAGATCCACTCCTGCAAAAAATACCCTAAATCATTGTGTTGGAGAGGGCATTTCCCTTCACATAAGCTTCTAATGATTTGTATTGCCAAAGCACTTGGATCTCACTGTGCTAAACATCCACGATGCTGATGGTGTTGCCTCAAAGGAGAAATCGCTTGGAGGAACTTGAAAGGGCTTTTCCTTTTATGATTAATGCAGGCCACCAAAGGTGGTCTCGGATTGCCCCCAGCTGGAAAAATCCTGACGGCATAATTGAGTCTCTGCACATTTGGTGTGGCTGTTTATGGCAGGCAAAGAACTTGCATGACATAAGGGCTTTACAAACAGCTTCAACTGTTGGTTAAGCCAGGGACCACTTTGAGATGCCATCTTTTATAAAGGAGATACTAGGGAAGTGAGCAGAGTTCATAATTACCATCCTGGTGACAAAGCAAAATACAGCAAAGGAGATGGGTTGGAGGAAGGCCTACTATTCAACAAAATGCCTTTTGAACGCCCAGGAGATTAGGTTCTGGAGGAAAACCCCAAACACTAAGTCATAAAAAGGAACAACCAAAAACTGTGTGAAGGAAACTGGAAAGTTATTCAACACTACCTGATCCACCCCCACGAACGTTAGGTCACTTGAGAATGGTTAACTTTCGTATCTAGTGTGACTTGGGAGTATATCTAATTCCACACACATCTACCTCCTGAAGTTAGACTTAGAGATGACTTTGTCTCAGTTTTCACAGCACAGCATTTTGGTTTCATATTCCTCAGCAATGGTTAAGTGTAGTATTTTGTTGAATAGTATGTACTATACTATTCATAATTAAAAGGCCTTCTTCCCCATTTTAATAGAGTGAGAAAATAATTTTTTCTTACAGGCACGGTGGCTCATGCCTGTAATCCCAGCACTTTGGGAGGCTGAGTTGGGCAGATTGCTTGAGCCCAGGCATTTGTGACCGGCCTGGGCAAAAGGGCAAAACCCCATTTCTATAAAAATACCAAAAATTATTTGGGCATGGTGGCATGCCCCTCCAGTCCCAGTTACTCGGGAGGTTGAGCAGGGAGGATCACTTGAACCTGGGAGGTTGAGGCTGCAGTGAGCTGCGATCATGCCACTGCACTCCAGCCTGGGCGTCAGAGTGAGACCCTGTCTCAAAAAAAAAAAAAAAAAAAAAAAAAGTTTTTTTCATTTATTTTGATTGGAAAATAAACCAGGACAACAAAAAGAGTAGAGTACTCATTGCCACGCAGAAATCTTCCTCAATTAAAAAAAAAAAAAAAGTTCGTGTCATTTACTGAGGACTCTTCTGATTGCCAAAGATGTGTATCTATTCTTAGCTCTGTGAAGTATGTCCTTTTACAGATGAGGAAATGGAGGCTTCAGAGGAGGTTAAGGAATGTGCCCAAGAATCACACCAGAAGTGATGAAGCTCTTAGCTTGGCAGGATTTGTTTTATTATCAGGGTTCTGTGCTATACTGTGCTGTGCTGTTTAAACTTTCATGTGCATAAGGCATAGCTGAGGATCTTATTAACTGTACATTCTGACTCAGTAGGTCTGGAGTAGGGCTGAGAATCTGCATTTCTAACAAGCTCCTCAGTGATGATGAGGCAGCTGGTCCACAGACCACACTTTGAGTAGCAAGGCACTATGCTATTGCAATGGCATAGATCCTGCTCTTTCAACACAACGGCATTTCATCAAGTTGGAGTCAGGGGCCCTCAATTGATTACTTGACCCTGATACATTTGAGACAACATAGAGACAAGGAAGATATCAATCCAGAAGCAATAGTGGTTGTGGAATGCATACATTTCCATGTATTTTTACAGTAAAAATGCATTAAAAAATCTTTCACAAAAGAAACTTAAAAAATACAATTAGGGTGTTGAGTCCTCCCCCCCAACATTCTTTCAGGCATCAACTGTGTAACGGAGGGAGACAAATTCCTAAATCGTTTGATTTCATCATACAAAATACTCATCCATTATCTCTCATCAAGACATTTACATTAAGTGGGGGAGGGGGGCGGCGGGATTAAGGAAAGTAGGCTCACAAGAATCAGTTTCCAATTTAAGGTTACAGCAGTTCAAAGAAAACTATATCTTTCTGCATAATGCATAGTCCCTGTACAGTACAATATTTCCAAACAAATCTGATGTGTGGAATTCAGGTGAAACTGCCACACCAAAAAGTCCACGGATTGAGACAAGCCCAGGTGGGTAGCACATAGATTTTAAATTGCCAAATATCATCTTACAACAAGAAGGACATCAAGATGTTAACTTCAGGATATATTCCCAAAATCCACCTTGATTTCATTTATTTAAAACTCTGGATCACAATTGAGAGCATCAGTCATTTAACATCACAGATTTTGTTAGAACTAGTGAGAAGAATCCTAGCAGTGGAGCCCTGGGAATAAAATCTCCAAGTCAGCTCTTAGGAACTTGATGAAAAAGAACATCATTATTCAGTTGTACTCTTCCTCAGCCTTACTACAGCTCAATGTATGCTTTGTATGGAAAACTTTAATAATAAAAATAGCATTCACAGACTTTTCCCTCCTTTTTAGCTACAGAATGTATATTGTGTCTGTTCCAGGAAAGGAACTTGTTTTATAAATGTCCACACAACTACAGCTACTCATTCTAATGTTATGTATAAACCCATAAGTCAAATAAAGCTATGAACAATGTAATATTTATATATGCATAGTGTTTTATAAAAAGATTGGCCCACATACTGCTTTTCATCAATACAGAAAGAGCATTAAGTCCATAGCACACTGCAAGAAATAAATGAGTGAAGAACAGAGAATGCAAACAAGTGCTTAATAATTCACAAGCAGGCTCACCATGGAGGAAATGATGATATTCAAACCAACTAAAGCTTTAGAGAATTACTTATATAGTCTCCCATTTTAAAACAACTTTACATACCTGATTTAGTTTACATTAAAATATATCCCCATGAATCAATTTGTTCCATATTCAGAAATATAAACACGTATCACATTCCTCACAGCTAAATTTTGTCATAAATTCTCTTTTATACAAGAAAAAAAGGCAACAGTTGTTTTCTTTTTTTTCCCAACAGGCTCTATTAATTACAATTTTTAGCTCTGTACACGCAATGATTGGCTGGTTTTCTTTTTTTTTTTCTTTTTCCTTTTTTTTTTTCTTACAGTACCATGGGAACAACAGTGATTGACTTGCAAAGTTTTCTGTCTCTATGGAAAATGCAAAACAGTACTACAGAAATACACAATGCACTGTAAGCAGCGGTTTGCTGTAGTGGTCCAACAGGTACAAGCAAACATTTTGGCTCAGCTAGGCAGTAATCCACTTAAACCACATCCCGGGGCTACGGCCGACCCAACCACAGCTCCTGTGGGATCAAAAAGAATGGGTCTGTTTAAAAATAAAAATTGTTATGTTTTGTGCTGCTGTCCAAAGGACTCAAAGGACAGAGTCATGAGGCAGAAGTTTCCCAACCAGACCTAGAATCACTGGGACCACTTCCTTCCTTTCCCTTCTACCAACCTAGAGACTTGGACTATGGTTTCAAAGTGAAATTGGCATTTCTAACAATGAATACCCACAGCCCTCACTTCTTTAAATATCAACAGAGAGGTTCCTTCCACCAAGGCTCATTGCCTCCTCCCCAGTTTGGCAAAGGGCAACCATGGGCTTCTACTAAAAGGGAGGGGGGCATGCTTTCCAAATTGGGGATCTTACGTCTTCCTCACACCAGGCACACTGTCCCCCCATTCCATCTACTATTCAGCCTCCAATCAGACGAGACAACACGAAAGATGCTTGTTGTCTCTTCCTCGTAGTAATTGAGCAAAGCTGTGATGGCATTGCCTTCAATGAGATTTTATCAGATGTTGGTGATGATCACGAACCTGACTGTCTGTGCTTGGGCTGTATTTGAGTAAAAGTGGCCGACATTTTTGTCTGTGTGCCTTCCTGGGCCAGGGAGAGTACAAACTGTTTTCTGAACCAACTATAACTCACAATATAAAACTTCTTTGTGCTGCGCAGTTTAGCTATAAATATCCTTCATTTGCAATAGTAGTCTTGTCATACAGTTTGCTTACTTTTAGGATCATCGGCAAACCTAATCCATCCCCAAGGGTCCTCAGCTTTTACAAATAAAACTTTGCATTTTTGCTCTTTGCTTTTAAGAAAAACTTCCGACTACAGTATAGCACTACATCACTACATGACAGTCTATATCAAATTAATTAAACTTAATCAATAAATTCCCTTACGTAGAGAAAATGATCAACAGCCCCATTTAACCAGGAGAGAAAAAGATTGCCCCAAAACGGGAACAATTCTTGACGATTCTACAGGTTACGTAGAAACAAAATTTATATCCCTTTGGGCCAGCATTTGGCAAATAATTTCCAAAAAAGTATGCATTTAAAAATACTTTCTTTAATATGATACATCAGGCACAATACTTTTCATATATATTTTTTCTTATAAGATTTCAAATGCATAAAATGTTTGTTGTTATTCATAGGATCATCAGGTGTCAGATGCTTCATTAGGTAAGAAACTAAATAATTTCAGGTTTGTGACTTTCCTCTTAGAACCTTTGACACGGTAAAGGTTGGAATGTGACTCAGCGTCTCAGATACTGAGGTCGGTGCTACATTCTTTGTAAGGTCGCCTTCTCTGCTCCGGGGGATGTCTGGAACTTCTGCCGGCATCCTGTTTCAGATTCGCCTCTTCCCTTTCTCGGTGGCTGGCTCTGTCCTCTCTGTTCCTTTTGTCCAGGGACCGCTCTCTCCTGCGCTCGGGGGAGCGTGCGCGCCTCCGGTCGGTGGACTTGGCCCTGCGCTCGGGCGAGCCCCCTCTCCTGCGCTCGGGGGACCTCCTCTGCTCCAGGAGTCTCTCCAGAGACCGTCTCCGCCGGCTGGGGGAGCCGTCTCTCCTGCGGGTGGGTGACCGCTCTCGCCTCCGCTCCGGAGAGACGTCTCGTCTCTTCTCGTGCTTCTCCCTCCTCTCCAAAGTGTTGTCGGCGCTGCGGGTGCCCTCCCTCCGCTTCTCTGGGGACCGCCTCTTGGGGCCGTTGGCGGCTGCCGCGCGCTCGGCCTGCGCGTCCCTCCGTCCCTCCGGCGCCCGGTCCTTGGGTCGGCATGCCCCGCTGTCGGGTTTCCTCGAAGTCCCATTCCAGGTGTGGTGTTCATTGGGTTGTCTGCTATACTCTCTGCTGCCTTTCGGATCCCTTGCGTGTGCCCGCTTTTCCCCATGTGGTGATGATTTGTGAAGATCGGGTGGGTAACTGGACTCCAATGACGGATGCTGCCGGCGGTCGGGCCCGGCCCTCACTTCCGGAACACCTTGTGGACCGGTGGCGGGGCCGTGGCGGTCGCTGCTGGGGTCTGCCAGGAAAATAAACGAGAGCAACAGTTGGGTACGAAGGTCCCTCGGCTCCTGTCCCCGTTCCCACCCACACTCGAGACCTCATTAGTCACAACAAGCAAACAACTGTTAAAGCAGTCAGACTCAAAGCCAACTGAATCTGTTAACTTAAGGATAACTGCACGTAGTTAGGGTTAAAAACTAGTACTTGTGGCTTTCAGCGTCTGGCTGACTGAATGTTCTCCATACCCGAGACATAGATCATTAAAGAACTGACAAAAATCAGTCATGATTTGAGTCTTTAAAGGCACAATCCAAATAGTCTGTCTAGAGGCATCAAAATTTCCTCTCTGTAGCTATCCCTTGTTCTTCCTTTCCCACCCCCCCAACCCTTTTCCCCTGTGCCCACCCGTCTCCCACACCCAAGAAAATATTCTTTGCTTTAAAGAATACTTGTTTTGATTTACTTAAAAATAATTTAGGGTATTGATGTGAAGAAGGGGCACCTGGGAAGCTTTCTGGAGCAGGGCAGGAATCATCTACATCTTATCTGGGTGGTGATTAAATGGGCGCATACAGAAGTGAAAAATCTACTGCACTGTATATTCAGGATTTATGCATTTTACCATATGCAGAAGTATACTTCTATTTAAAAAAAATCCAGGGTAGCAGGCAAAGGGGATTACAGAGGCAACATGCTGGCCAGATGTTGACGACTGGCAAATGGGATATGTACGCAAGGGCCCATTAAACTGTCCTATCTGTATTATTCAACTACGTTCTCTACTTTTGCACACATTAAAAAATAAGGAACTGTTTTTAAAAGGTGTTTTCTGATAGATAAAAGGTAGGGGAAGAGAAGCTGCTAAGTACACATTTGAGATTGGATGGGGGTCAAATAAAATTTTTGGTTTAGAGGCATTTTTTCTTTATGACATGGGAGGCAGTCATAATGACATCTAAGAGCTTGGAGTCACTGGGCTGCTTCCTATAACATCAAGGTTTCTACAGGTTTAAAAGCAGGGCAGCCCATAATGGCCCCTATTTATCATTATTCAATATTTGAAATGACAGTGCAAATGTTTTAGGCAGTGTCCTGAATTGAGGAGAGCTCTTTTCAAAGCTAGGATGCTTTGTTGCAACTAAACCCAACAAGTCATCCACATGACACCATTCCAAGCAAAGCACCTGAAACAAGGCACTGCAGTCTGGAGGGCAGACTTGTATGACAGTCAGAGACTAAGGGGTCACTGGGGCTCTTTAAGGATCTTTCATGAGCCAACAAGGTCAATATTTAGCAATTAACCTGTTTCATGACAACTTCCCAAAACCTAGAGTGGGTTTTTAACAAAAAGCAAGTGAAAAGCCAAAAGCAGGGGTCAGCCAACTTTCTCTAAAGGGCAATAGTAAATAATCTGGGTGTTTTGGGCCACACCATCTCTGTTACAGCTATTCAGCTCTGCCACTGTGGTATAAAAACACAGGCAACACAAAAGTAATGGGCGTGCCTATGTGTCAATAAAACTTTACTTACAAAAACAGGCTATGGACAGGATTGGGCCCATGGACTGCAGTTTGCAAAGAGATACCTGACCAAGCAGGAAATCTCGTCTTCCCATCTAGCAAAGCCCTACGATACAGGGCTCCATGAAACAAGGTTCATTCTTTCTAAATACTGGGTTGGCTACGAGAATGAACAAAAAACAGGTTCTTAACAAAGGTCATGTGAAGATGTGGATACAGGAAGGCACTTGGATCACCAGTGGCTTCTTATGCCTACTTTTAAGACAAGGGAAGGCAACACTTCAACAGGGTCAGCGTTGTACTTACAATTCAAAGAACGCAGGGTGCTCAGAATGAATTGCCAAACATATCAAAACAGAGCTAAGCAGAAGCAATGAGGAAATTAGGCCACAGCACAGAAACACCTAGTATTGATTGAGCTACAAACCGTAGTTTGATTATGGCCCATAAGGTAGAAGCAAGCCTCCCCGAGCTTTTCATTTCTCATACATGCAGCGATATTAGGAGGTATCATCGCTGTGGAAGGGAGGGCCCAGCACCAAGAACAGTCAGAGAGAAGGAGAAAGAGAGAAAGAGAAAAAGTTGAACATTTAGATTCCCTATAACACAGAGGAAAGAAAAAAAATCTACATTTGTTAACATAGGGCAAAGAGAGTTTATTTGTCCAGTCAGACAGTCTAAGGCAACACTCAAATAAGGCTGCAGAGACCGCAATCGGAACAGTGACATTTTTAGACAGCCATAAGGTGACTCGAGAACCCAGACAACGAATGCATCCTTTTTTGTTTTGTTTTGTTTTGTTTTTTCAAACAACTGGAACAATGACAGGCTGGCATAGGAGAGCATTAACAATAAACAACAAAAGAACAAAATCCCTTCCCACCCCCACCAAAGACCGCGGCAGTTAAATTAAGTACAAAAAACTCATTACAAAAATAGCCTCACAGAGAAGCAGGTTCCAATCAAGTCAGAAAAATATTGGAACTTAACATATTATAACCCATTTGTGACTCTAATCAATGGAATTAGAGAGATTTAGTCCAAGTGACGCATGGAGACATTACAGTAGCACAACCCTGTGGCAGGTTCAACCCTTCTTGGAAAACCATGTATTTAAATGATCTTTATTTTTAGCCCAAAGAACATTTGTTAGTGTTGGATTTTCATCCTCAGTGCAACAGACATAGGTTTTGAGAAGGTACACAGGTTACTGACGATGACTCTCAAATGAAATATCACATCCAACAGAAGCATAGGGAAGACAGAAAAGGGAGACAATGTTACACAGTTTCAGTGGTATCAATACACCTAATGGTCAGAAGTTCAGTACAGTGCACAGCCACGGCATCTTAATGTTGTCAAAATACTTCCCCTGTGGTTGGCCATGTCTATAGGGGCCTTGTCTAATACCCACCCTCCCCCTGTACCTCGGACCCCTCGTATTTTGCACCTGTACAAATGTCGAACACCTGGGAAGGCTGGCCCTCCAAGGAGCTATCCTTCTCCTTGAGCTGCATCTGAATTAAACATCTCATCAAGTCCAAAATGCAACTGAGAATTGTGCAGAATGACTTTCAGAAAAGAGGGTGATAATAGATAAATCCCTAATAAAGGGGACCAACGTATCTGGGGACCATTCAATCACAGTTTCTATAGAAACTTTGGTAGACCTTTGGTTGGGAAAAAAAGCCCTACATCTAGGGCATAGCTTCTTCTTTTTTTTTTTTTTTTTAATTTTAAACACAAATCTCAAATAAATAGGACATAATTATTATCATATACAATATTTTGCCATCAGAACACTAAGCTATGTAAAGATCATTGCTGTCTACTCAAATCAAGTCTAAAGATATGACAAAGGAACTCTATGTATAACCTGGCTTTCCTCATAGGAAAGGTATAGTCACATGTTTCCCTCATGATGAGCACTGGGAATTTATTTCATCCTTTATCATTTAAAAACATTATGGCTAATATATTAACAGTTTTTGTTTGTTTGTTTGATAGTAGTGGGCTCAGATGGTCTGATTTGGGGTAAGACACCAGTTGGGGGATGGAGAAGTGTTGTATACAGAGCATAAGGGAGGTTAGCAAAGCCCCCAAATCTCTCAAAATTTCATGCCTCTTAAATAAAGACACCAAGTAACCAAAAAGGAAAAAATAATTGTGCCTCAACATATCACTCAGGAAACCTGCTTTCCTGCTTCTTAAAAGGAGTATATAGTCATTTTGTGCTAACAATTGGATCTGAGGAACAGTTTGGCACAGTACAAACAAACATTCCTTCGCTCTTGGTCGGACTAGACAAAACGTTCTCTCTGATTATCAGAAAGGGGGCTATAAAGATCTTGTCTTAGGCCATGCCCCAGTCCACGTAAGCAAGCAAAAGGATGAAATGTGTAGAGATTTCAGAACAAGCGAGGCAAATAATCACATGGTGCGAGAGGCTGGTAAGACACTGGTGAATAGGGGAAACAAAAAAGACTTTCCTGCTGCCGTTCTGGAGACAAATTCATGGAGTCATGCCAGGGAAGGAAGGAATGTTTTCATAGTTTGACCCACCATATTCTGGTACTGAGCCGTCTCCCCGCTTCAGAAACAGACGAACTCTGCGGCCACCATTCTTAATCAGTTCTATAGCTCGAGAATGCTTCATGTTTTTGGTGGTCTCACCATTGATCTCTAAAATTTCATCACCAATCTGCCAAAGCAAAAGAAAACTAAGTGAGATTTGAAATTCATGTACGGATTCACCAAATGTTTATTAAGCACGTGGCAGAACATCTATTGCTTTGGAGGTGGCAGTGACAAAAACAAACAGAAATCCCTGCCCTCATGGAGATTATATTCTAAAGAGGGAAAGACAATTAAGAAAATTAGAAAACTACATATATGCCAAATCACATGAGAAAGGGGGGAAAAAAAGCAGTAAGGGCATGTTAATGGTTGGGGTAGGCAGCTTTTAAGAAGGCTCCCATGATTTCTGCCTCCTTGCATTCACAACCTGTGTAATCTCCCCCTGCCTTTGAATGTGAGCTACGTCAAGTGACTTGCTTCTAATAAACAGAATATGGCAAACATGATATCAGTTCAAAGATCAGGTCATAAAACGATTTTGTCATCTGTCTTACTTGCCCTCTTTTCTTCTCTCACTTGTTTGCCCTGATGCATGTTATGAGCTATCCTCTGGAGTCCCATGATAATGAAATGAGGGACTGCCCTATAAGGCACTGAATCCTGGTAACAACCACGTGAGTGAGCTTAAAAAGCAAACCCTTCCCCAGGTGAGACTTCAGATGAGACCATAATCCTGACTGATGTATTGAATGCAGCATTCACTTTGTGTCAGCCACTATTTTAGACACTGGAAATAAAAGAATAAATAAGACGAGGCAGATCCCCACTCAAATAGAGCTTATATTCTAAAAAGAGGAGGAATGGCACTGGCTTTCAAGTCTACAGTCTTTAATTTGAATCCTATCATTTGGTAACTGATTTGCTCCCAGTACTTTAACTTCCTGGAGTCTACTTTCTTACTTATAGAAGAGGCTGATAATACCACTCACACCTACCAAGCTGCTGGCATCAAATCAGGTAATACATGTAAACCTGTCATGTAAACTATACACCATTATACAAAGTAGCATAATAATATTTCATTTGATTAACTTTTTAAAGAGATTAAATTTTTAAAGTAATTTAAAGTAAAGTAATTTAAAGTAATTAACTTTTTAAAGTGATTAAAAGGCAAGGGAAAATAAATTCCTTATATCTGAAATTTCAAACAAAAAAAATATGTACCACCATGTATCTCCCCTTGAATATATACATGCAAAAGAAAAGAATATGAGAGAAACTGGTATACTGTTTGGCCCTGGACACTGTATTTTTACTACATTTTTCACTGTTTAATTTTCTTAAAACACATTCAATGCTCTACCTTCTCAATTTTAAATGTTAAAAAATTCATGCTGAACAAACTTAAACATCAAGATTGTGGCTTAAGTGCAAGTGTTACGATCCTCACCCTTAATCAGTTTTTCCCTTTTTCTGCTCAGGCCCAACTGCATTCACTTTTTTCCTTTCCTGGCCTGACTGTCTTGATTTCTTTTAATTTGTTGTAAATGGCTCTCCATGGGCAATTCCCAATCTATGTGACCTATCTATGGGTAGATGATTTATGTTTTCTTAATCATCTAATCTGCCCAGGAGAACAGCACATTCATCTACAGTAACAGATATTAGCGAAACAGAGCAGAGTGGACTTTTGGCATTTATGTATTAAAAATCTGTAGCTCTTACTACAGAGCAACTCTGAATATTCATGCCACAGAGCCCTGGCTCTTTGCTAAGGCAGAGAGTAGACTTGCTGTCTCTGAGCCTAAGGTAAGACCACTGGTAACCAGCTAGAGGATAAGTAGACCTCACTGCCCAGAATCTACAGGGCCATATGGCTTTCCTGCTTTCTAAGCATCCCAGGGTACCCCAGAATTCCTGTCAAGTGATGTGCCTGCCCCATGACATTAAGCACAAAAACTATAGAAATGGGCTCTGAAAAATATCTACTTTAATATATTTGAAAGTAATTTAAATCCTTTATTCCCTATATCAACCCCAAAGAGTTGGAAGTGTTCACCTAACTTTAGCAGCTATAATTAATTGTGCTTTAGGCAGAAATATTTGGTAGGGTAGGAGTCATGCACTTAAGAGAATCATGAAAGCTATAGAAAATGTAGTTCTTATGAACATGAACATTCTAACCATATATGACAAGAATTCACTGCAGATGGTTTCTTTGCACCTACCCCAGACTCCTCTCTCCACTTACCCTCATCTTTCCACACCTCTCCGCAGGACCGTCCTCTGCTAAGCGCAGAACATAGAGGTCCATGTTATACTCTCGGCCTCCTCGAAGGCTAAAGCCAAATCCCTTGGCTCCTCTTTCCAGTTCCACAGTGTAAAAATCTTGCTCCTATTTAAAGAAATTAAATGCAATCATTCTAGGAGAACTAATATCCATAGGACTCTTCCTAAACATTCTTGGCAAAAAGGCACAATCTCTATCCCCCTCTTGGTGACTCTTGTTTATTAATAATCTTGATTCATCCTCATTAATCTCAGAAGTCACAGATCCAGAATTTGAAAACAGTTATGAGCATGTCTATATGCATCTGTGTATTTATTATAACATGTGGATTAAAATTTAATCAGTGAGGCTGTGATTTGCATTTGGGGAAGGACAATTCCTCATTACATGATACCAGCCACCTGGCTGCTGGATGCCCAGCCTCCCTGACCTGTGTCCAATAAATGCTGGCTGTGCCCATCATGAGGATACCAACAAAACCTCTCCAAATCCTGATCAAGGAAAATTATGAAGGGATAACTGAAAGCCCCCAGGCAACCAGTAAAGAAAGAACCCAGCTGGGGACTTGTAATACCAGCTACTCAGGAGGCTGAGACAGGATGATTGCTTGAGCCCAGGAGTTTCAGTCCAGTCTGGGCAGCACAGTGAGACCCCTGTCTCTTAAAAAAAAAAAAAAAAAAAAAAAAAAAGGAATCTGTTTAATTTTGCATCACCCAAAGTTCCTCAAATTTGTTTCACCTGCTAGTATTTTCACACTCTCCCTCGCCATCCTGAGGACAGGCATTTTGCTCTATGGATCTCACCTTAAATTCTCAAGCCTGAAAAACACCTTATCACAAAGACATTTTCTTGGCAGAAGCATGTTTATGAATACTATGAGTAGATATTGGTTGCTTTGCTTTCTCTAACTGCCGATCCTTGTGACAATTACTGCTTTTCATTTTTTTTCCCCTAGAAAAGGCTATCTAGGAATATTTTAAGGTAGTAAAATAACATGTTATTTCCTAGACAATCAAATGTAAGTATACGTTTGGTAAATCACCTCACAAAAGGTTATTTCTTTTAAATTAAAGGTGCTTCAAAAAATATCCCATAAAAGTAGCTTGAGAAAGTTGGAAGGAAACGTGCAAAGTATAGAGAAAAAAGAGACATGGTGCTCACCTGTGTTGCTTGGGGTGCTTTGAACTCAAATTGAGATTCCTGCTTTGGTTTGGTGGTATTCCTGCCAAAGTGAAAGAAATAAATATAAGAGCAACCCATTAGCAAACTGAGAAAGAATCAAGGACATATATTGTCATGCTGGGAGTTACTTTTTTCCCCTTTAACAAAGGAAACCAGTCATGTCTGACCTTGTCTCCTGGGTCCCTTGCTGAGAAGGGGTGTGTGTGGTGGTGATGGTGGCAATCTTCTCTGCATTGGTCAGCAAGGTGGCATTCGAGGACTCTGCAAAGAGGGACAGAGCATA
Source organism: Homo sapiens (assembly GCF_000001405.40). Lineage (NCBI taxonomy): Eukaryota > Metazoa > Chordata > Mammalia > Primates > Hominidae > Homo > Homo sapiens. The sequence continues at coordinate 65,364,969 of NC_000003.12, forward strand.
AAGAAATGAAGACCCCAGAGAAGACATCCTCCAGCCAGGAGGTGTGCAGAAGCCCTGTATCTGAATAACAAGTGTGACTTCTCTGTCCCCATTTCAAGCAGTCTGACTTGAATTTCTAGACAATTAGGAGTTTAATAAACCATTTTAAGATCTTCTCTGATGTGGGTCATGTATGTCCCCATGACCCTCCTCCCAAACAGACATCTCCACAAATAAAACAGAGTTTGCCAAAGAAAACACTGCTCTAAAATTCTAGCCAAGGTATATGTTTCTCACTCCTCCCCTGCCACTGAAAAAAGGCAGTCCCATCAAAGTGCTGCACCACAGCAGAATTCTCTTCCAGAACTTTAAAGTCTGATAATTAATGTCTCTACCAATGTTTCCTGCAATTTATCAGCAATATTTAGTGAGTCGGCTTAATTTCCTCAACTGAATATTAATATCAGAAGTGTACTAACAACTTGTTAAACACACATATAATATCCACTTTCTTTCCCACTGCTTTTAATAAAGCACAACTGAAAATATGGAACTCCTGACAGATCTTGTTTGGTATCACTCATGAAAAGTCCTATAGTAATAGCTATATGTTCTTTACTAATAATTTCTTCATTAAGACCAAGGCAAGTAGCAACCAACTATGAGCAAGTTGTATTTTTAATATTTAATTGTAGGTTGACTGAAACTCGTCATACATTTTCTAACAAAGAAAATGCTAAATGTGGTGTTAGGTTCCATTATAAGATTCACCTGTGCATGCCCATTTAATTCAGTGCACCATCAAATCTAGAAGTTACCAGGAGACCTATGGCTTATAGTAGGCACTTTCGTGTTTACTGAATACATGTATCTTCCCATCACATTTAACTATTATATGGGAAAATATGTTAACTATTCCAAACTGAGATACCTATAATATATATCTTTCCACTGGAGTCCTGGAACAAAAGACATCCCACAAATCCCAACTACCTGTGGTCTATCTTCCATTTACATTTCCCAAGGATCTTACTCAGCTTTGGTCCGGCTTCCTGTTATTTTATTTTCATGACACATAGTGGTTAAAAGCATGGGCTTGAGATTCAGACCTGGGATCAAATCACCTTTTTTTCCTACTCATTAGCTGTGTGCCTTATTTTTCTCATCTGTTAAAATGGGGTGATGACAATAATTCCCCTCTCATGGATAAAAGTATATGCAATGTTTAAGCTCTGTGCCTGACATACAATAAGCACTCAATACACATTTATTACAGCTACTACTTTTTATTACTATGAGACCTTGTATAAGTTATTTAAGCTCTCTGCAAAATGAGAAAGTCGAAATATGATTTCAACAGTTAATTTACTGCAGCCATAAAAGCCCATTATTCTTCTAGCTAAGGCACAAGAGTAAGAAGAAAATAACTAAATCAAGTGAATTGTTAGGTGAATCCCATTCATGTTTTGGGACAATGTTTCCCAAAATCTGTTTTACCAATCATTTCCTATGCACTCCTCTGAGTCTTTACTACACCAATATGCCTGTGACCGTCCAAGCTGGGGAGGTGGTGTTTCTCAGGCTTACTGGGAGACAGTTTAGCACAATGGTGACTAGGTCAGATTCTGGAGTCAGACTGTCTTATCTGACTTTGCATTCTATGCTCTTCAATTTCCTGGATGGGACTTAAGCAAAGTTACTTAAATTCTCAGTGCCTCAGTTTTCTCGTGTGCACATTGGGAATAAGAGAATTATCTAAGGAAATTGGGGCAAAGATGATCCAAGAAGATTGTTTGGAATACTGCCTGGCACACAAAAACTGCTCAGAAGTGATTAGCATATTTTTGGTACCATGTGTTTATTATTGTCATCATAATGTTAAAAGCATATTGTTCGTATATTTTAATGACGCTATTTTAACAGCAAATTATTTTCAGAGCTTTTGGAGGAAAACTAGCTCCTTCATATGACTCCCATTTGAGGGCAGTTAACCAGCAGAACCAAGGTGATGAATCAGTGATATTTTATAAAGTACGCTCACTGTGTCACTAAATAGGACAAACAAGCTGTATAGCCCATCGCTGTGACTCTCCAGAACTTTCATAAACACGTGTATTGGTCCTTTAGCAAACTTCATATTGCTCATTGCAATTAATTTTATGGAGACTCTCAGAAATCACCAGGTTGTTCAGGCCATGGGGAAATCACAATCAGGATACTAAAAAGAATGTCTCCTTGTAATCAAAGTGATTATAATGATTGAATTGTACAGAGGTTCCTCTTTACAGTTCTTGTGTGTTGTTGGTAGCCAGAGTTTTCTGAGCAGATCAGATTCCATTCTCAAATTATTTTTATTTTTCTGCTGCTTTCATAATTTGATGAGATAATCACCCAATACACAGAATTCCTTTATTATTTTTATTCCCATCCTTTATTTGCTATTTTTTTTCCTCATCTGTATGTCTGTGAAACTCTTTTTTGGGTTGAAGCTTAATTTTAAGCATAGTAAAATTAACATTTAGCATGGAAATGTCGATTTGACCTTGCTGAATTTTCCTCATTTGTTGTTTATCTTAATCTATGAAGCACCACCATTTAAGGATGGTTTAAACGTGCCAAGCACTGTGCTAAGTCCATTACCACATACTTCATTTGACTCTCACCACTCAATAAAATAGGTGCAATTATGGCCCCAGTTTACAAATGAAGACACTGGGGTGTAGAAAATGTAGGTAATATGTCTAAGGTCACTCAGGCAGCAGGTGGAGATACTGGGAATTAAACCCAGGACCTGCCTGACAGTGAACTTTTAGTTTTTGGTTTACGTAGGAATCATGTGTTGGTATTGAGGAAATCATATCTAATTGGAACATTCCTTTCAAAAAAGAAATAATTTTATTTTACTGTATAAATACTACCAACCTCACCAAGCAGTATCAGAGATGAATTAAAATATGAAACACCCTGCTTTGATGGCTAGATTTTATAAGCCATCCTCAGAGCAGCACCAAAATAATTTTAGGTATACCCTAGATTTCCAGGATGTTTTTATACTATCAATAAAGTTATGCTTGTTTTAATGAACTTTTACTTCTTCATTTGGAATTAAACCAGGATTGTATTTGCTGAAATGCTCTCTAGCGCTTTAAAATATAAAGATGAGCCCATTATAAAAAAGAGCTTTATCCCAAAGCAAAATTGACTACTTACGGTGGAAAAAATATAAAAGAAGGGCCTGAAACAAGAGTATGAGTCTCCCTGCCCTCCAGAAACAGTATTAGAAAGAGGTGTCAATGTATTTGACTTTTAAAACTGCAAGGCACATGGACAGATTAGGTACTTTATGACAAATTCCAGAAAGTACCCAACATCCTTTATTAAACAGTGTTTATACCTACTTTAGCTCTCCCAGAGGAGTGAAAATGGAGATTACTACACTTTCAATAGCAGTCATGTATCAAGAGAAGCAAATCCCAGCTCTCACAGCCCTGTCCAGGGACTATTCCAAATCTCGGCACTTACTCTTCCAACAGCAGCTTCCATCTTGGGTTTCAACCTATCTATCTGTGACAAGCAATTACAATTCTAACCTTGTTCCCATATTAATATCCTCAGCCTCCCCTTACGGAATCCACATTGAAAGCCAAGCAAATCAACAAAGGATACAATTATTCCTGTTGTAAATATTTTACTGGATAAACACGTATGTAATAAATATCTAAGGGCGGCATGGGGAAATTTGAATCCCATAAATATTTGAAAAGTTTTGGGGGACTTTTTACTATTCTAATGCCTTTGCCAAGGAAACAGCAATATCTATATGTTGCCAAGCTCTACCTCCTACATAAGCAAATACTTTGAATCAGAGTGATCTGAAGTGCAAATTTAGGACCATTATTCAAATAAAGCATTTTTAAGCTTCTAAAGATTTTCATTATATTGAACTTGATTCAATCTGATGGTTCCATGTTACCTGGCTCAGGGAGCTTCTGTCCTTGTCTGATTAAAGTCTCTCTCCCACTCCATGGGGCATCTCCATACAATGCAAATGTTGTTTGACTTCTTAGATTTCAAGTTCAGATTCAGTAAGTTCAGCTATTCTCTGGGCCCTTCTGTGCTGCCATTGTGTATTTATTCATTCATCCCTTGCCCATATCTCACAGGAGAGAAGGTTCTGCCCTCCCCCATTGTCCACCCTGGTCCCAAAGAGAATCAAAGCAATGAAGGTAAGGACTCCCCCAACCTTGGCCTGACCAAGGCTGTGAAAACACTCCTGCCAGACCTTCTAACATACAATAATGCCAAGGAAAGAGGAATCACGTTTTGGAGGTTTTGTTGGAAAAGTCAGAGAAAAATGTGGGAAGCAGAGTGAGGGAAACTAAAGACTGAGATGAGTGAAACTGCAGAAAGAATAAGGCTACCGATGACAAGAGCAAAGAATTAGATAGCATGAACTAGACATGGAAATGGACTCAGAGTAGACTCACGCACTGCACAAAGGGCAGAGCATCTTTTCAAAGGGCCTGCTGGGGTTTCGAGAACAGTGTCCCAGACGTGATGGATTCTTTTTTTTTTTTTCTGGAGACACAGTCTCACTGTCTCCCAGCCTGGAGTGCAGTGGTATGATCTTGACTCATAGCAACCTCCGCCTCCTGGTTTCAAGCAATTCTTGTGCCTCAGCCTCCCAAGTAGCTGGGACTACAGGCACGCGCCACCATGCCTGGCTAATTTTTTGTATTTTAGTAGAGACAGCGTTTCGCCATGTTGCCTGGGCTGGTCTTGAACTCCTGAGCTCAGGCATTCTGCCCACCTTGGCCACCCAACGTGCTGGGATTACAGGCATGAGCTACCATGCCCGGCCCCAGACGTGATGGATTTCTAAGAGCTTAGAAACCACTCTGAGTTAAGACCTTCAGTCTCCTTGTAGATATCATGAAACAAATGGTTTTTGGGCCACTTGATGAAGTAAATATTCGAGTAAAAAATCTGAAAGAGACCTGAGGCATAGGCACCTCCATTTTACCTTGGAATCAACTATGTCCAACACGCTTTCACAGAAAGGAAGTGGATCCAGTGTGATTATCTCTTCACTGAACTGTAATGCTCACTCTTTGTCTTCTGGGGGTTTGCAAAATCCTCCTGGATCTCCCACATCTTTTGAGAAATCTAACTCCCCTGCTTCAACTCTAATTTCCAAAATGCTGTTTCTCAGACCCACTTAAAATAGGAGCATCACCATGAACCCGGGAGGCAGAGCTTGCAGTGAGCCGAGATCATGCCACTGCACTCTAGCCTGGGTGACACAGCGAGACTCCGTCTCAAAAAAAAAAAATTGAGCATCACATATTCACCCTCTGCCAGACTTGATTCCCTTTACCGGGCTTCTGGCACTTACAAAGTAACTAGAGAAGAGGCTTATTATCATATCAACCAAATTCCTGAAACATCTTGGATGAAATCACATGCTCAGCAGAACATGTATTGCCTTAAAAAATATCAATCCTCAACTATGTTGTACCAGTTTTATGTTTACTTGTTTCTAACCAAGGTAGCACAAGGTGTCTATGTGAATTTTATATTTCCTACATATTTAAATTTTAAAATTGCCTTTATAATGCCAACTGTTATTGGATAATCCACCTTGCATGATAATTTTTGGTGTTCAGGCTTAAAAGTTTTTTTTCCAGGGTATTTTATTTTGTTTGTTCTGAGACATGGTCTCAGTCTGTCATCCAGGCTGGAGTGCAGTGGCATGATCAGGGCTCACTGAAGCTCGACCTCAACCTCCTGGGCTCCAGCCATCCTCCCGCCAGCGTATCCTGCCCGTTGCCCCAAATAGTTGGACTACGGGTGCAAGCCACCTCTCCTAGCTAATTGTTTTGAATTTTTAGCAGAGACGACGTCTCGCTATGTTGCCCAGGCTGGCCTGGAACTCCTGAGCTCAAGTGATCCTCCTGCCTCAGTCTCCACAAGTGCTGGGATTACAGGCGTGTGCCACTGCACCCAGCTGTGTATTTTATTAAATTAAGTCAACATCTACTATCTACACTGCAGAATAAGTCGCTTCTGAGTATTTATGTCTTTACTGACTTCAAACTCTTTTTCTAAGCTCTTCACTCAGGGAGTACTTTCTTTCCTTCTTTTGGATGTTCTCATTCCCACAATAAGATTGACCAATTATAAACCCAGCAAGTCAATCCCTGCGTCCTGTTCTTTTGGGTTAGTCTGTTTGATATCTTTCCATGACATGTTGATAAACGTGTCTAAATCCATACACAAAGCATACCTCGGAGATATCACGGGTTCAGTTCCAGATCATGGCAATAAAAAAGCAGGTATTCCAGTAAAGTGAGTCATGCAAATTCTTTGGCTTCCCAGTGCATATAAAATTCATGTTCACACTATACTATAGTCTATTAAGTGTGCAATGGCATTATGTTTAAAAACACTACATACCTTAATTTTAAAATACTTTATTGCTAAATAATGATCACCTGAGCCTTCAGTGAGTTGTAATCTTTTTTTGCTGATGGAGGGTCTTGCCTTGATGTTGATGCCTGCTGACTGATCAGGGTGGTGGTTGCTGAAGGTTGGGTGGCTGTGGCAACCTCTTAAAATAAGACAACAATGAAGTTTGCTCTTCCTTCAATGAAAGATTTCTCTGCAGCATGTTGCTGTTTGATAGCATTTTACCCTAAGTAGAACTTTTTTTGAAATTGGAGTCAATCCTCTCAGACTCTGCCACTGCTTTATTAACTTAAGTTGATTTAATAATCAAAACCCTTTGTTGTCATTTCAACAAAGTTTGCAACATCTTTACCAGTAGATTCCATCTCAAGAAACCATTTTCTTTGTTCATCCATAAGAAGCAACTCCTCATCTGTTCAAGTTTTATCATGAGATTACGGCAATTAAGTCACATCTTCCGGCTCCACTTCCAATTCTACTTCTCTTGCTATTTCCACCACAAAGGAACTTCTGCAGCTTCTTCCTCCACTGAAGTCTCGAAACCCCTCAAAGTCATCCATGAAGGTTGGAATCAACCTCTTCTAAAATCTTGTTAAGGTCAACATGTCTCCCATGAATCATAAATGTTCTTAATGGCATCTAGAAGGGTGAATTTTTTTCCAGAAGATTTTCCAAATCTTTCCAAATGGATTTTCCAAATCCATTAGAGCCATCACTATCTATGGCAGGTATAGCCTTACAAAATACATTTCTTAAATAGTAAGACTTAAAAGTCAAAATGACTTCTTGATCCACGAGTTGCAGAATGGATGCTGTGTTAGCAGGCATGAGAACAACATTCATTTCCTTGTACATTTCCATTAGAACTCTTGGGTGACCAGGTGTATTGTCCATGAGCAGTAATATTTGAAAGAAATTTTTTTCCCCTAAGCAGTAGGTCTCAACAGTGGGCTTAAAATACTCAATAAACCACAGCACAACATATGTGCTGTCATCCAGGCTTTGTTGTTCCATTTCTAGAGCACAGGCAGAGTACATTTAGCATCATTCTGAAAGGTTCTAGGATTTTCAGAATAGCCAGATGAGCACTGGCTTCAGCTTAAGGTCATCAGCTGCATTAGCCCCTAACAAGAGAGTCAGCCAGTCCTTTGAAGCTTTGAAACTAGGCATTGATGTCTCCTCTCTAGCTAGGAAAGTCTTAAATGACCATCTTCTTTCAATAGAAGACTGTTTTGTCTACACTGAAAATCTGTCATTTTGTGTAGCCACCTTCATCCATGATCTTAATAATTAAATCCGCTGGAAAACTAGCTGCAGTTTTATATTTGCACTTGCTGCTTCCCCTTATACTTTTATGTTACGGAGATGGTTTATTTCTTTAAATCTCATGCACCAACCTCTGCTAGCTTCAAAGTATCTTCTCTAGCTTTCTCCCCTCTCTCAGCCTTTACTGAATTGAGGAGTTAGGAACTTGCTCTGGATTGGACTCTGGCATAAGGGAATGTTGTGGCTGGTTTGATTTTCTATCCAGACCACTCACACTTTCTCCATATCAGCAATAAGGCTGTTTCGCTTTCTTAAAATCCATGTGTTCTCTGGAGTGGCACTTTTAATTTCCTTTAAGAAATTTTCCTCTGCATTCACAACTTGGATAAATGTTTAGCATGAGGGATCTAGCTTTTGGCCTATCTCAGCTTTTGACATGCCTTCCCTCACTATGCTTAATCATTTCTAGCTTTTGATTTAAAGTGAGAGATGTGTGACTCTTCCTTTCATATGAAGAGTTAGAGGCCATTGTAAGGTTATTTATTGTCCTAATTTCAATACTGCTTTATCTTGGAAAAGGGAGGCCCGAGGAAAGGAACAGAGATGGGGAATGGCCAGTCAGTGGAGCAGTCAGAACACATATGACATTTATTGTTTGTCATCTTATGTGGGTATGGTTTGTGGCACCCCCAAACAATTACAACAGTAACATCAGAGATCACAGGTCATCACAGCAGATATAATAATAATTAATACTAATAAAACTTGAAATATTGTGAGAATTACCAAAATGTGACACAAAGGCACAAAGTGAGCACCCGCTGTTGGAAAAATGACACTGACAGACTTGCTCGAAGCAGGGTGGCCACAAACCTTCAATTTGTACAAAATGAAGTACCTGCAAAGCGCAATAAAATGAAGTGCAATGAAAGGGGGGATGTCTGGACCGCATTTGGCTCTCTCAATCACTTCTCACTATATTTTCTGGCTTCCTTCATCCTTCCTATTAGGAACCTATGTTCTATCATCTTGTGACCACTTTCCTAAATTGTAACAGCTTTCCAGAGTGGTGAATTGGTGGAATGAACTCCAGACCAGTTGGTAAGTGACTAACCATGCATTTGAAGGAGGGTCAAGTAGATCATCATTCAAGAGGCCAGTGTTTTCCTCCACATTTAGTGTGGGATATTTTTGGTGCAGAGAAAGTTCTCTGTTCTTGGAATCAACAATTTTAAATTTTTACTGTTTGGTTTTGCATTTACCTTTTCCGTAAGGCACCGGCTATACCTTTCAAATCTTGAACTATAAAGTTCACTTTCTAGCAGTTAGTATATAAAAATACTCATTTGGTAAATAACTTTCAGATGAAACCCTAATTTTCTTATTTTATAGATACATGGCATAGAGTTTTTATCACACTATCTTCATAAACTAGATTTTTTCTTGAGAAATACTCACTTTTAGAATATATATTTTATAACATGTATAGCAAGACTGAAAAAAGACATTTAAACATTTTGGGACAAGTGTCACCTTCCTCCCAAGAGCAAAGTCAGCTTAGAATAAAGTGAATATTCAGGAACTAATTCTCTAAAGGATCTATACTTCCTGGCCTTAGTGTATCAACTTAACTTTTTTTTTTTTTTTTTTTTTTTGAGATGAGTCTCGCCCTGTTGCCCAGGCTGGAGTGCAGTGGCGCAATCTCGGCTCACTGCAACCTCCGCCTCCCAGGCTCAAGCGATTCTTCTGCCTCAGCCTCCCAAGTAGCTGGGACTACAGGCATGTGCCACCACGCTAAGCTAATTTTTATATTTTTAGTAGAGATGGGGTTTCACCATGTTGGCCAGGCTGGTCTCAAACTCCTGACCTCAGGTGATCCACCCGCTTTGGCCTGCCAAAGTGCTGGGATTACAGGCGTGAGACACCGCATTCAGCCTCAACTTAATTTTTATTAAACATGAATAATACAATGAGTATTGGTATTTTGTGCTGGGTAACTTTTTATTGTGAGGGCTGTTCTGTGTTCTGTAGGATGTTTTGAAGCATGTCTGACCTAACTAGATGCTACTCACACCCACTGCAGACAATGCCAATGTTCCCTGGGGGGCAGAATCACCACTTACATAAAAGAACCAAAGATTTGAATTTAACTAATCACAAAAACAAATAAGGACAGGCCTAGTTTAATGCAGATACAATTTATCAAAAATATAGAGATTTCATTCTTTCTTCATTCACATCCAAAAATTAGGGAAAATCCAGTAGACACAAACTCTTAGATTCTCCCATTAAATGAAAAACTTTGATATATTCACTTATTCTAAAAAACCATAGTACTGGCTCTGAATTGCCACCATGCAGGTTTTCTCATGTCACCATATAATACAGCTCATATTATACATATCAGAGGATCTGTACCACCTGTATTAAAACTATTTTATAGTGTTGAAGACAAGGACACAAAAAGCTAAATAAGTTGAGGAAAGGGTGAAGATTTTTCTGAAACTTTTTTTTTTTTTTTTTTTGAGATGGAGTCTCACTCTGTCGCCCAGGCTGGAGTGCAGTGGTGCGATCTCAGCTCACTGCAAGCTCCGCCTCCCGGGTTCACACCATCCTCCTGCCTCAGCCTCCCGAGCAGCTGGGACTACAGGCGCCCGCCACCGCGCCCGGCTAATTTTTGTATTTTTAGTACAGACGGGGTTCCACCGTGTTAGCCAGGATGGTCTCGATCTCCTGACCTCATGATCCACCCGCCTCGGCCTCCCAAAGTGCTGGGATTACAGGCGTGAGCCACCGCACCCGGCCTGAAACTTTTATATTTGCAGCAACACAGGGTCACAGGGCTACAGGATTAATTACACAAGAGGGTGAGGTATGGGTTAGTAACAATGGCTCACGTTTACCTGATGGGTATATTTAGTTAGGGATGAATAAAGCTGCCACTAAATTAATACTATTCAGTTACACGAACACTAATCAAAGAGAGAGAAAGAGAAAAGGAAAAGACAGAGACAGAGAGAGAGAAAAAGAGAGAGAGAGAGAGAGATAATAGGTATACTTTACCATCCCCAGGAATGATGCGGAGGGTAACTGTGTTTCCCGCTTCCTTGATTAGGTTCACAATGTCTGAATGGGATTTGTTGGTGATGGAACATCCATTTACTGCCAAGATCCGGTCTCCTACTTTCAGCTTGCCACAGCGGTCAGCAGGGCTCCCCTCAATAATCCGACCTATTTTGTGAGGCATAGCCACACATGCATTGCCTGCTTTGATATTGAGTTTTAATTTTTTTAAAGTTACGTGGGAATATAGCAAAGGGAAGAGAAAAAGGGTTGAAAAGGGAAAGAGAAGGTTAAGTGTTAATAAATTAAAGCATTAAGCAAATGTTATTAAAGGAGAGCTCTGCACCGATGGTCAAAACATTGGCAATACTCAGGGTGTCTGTATAAGGAGCTACTGCCCTGAAACTAGAATTCATTGCTGCCATCCTTTCCAGATTCAAAATTAGGGGAATCCCCAGCTTTCCTCCTTAAACCAATTACAAAATTTGGGATAGTTGGCAACTTCAAAGATTTTTAAGAGCCCCAAAATAACTGGCTGTTCGCTTATTTTGGGACTGCAAATGTGAAACCCAAGGCTGGGATGGATGCTTTTACTCATTCTGTGTTCATGTCACTTCATTTTTGCCAGCTGTTGTTTAAGCTTCTGCCAATGTTTTGTTCTTTCTCTGTTTAGAAAAATAATCACTGGGCATCTGGTGAGGCATAAGAGTCTGCTAGCACCAAAAATTCAATCTGAAAACACCTGATGAACAAACACTCAGACTTTCTGCCTTCTCCCCAGAATGATGAAAGCTTTAGAAAAAGGGTGTAATTATAAGAGATGAGCCAAGAAAGCACCCAACCTTGAAGCTTATTTTTCCTTTTAGGACCTTTGCTCAAGCAGCTAGTCTTATGTGCTTTCAGAGCGTGGCCTGACTGGTTCATTAGCTCTGAAATCATTCTGCTGCCTCACAAAAATCCCCTCAAAGGACTACGAAAATCTAGTACCTATTCAGGCTGAGGACATTGATCCAAAGCTAGGTTCAAATCATTCCTCACCCTTTTTCCTTTAATCATCTCCTTTCTCATCATCAGTTACCCATATCAAAGACCGAGAAAAGTGCATTTGGAGAGAAAGGTTTATTCGTGCACTTTGAGGCACTGCATGTCATTGCTAACTTCTAGAGAGAGGTGGCTGGCTTTGAGGCCTGACATAGGATTTCTGGTTAATCTAGTTAATCATGTATTGAGTTTCAAAGTTCTTATGCATATTCACCTACTTTGAGAATTTGTCTTTCTGGGGACTATGAAGGTAGTTATGCAGTTGAGTTACCTTTTGGAAAGGGTGACAAATAACATGAGGGACATTACAACTAACTGAGTAGGCTCTTCTGTCATGATTTGGACCTTAAGGGTAAAGTGTGTGGGAAAATGCACTTTAATTCCTTTGAATTTCAGCAGATTTGCCTGAGCTTGTATCACAGAATGGAACACCAAGGTAAGATAATTTTTAAAAGTTAACAGTCTATTAGAATACAATAGGTAGGTGTGCTGGAATGCTCCCATACTCAAATTCAAGGTCTTGACTAAGTTTAGTTGATCTCCAAGGACAATTGGTATAACAAAGGTATCGAACAGCAGGTCTGAGGAAAGCTCAGCAAAGCTCAGAAGCCTCATGCAAGGTATTAGGGAAAGTTTAATTTGTTCGTTGTAAGAGCCAAAGGAAAACAATCAAAGACCAAATTGTGAGTGTGAATACAATATTCATTATATAACACATAACCTGCCACTTGACATATTTGCTATTTCTTTCTAGAAGGTGAAACTGACAATTCTGAAATAGTTAGGAACGTCACAGGATGCATGGAGACAGTCAAACTGTAGATCTGAAGAAAATAATTTGGGATTTCTTTCTCCCCTCTTCCTTCTCTTTATTTTTATATTAAGCAAGAAAGTCTCTGAAATTAATTTTAAAACAAAACCAAAAAACCTTGCTTTGATGTCAGGTCATCCATCCATGACATGCTATGATGACTTTATTAATGTAGCTCAAAAAGCACTGTTAGTAATAGGCGTTTGTTACTGCAGCCACACATGCATAGACCTGGCTGAGTCACTGTCCCCTGTTAAACATAAAACTTACGGGGAGACAGCTCCAGCAGGAAGCAACACACCAGGATTAAATGGAGGCCAAGTGAGCTCTACTGGATGAGAATGCTAAAGGGTTGTAGCACCTTGCTGATTCTAGCCAGTTTCCATGTGGATAAGTCATTCAGGGATAGAGCTGAGGTACATGAAAAGCCCACACAGCCTGCACAGCCCTTCCCCTTCTCCCATTGTATTCCATAGTAAGTAACAAATGTGCTTGGGAGATAACAAATGACTTTTTACCCAATCAGGAAGGTGGATCATTTTTGGAGTGTACATCTATAATCAATCCATTGCAATGGGAAGCAGATTCATATATCACTAGTTTCTGCAATCATCTGGGTTTCTATTGGTCTTTGCTAGTGTACCCAGAAGAGAGTGAATCCTTCTGAGAAAGTGACAACTGTGTTTCTCCATACTTTGCTGAAACCCTCAATGTCTGGACGAGACAGGAAAATCGAATGACTCTTAACTCAGATTTTAACCAGACTTTAAATCAAGCAACAGTAAAAATATTATTTAAAATTAAAAAAAATTCCTATGGGGATAGAGTAGAGAAAGAACACAGATGAGGCAGACTAGCATCTCATGTAGTATTTTTACTCCTTACACCTCTGTTTTTCCTAGAGCATTTTTACAGCCGTATGCTCCTTGTAAAAACTCTTAAGACATTCTTAAGACCATTCTGAGGCCCTTGCAATTAGTGCTATCCTATTCAAGACCTTTCGAAAGCCTTGCTTTGGCAAAAACTGTAGACTCTGTATGCTGTCCAGGGGTTCCTATTCAAATTTCTTTTCTTTCCTTTCCTTTTCTTTTTTTTTTTTTTTTAAGACAGAGTCTCGCTGTGTCACCCAGGCTGGAATGCAGTGGCACAATCTCGGCTCACTGCAACCTCCACCTCCCAGGTTCAAGCGATTCTCTTGCCTCAGCTTCCCAGGTAGCTGGGATTACAGGCATGCACTACCACGCCCAGCTACTTTTTGTACTTTTAGTAGAGACAGGGTTTCACCACGTTGGCCAGGTTGGTCTCAAACTCCTGACCTCAAGTGATTCACCCTCCTCGGCCTCCCAAAGTGCTGGGATTACAGGCGTGAGCAACAGCGCCCGGCTGCTATTCAAATTTCACGCAAATCTGATGTATGCTTTAAGTTGTGTATGCGTGATCACATTCTCAGTGTGGAAGTTGAAAGGGTTGAACAAATATTCCCAACCTTCAAAAGGGAAAAAGCTACCAAATCAACTCCATCTCCAATTAAGTCTTTAATTACCCAGAGCAAGAAGCTATAAAGCATTTCTGCACGTGAGGTCTGAGTCAGCTTTCACTCGCAAGAGAACAAAAACTCCCAGGCATGGTGGGAAACCCTGGGTAATTTCACGTTCAGCACTCACCAAAGGTCGTGCCTGCTTCGGGCCTGCTCACCGAGGACACGATGACGAAGCCGAAGCCCTCGTTCTCCCCGCGCCGGATCTCCACGTCGTAGGGCTGCACCACGGTGCTGACCACGCCGCTGCCCCCGCCGCCGCCACTGCCGATGCCGCTGGTGCTGCCGCTGCCCGAGCTCACCGTGTTCAGCGAGTTCTGGCTGCCCTGCGGAGTGCGCTTCTCTTCTGTCAGCGAGGCCGGCTGGTTGCTACTGTGATGAGAGGAGGCTGGCGAGGGCACCTCGTTCTCGGTTTTGGGCACTGTAGCAGAGAGATGCACGCGTACATCACCGTGTCCTGCAGCCCCTCCATCCTGCTGCCCCTCCCTCCTTCCAGCAACTCCTGCTAGAAATCAAAACGTGAACCGAGGGGAGGAGACAGCACCTGGTTTCACAATACCTGGATATACGGATTGAAAGCAGCTTCTCTTGACAAATATTAACCATTCAGTATCTACGAACATTGATCCCACCTAACACCAAATGGGACTCCCAAATAGCGTTTGTTGTTTATAGCATGCTATATGTCGACATCCACACTCAGAATCAAGTCTGCAGCAAGATCGGCCTGCTGTGAAATATTTCCCCATTGCACAAAGGGAAGGGCCTAAGCGTAGGTGAGGGCTACACCCGTGAAGACCGCCATCTTGGCTTCATAGATACAACCTTGGATGCACGTTCACATTGTCATTACTTTCCAGTCACATTTCCACCCAGCTTTTTCCATCAGGCGACAAACAGTAAGGTGATGGTAACGTTGAGGCTACCCGCCCTATGTGGGGTTCATGACAACACCTGTGAGACATACACATGCTTCTCTTCTTAGCTTCCAGGTGTCAACATCGACTCTGATCACAGAACTGGATACACTGGCCTCCTTCTGAATTTAGTCACCGTTCTAGTGTTACCATCAGACTGCAAGGTAAAGCACTCCTAAATAGCCAACACCGTAGGTGGAACCAACTATGCCAAAAAACAAAATGTGTGTTGTGTCCAAGTTTTGGATCAGACTGTATTTATTTCCAAAAGCTTCTCTTTTCATAGATTGTTTTAATTTTGGAAAAATAAGCATAACAAATTTTTAAACCATTTTTAAGCATACAGTTGAGTGGTATTAAGTGCATTCACATTTTTGTGCAACCATCATCATCATCCATCTCCAGAATTTTGTCATTTTCCCAAATTGAAACTCTGTACTCATTAAAAACTAATTCCCCTTCCTATTTCCTCCACCCCCCACCAACCATCATTCTGCTTTCTATCTCTATAAATTTGACTACCCTAGGTATCTCATATAAAGGGAATCAATATTTCTCCTTTTGTGACTAGTTCACTTGCATAATGTCTCTTCATAGATTTGACACGCCTTTTACACAGAGCTAAAAATCCAAAATATTTAAGATTTAAAAAAATAAACCTGAAACAACAAAAAAAATCACATTGCCTTACTATTTCTATTTGGGCCAGGGAAGCGAGATAGTTAGTTTTCATCTCATCTCAAAAACTCGTTCCAGCTGACTGCTTTTAGCTACATGGAATAGTATGTTAAGAAGGATTGTGAGGTCACAAACACACTGGAATTTAACATCTTAATTCTATAATTAATCATATACCATTTAAAATGGGTTATACTCTTTTTTTTTAAAAGAAGTTACCAATTAATTTTATCTGACAGGTATCTGTTTCACTAATATGAATGCCAAGAGAATTCATAATATTTCAGGTCATATTTCTCCAGTAATTCCACTGATAGAAGACAATCACCTCTGCTGCACTCTGGGTTCTGCCTTAAAGGTTTCAAGGTGGGAGCTGCATCCAAAGGTGAACAACCAAGGTGTGTTCAACGTGAGCTTTCAAGGGAAAGGACAAACACTCACACAATTCACTGTCTCAAAATGGCAGATTCTGATACAGCAGTAAACCATGAGTCACTAGAATGGCAAGGAGGGAATGCTAAAATCTGAAGGCAGTTGGAGGAAGGAGGAATTTCCAAGGGAAGAAAGTTATATTTGAGCTGAGCCTGAAAGGATATGTAGTATTTTGAGAATTAAAGTTCAAAGCTTATGGGCAGGAAGAAGGAATCAAAGCTGACCTAGAACTGGCCAGCTCTACAACTTTCTTGTAGAAAGAAAAAAAAAAAATCTTGGTTTAATACATAGGACAGTAAGAAATCAGTAACTTTTTTATGAGCTTATTTTGTAGCACAAACCCGATTTTTGTTCCCTTGATATGAAGCTACAACTCTTCTGACTTTCATAATGACCTCATTTGCTGAGGATTAGCATCAAATGAAGAGGATGGCTAAGTTCTGATTTGCAAGGAGATAGAAGGGAAGTAATATATATTCAACTAGCCTTCCTCTGGAAGCCTTTGTTGAACACATGCAAACGGCACATTAAAGTACTTTAGAATGACAGTAATTTTTGCAGGGTTTGAGAGAAGCAAGCCATCTGGAAATTCTGAGCTTGATCACATTTGCAAACATTTGCTAAAATAGACGCTCAAGGAGGCAGACACAGGAAGGAGGCCTTTTCTGTGAATAAAGTGACAACGCACTGTCTGAAGGAATGAATGAAATACATACCCGCAAAAACCACTTTACGCCGCACCGTGAGATTGACGTGGCCTTGCTTGGCAGCTTGTTGCATAAGCTGGACCACAAGCTGGTGTGATTTTCCAATTACTGGCGTCCCATCCACACAGATTAATTCATCTCCAGACCTCAGGCGGCCGTCAGTATCAGCAGCACCCAGTGGTACGATGTGACCAATATAAATCTGTTGAGTAATTGAACGATGGATGAAACATTGCTCTCCTATGTTTACTGTTACATCAATAGCCTTCACATCTCTGGGAACAATTCATTCATTCATGTCTGCAGGCATGCCGCAAACATTTATTGAGCACCCACTGTGTACAAGACATTGTGCTAAGCACTGCAACAATTCTTAAATGGTGGAAAGAGTATTTCTTGCTTAGTTTCCAGATGTTTATCTGTGGCCTATTGATGACTCACTCTCTTTTTCCCCTTTGCAGATATAAATTACTTTTCTCCCTTCATTATATACCCTATTCTTCTTTGGTAGCTACCTAAAAACTCTCTTTCCATAAAACTCTGCTAATTAAAATATTAATATTACTTTTATTTAAGGGTCTAGCATCATGCCTAGGAATAGGGAATCTGTAATAAATACTCTTAAATGAATGAATGAAGCAAAAGTTGGTTGGACATCTCCATTTTTGAAGTCTTTTAGCACCCGAAAGCAGAGCACTCTTTATAGTTAGTGTCTTGCTGTTATATTTGCCATTCACTAAACCTTAGCTAAAATATTTGTGCCTGCCTTGCCTTTCCAGCAGACAATAATGCTATAGCTACCTTTACGTGGCATTTATAGTTTACAAAGAACTTTGACAAAATAGTTGCTAAGAACATGAACTCGAGTCAGACCTTATTTGTCAGTCCCTCCATTTGGTAGCTCTGCGATCTTGGGCAAGTTAGTTAGCCTTTCTTTTCCTTGATGTGAAAACGGGATAAACTGGTGGGTTTGACGGATAAATGAGAGAATGTATGTTAAGAGCCTTTAGCACAGAACCTGGCACATAGTAAGCGCTCGATGAATAATGGCTGTTATTACCACAAGGAAATTAACGATACCTATTTCAGTTTTCTTTTCTTCCTTCAAAGGAACCCTGTTATGTTATTCTAAATTTATTCCAAAATGGAGGACACTGAGGCCCAGGGAAGTTCAATGTTTCTTGACCCTTACTCAGGGTTCTTTCTCAAGTTTTGTAAAGGCAGGGGTCTGACATTCTCCAATCACTGTCTCATAAGGCTTTGCGAAGTACTCTCTGCACACCAGCAACTCAACATACAAAGCCTACTACCTGCTGGCAGAGTGAAGGGACCTGGCCAGAAGGACCAGGCCACTGTGATATTAGGTGATGCCTATTCCTGTTTTGCTTTCTGTTTTCATCTCCCTTGGGGGAAAAGGGGTGGTCTACAGAGGCAGCTCCCACCTTTCACAAACACTCATACAAACTTTTTAGAAAGAATCTAGTCTCTTCTTCCTCAAGACAAAGAGAGCTCCACAAAACCCAATGAGAAACCCACACTACTCAAGATTAAAGAGTCAGTGTTGCATCTAGCTGGACTTAAATCTTGGTGATTTGTCACTGTCGCCAATTTGCTTTGAAGCCTTAGAAAAATATGCTGGGAAGAGAGACAAGCAAAAGACTCACAGGTTCCCCTGGTTCATTTCCACCCAGAATCCTAAATCCAAATCCAGTCTCTTTTCTCCAGAGGAAGATGTCCTGTTCCTGGTAATCTGGAACTGCAGAGAGGGGAGAAAAAAGAGAAGGATTATTTTACTGATAAAAGCAATGATACCCCCAAGATGAACACAGTTGCAGGACAAGAATGGTGGTGCTTGATCAGATGGAAGATTTTCAATATAGGCAAAGAAACAAAATACTCTGAACAGGTGAAATAATGGAAGACACGGGGATAAACAGTGGGAATAGTCACTGAGCCCTAAAGTTCTTCACAGGACCCATCACTGTTTGATAATTCCGAATCAAGCCCAAGCCATGATCCTTAACTACAAATAGTCAGCATTAACTGCTTTCCTCAGTATTCTTGCAAGGAGAATTAAGTAAATTAAAATTATTATGTGCCACACCACAAAGCAGGTGTCCATGTCCAAGAACACTCAGGCTAAGTCAGAGTCACCTCTGAAGCCAGATCTAAGGATTCGGAAGTCATGTTAAGTCACCAGATGTTTCCTCTACTAGAGGATGAAAGAGAACAGCTTGGTTTAAACAGACTTTCTGATTTATCTTTAAGTCACTTTCTTCTTCCTTAAAATAATTAAGGCTAGCAATGCTAATAGGCTTTGTTAGATCATTTTTGCCAAAAATTACTCTAAAACATCCTAGTATTTCTGCATACAGTCAGTCCTCCATATCTGTGGGTTCTGCATCCTTAGATTCAACCAATCACAGATAGAAAATTTGTTAGACCTACAATGGTTTTAGCTGTGATGAATACGTACAGATTTTTTTCTTCTCGTTATTCCCTAAGTAATACAGTATCACAACTATTTACATGGCATTTGCATTGTATTAGATGTCATAAGTAATGTAGAGATGATTTAAAGTATATAGGAGGTGGGGTGCAGTGGCTCACAGTGGCACTCCCAGCACTTTGGGAGGCCAAGGCAGGCGAATCGCTTGAGCCCAGGCATTCAAGTCTGGGCAACATAGTGAGACCTTGTCTCTACAAAAAATAAAAAATGAGCCAGGTATGGTGGTGTGTGCCTGTACTCCTAGCTATTCGGGAGCTGAGGTGGGAGAATCACTTGAGCCAGGGAGGTTGAGACTGCAGTGAGCCATGATTGCCCCAGTGCACTCCAGCCTGGGTGACAGAGTAAGACCCTGTCTCAAATAAATAAACAAACAACAAACAAACAAATAAATAATATAGGAAGGGGTGTGTGTGTGTGTGTGTGTGTGTGTGTTACACACAAATATTAGGCTATTTTCTAGGGATTTAAGCATCCATGGATTTTTATATCCTTGGTGGGGGATGCGGGTGTCCTGAAACCAATCCCCAGCAGACACTGAGGGGTGACTGTACAAATTTTATTAGGATTTCAATACTATTACCAAAATCAGCCAGGCCTCCAAATCCTTAAGATCAATGGTGATGACAAAAAGTCTATGTTAATGAATCATATATCTCATTGCCAAAATGACTGCTTTACTCTAGAATTTGCCTATGATATTTCAGCATTAAAAGTATTAATTCATTTTCCAGTAACCTGATATTTTACTTTCAATACTCAGCAATGGTCCAGGGCTTTAAAATGAATATCTTGTTTTTTAAAACAAATGCAATTTCCATAAGAAAATACTTACTATACATGAAATTGTTCTATACACCACTCTGTTACTTCACTAAAGTAAAAGAGTTATTTCTATTTAATTCTTACGTAATATTTTAATGTATACATAGGGTGTTTTATGACCTATAAAATGATATATCATTTTTTTAAAGAGAAAAAATATATATTTCAGTTGCAGTGAATCCTAAAGGAGATTTTCAAATGCTATAGTGCATACCTTCTTATTTAATTAACTGGATTTGGGGCTGAAGGAAAGCGCAGGCCTGAGAATTTAATTCTTTTCTTCTCCAGTTTTGTACAATGGAATAGGGAAGAAGAAGGTGGATGTTTAGATTTTAGGTTGGCGAAGAGATGTCCCTTTTTAGTGATTCACCCACAAACTTAAAATGTATAGTGAATGAATACACCAACAGAGAAGAAACCAAGTGACCAGTAAGTACAAGTCAGAGGAGTTTGAATCTGATCTTTTTACTTGAGCTATCTCAGTGCCAGGGCTGTAAATGGGTGCTTTCTATCCACTGCTTTTATTATAATTGCTGAGGCTAAGCTGCAAAACACCCAGAACATGGAGCTAAGCTACTGCACAGGACTCCCATAAACACAATTTGAGAGTAATATTTTCTTGAGCACGCTAAGGTAACAATATTTTCTTTCTGTTCGAGTAGCTGGCTACAGGATATTTGCTGTAATAGCCTCAATGAAACAACAAATTAAATCAAGTTGTGTCTCCGTCTTTGAGTCACTCAAGCAAGAGGATTATTACTGAAATAGACCACTGGTGCTTTCCAGCCAGCACTGGGCTCCTGGCAGAGTCTGTTTTAGGTCTGCTGAGTGTGTGGCTTTTCTGGGAACAACGAAAGGGCCTCTGCAGAGACTTCCAGCCCAGACCCATTTTTCTCAGCATCATTTAACACCAGAACATTTGCCCATCCTACAGTGACACCAAATGTAACAAGTTTCTGCCTACTGTTGCTCATTTAGGTGTGAGCTAGCATGGTATGGGAGGTTGTGGCCAACAGATTTAGGCTTATCACACCGTTTAGGCCACATGGAAAAAAAAAAAAAAAAGCTTCGTTTCCTTCTGAGAATCAGTGGTAAATGGCAAATTTATTTAAAGGTTTTCTGTTGAAAAGGAAGATGCCCACTGACACTAGGGATGTTAAAGACACAAGAGTGAGCCAGAAAACACAGACATAAACGTCGACACACAGACACGTTACAAAGAAAGTCTTGCTACTTTAATTTTGGTATTTTAAGAATTCTACTCTTCTACCAACTAAATGCCATTTACCCCAATTTATAACTTTGGCAATAAATCAGTACTGAAACACATTATGGGATTATAAAATTTCTCTCTTCTGTGTCCTCTGAGGCCACCTCTTCTTAGAGGCATTGAAGTTTCTAAACTACTTCCCCCAAAATGGTTTTCTTCCTTACTTCAGGCAGATTTTATTAGAATTAAGTTTTTAGGCGGCAGTAAGGTAGAACCATTTTCCCAATATTAATATCACTTTTTTTGAGTGAGGCTAAATCAAATAGAGCTAAGAAAACCTTGTCCAATTTTCATTTGTAAGCCCCTGCATATGAACAGTTTCTGCAGTTAGTCTCCTTTGGGTAATGCCAGTGACAATTCAATAAAGCAGTCAAAAGACTTCCTTTGATAATTAGAAAGAATGGACCCACCAGATTTGCAAAGAAACTGCCTGGTGTCTCCATTACTACAGACAAACTAACACATTTCCAGACTTGACAAGGGCATGCAAAACCCTTTTTATTCCATCTTGTCTTTGGTTTGCGTTTGGTCAACAAGAGCTCCAAAGCACTTCCCTTCATGCCCCTTTTTTCTTCCCTCTCTTTTCTGAACTTCTCCCCAGGCCCCCAGACCAATGAGAACATCAAACAAGATGAATGAAAACGGAGAGACAAAAGTTTTCAGCGGATCCTTACTCGGACATTCTCCAAAATTCGTGGAATTGATTTCTCTCTCTCTCTCACCCTTGCTCAATCCCGACGCAGGTGAAGGTGACATAGCTGGAATATTAATTTCACAATTTTGCAAAGCTTAATGTACATTCTTTCTCTTAGTTCACTTTAATTTAGTTTTGATTGATAAGGAACAGTCAGTTCAGCTTTCACAATAAAGGTCATGGCTGTTATGTTAAAAGACTATAGTTTGATTCCATTTTTTCTTTCTTTTTTTTTTTACAGTGCTTTACTTGTAAAAAAGGTAGAATTTACAATTGCACCACTGAGAGTTTCCTATAACTCCTATTACTATCTTAAACTCTCCTTATTTAATGACATTCTAAAGTACACATTCTTGAATGGCCTTACTTCAATCATGGTTTGTCTAAAACCTTATTGCTTTTTGAAAAATTTAAGTATATTTGTGCTACCACTATACTACAGCATTTATTCAAAAGTGTATCAAGTCCAGGATGAAATTCATTCTTGTACTAATATCTGTTCAGGTGAATTCTAAGCATTTCAAGCCAGAATAGTCTTATATTTAGAGATGCAGATCAATGGATCTATCCGAGAACTGAACAAACACACAAATACAAACTCATAATTGCTCTTAAAATCTGGAGGTATATCCAAGCTTCTTAAGCTCACTATGATAAAGAAGCTCAATCGCCACTTCCAAACTTGTAAGCATGTCTCTCCAAGGCAGGACAGATTTACAATGTTGGTTAATAGGACAGTTTTCAGTTTTTTCTTTCCAAACTATATAGTGAACAGGCAAAGTTTCAACTATAAGCCTTATAATTTCTTTTGTAGTAAATGCTACTGGATAGGATCTGATTTTCCTAAACATTTACTAATAACACTGCATCGCTGTCGTTTTTAAGATGTGCACAATTCTAGAGAAACCATAAAACAGGCAACATGGCTTTTAAAGGACTTCAGTGCTCGTCTTTGTTTTTAATTAAACATTGAAACCCTTCAAAAGGATTCATGAACACATTTGTAATTCAGACTGATTCATTCTAATACTGCTGCCTTGAGAGATGGCCATATCAAAAATATGGTACATTGCAACACATTTAGACCATGTGAAGGAATGCGTTCACAGATTGTGTTAATCTCCACATTGCCCCTAATAAAAGAAAAGAAAAAGAAAAATGTATTTCCAACAAAAAGAGGGTAATATGGCACAGTTAAGCTGCTGTTGCTGACTTCAATTTTCCTGTTTTTCCTGGATTACTCTGCTCATTTTACTGTCTTGGGGGGAGGGGGCAGGGAATCACATCTAACAAGGCTATACACTTTTTTCTCTTTGAAAGACAAGATACAAAACAACCTAAGAGAATGGCAGAAACTGATCTCAGATAAAGAAAAATACTGATTCAAAGACGAGATTGATGCACGATCATTCCTAGGTGCTGTGAAAATAAGAAAATCTGTGACAGATACTGAATAATTACCATGGGGGCCAGGGGGAGGTCTCATCATTATCCTCATTTAGTAGTGAGGAAGAAATCCATGTGAATGTTAACATCAATTAGGTTGCTACTATCTATCCGTCAACTACAGAGACTCCAATTACCAAAAAGGAACAGGTTCTCATTTGTGCTGCTCTATCCGATTCCTTAGATGTTAAAGAAAGTGAAGGAACAAAACTGGCACCATTCCGAATTTTTTTTTTTTTTTTTTTTTTTTTTTGAGACAGTCTCGCTCTGTCGCCCAGGCTGGAGTGCAAGTGGCATGATCTCGGCTCACTGCAAGCTCCGCCTCCCAGGTTCCAGTGATGCCTCCTGCCTCAGCCTCCCGAGTAGCTGGGACTACAGGCGCACGCCACCACACCCGGCTAATTTTTGTATTTTTTAGCAGAGACGGGGTTTCACCATATTGGCCAGGCTGGTCTCCAACTCCTGACTTCGTGATCCGCCCGCCTCAGCCTCCCAAAGTGCTGGGATTATATGACTGAGCCGTGGCGCCTGGCCCCGAATATTTCAGTCCGGCTGCCACCTGAGCAACTTCAGTACTTACAGTAGCTGGCTATGGCCACATTACATATTTTCCTAATTTTTTTTTCCTAGTGAAAACTTTTTAGACACATTTGATTAAGTCAAATTCTTAAGAAAATTTGCCGCCACCAGGGTAAAAATGGCATTTGAGCAAGAGCCTTCTATTAAACGGATGTTTTACAATTGTCCTGTCAACCCAGGACGCCCCCGCCAGCCCTTCAGAATGCAATTCATTTTATCACAAAAAGATTCATACAGGAAAACTCAATCATAAATGTGTACTGTATTGAGGAGAGCAGGAGTTCGGTCAATAAAGCAATATCTCAACATTAACTGAAGTTGGGCCATTGACTGGACGAGCCACAAGCTCAGAGAGAAATGCGCGGGGAATGTGAAAACGCTCCTCTTTGGAAATATCTCTTAAATGGTTTTCTTCAGTGAAATCACTACAGTGAGCGAGGAGACACAATGAGGACAGAACCTGGTTCCTGGTTAGCATCCACTGCATATGAGGTCATTCCAAATGGAACTTCATTTCCTTTAGTCAGGCCTCAGGGGTACTTTAGGGGTGTCTTTCTAGTCCAGCGACTAAATAAGTCCCTGCTCAAATTAGTGGGCTTTTTGTCAGCAGAGTGAACTTGTAGCCAAAACAGCCTATTTAATTCCATGCATTGTGGTACCAAGAAGGCAGTAATATTTCTCCCTTGAGGAGGAAAAGGATGAAGCCCTGAGTGACTCCTAACATTTGATAACCAGCAAGACTCCAGGCTCACCTCTGCCCCCCAACTGCTGAGCATCATTCAGTGGACTGACCAACTTTCCTCCTCAGACAAGGATGCTGGCCTCACTGCCCCATTTTGCTTGGGTCACAGAGGAGTCGACTTTCAGCATGCACCTCGGCCGGCAAAGGAAGCACAGCATGGCCAAGTCTGTGTAGTGGACGGGAGGCCAGGGACCCACACCTCACACAACCTCTCTGCCACGACTCTCGATGGGGACCCTGCTGAGCAGTGACCACATTTGCAGCTAGGAATGAAACCTGTGCTGAGGGGAGGATGAGCAAAATGATTCCCTTCACTCTTCCAGCTTCTCCCAGACCCTTCAACAAACCGAATCTCCACCATCACAACACCTCTCTCCTACCCCATACCAAAAAGAGAAAATGAGGTATCTGTCCTTCATAGCTGCCTCACCCTGACCATTATAAGAAAACATCAGAAAACAGCCACCCAACAACAACAATCAATTTGCATCGCCTAAAATTAAGGCATTTTTAGGAACTTTCATTGGTAAGATAAATGAATATTATTTATGGTGAATAGTTTTTGGAAATCATTTCATAATAAAAAGACGTTAAACATGAGGGTGATATTATGTTTATACAAGCCAAGAAGTTACAAAGTATACTATCACTGGCTCATATTTATAGAAAAGGTAAAGCACTGGATAAGTAATTAAAGCACAACCACTCACTGCTATGGTTTTTTCCTTTTCATGGGGAATGTTTAGAGAGATTATAATGGTTAAAAAAAATTACCAGTATTTTTAAAAATCAAGAGACCACTTAAAAAGCATTTAATTTCTTCTCATTAGCCCAAAATCCCAGTCAAACATGTTTAAGTTCTGTTGCATATCAGATTTGTGCTCAGAGCACATCACAATCTCCACTCGGAGAATTAATGAGACAGCAGCTCTTATCTACCATTCCTTTTAACTGAAGGGACGAAAAAACCCATTTTTACCCAGGGCATTTATGTGATAACCATCCACTTCTACCCCCTCCCCAAAGTGAAGGCATAGTGGAGACTCCATGAATAGCCAGCAGAGTCCACTCCCTCTGTGATACTTTTGCATCTTGCGGATTTCACTTTACCCAGTTTACACACTGCAACTCATCTATTTTCAATAACCTTCAAGAGAAAGGTAGAGCCCTGCGGAGGGGTCAGGGTAAGACAGAGGCCAGGATGCTACTCACGTCGGTTTTCATACATGCTCCTGGACTGGGCCCAGATTTTAAAAGGATCTGGTTTTTTCTGGCCAGAGCTGTCAGTTTGATCTGGAGCTTGGGCCTCTGCAGGTGGGAACTCGGGGAGCACCTGTGTGCTGTGGCTTGGGGATGCTGTGTGCAGGCTTCGGTGGCTGGAAACACTGTGCTGAGAACTATTCTGGCTGTCTTTCCTTTCCAGTGGTTGCTGAAAGTAAGCAAGTGAGAGGGGCAAGAAGAAAAGATTATTATTGGTTCTCTGAATGGGTGCTTTCCACCAGCTTGTCTTTGTTTAGCACTTTTGCATACACATACATATCAACAGTATTTTGGCTCCCACCTTTCTCCAGCTAATGCTGAATGTAGATAAATCCCCAGGTGACTGGCAGACAAACAGAGGGGTGGGCCAGATAGGAAGACATAATCATAACCCATACTGCTCTCTGGGCTACAGCGGAAAACAAATCTGATATTCATCACAGGTTCTCAGCTAAGACGCTATGCTCGTTTACTGCAAGATGGATCAGTTTTAACATTTTCATTTTCACAAAAATATGTGACACCAAATACCATGAGTGGTTTAGGATAAGGCTATAATATCCAGAAGAAATATAATCAGGGCTAAAGATGCTCCTCAGGACTCCATGTCTTGTACCTTTTAATAATAAAATACCCAATTCCTCTCTAAGAGTTTGCTATCCATTCTTTTCGACTATTAAAAAAAAGGAGGTCAGATCTTTTAAAAATCATGCCTAGTATTATATGTTTACTGGTATTTCTAGGTGTAGAAATTACTAATATATGAAGAACTTCCATAATTCTTAGCTAATCAATTTGGCAAGCATTACACTTCACCTCTTAAACTGCCGATAGTACTGTTGGTTGAAAACCAAGATCAAACTTTGTATATGAGTTGACCTCTGGGGGCCAGCCTTCTTAGATCTGCAACTTCTCCAAAGTCCAAGTATTATAATATTCAAAGGGGAAGAGTTCCATTTAAATTTCAGTTGAATAACCAAGTCCTTGTTCATTAAAATCTGCTCAGCAAAGACCCTTCTCATTTTACAAAAAGCTCTGTTAGAATGGGGAATGAATGGAGAGTAAGACCTAATGGAAAGGAAAATAGTGGGTAGAACAGAAAATAACTGTAGTTCTTATTTTCTCCAATAAAAGACTGTGGTAATCTCAGGTGTTTAGCATTCCCTATTCAAAACAAAAAATCCTGCAGTCATGCCTCATATACCATAGACACCATGTCACTATACTTAGCTGATTTAAAGCATTGTATGGGGTAGAGGACAGGAAAGGGCTCTCCATTCTCTTTTATAGATCCTGTAGAGCTCGTGGTTTTAAAGTACTTTATAAGAGCTTTGACCTTGATCATTCTAGATCCCTGAAGTTCTTTATAGAGCCCAAATCTTCCACCAGGTGTTCCGATCAATCCTATCAAGGCCATTCTTCCTTGCTGTCTCCCCGAGTATCCTTCATCTTTCATTCCCCTGGAATTCTGCTGGAAATTTGCAAGGTCCCTTCATTTAATTCTCAGGTCCCTATACTTCCTCTCCTTCCAGTAATTGCTTTGAAACAAGTATCTGAAGAAAGCCCAAGGAGGACAAAAACTTCATCTGCTCTTGACTATTACAGATTTGAATGGAGGTATTGGCAAGGATTCAAAATTGAGAACAATTGGACATGCATTCAATGAAGGCAAGGTAGACTGTTTAAAATTATACTTGATGTGCCTGCAGGAGAAATTTGAGGACCATATTCTAACCTATCCTGGAGGTCTTGGGAAAACTGTATGAGAGGCTTAATTCACTTCAATTCAAGGGGAAAAACATACACTGTTGCAGATGCCAGGAAAACACGCTGATGTTTGGGTGGGAACAAACACCATCATAATCCCACGTCACCATTTTTCTCTTTTGAGGATCAAGTGCTCAGCTCAGATTTGGTTGCCATTCCAGAGTTGATAGAACCTGGCTCTGCCAACTTCAACAGTTTCTCCTCCAACAGTGAATTCAGCTCCCAGGGCCAGAGTGAGAAAATGTAAATGATGGATACCATACTCATTTTCTTTTGCATGCACATGGGACAGTTGCTTTTTTTCCCCCCCTCTTCAATGTGGTCTTTACAAGGGTCTTGATTATAAACAACCATGTACAGTATCAGCCCTTTTTTTGTGTGAACCTACATAACAACACATAGAAAAAATGGGATTATGGGTGGAGTTTTTCCCTCTTATCATTATACTTTCCCATATTACCTACCTTTTTTACTTTTATGGTGCATAGAGAATACTTTTTATAATCAAGACAAAATTTAAAGTCATTTTCATTTCAAAATGAACCTTGGTAAATAGAATTAACGGGAACTGCTACTTCCTATTTTTTTACATTTTAGTAATGTTTTACTTTTGTTCACCTCTGAAGGGGAAAGATATTTTAAATGTAAAAGCAAAAAACTCAATAAAAGACCTCTGCATTTACCCTGAGAGTGGCATGCCTCCCTTCAAAGGACCACTCTCTTTTGGTTCCTCAAATTAATAGATGCCAGATTGATTCCAGGGTCGGCCTATAAGCACTAAATTCTGACCCTGGAAGCTCTGGTCTCATCGTGTTGAAATTACGCTTCACAAAGGCGTGCACACTGCAGGATTACCTGCAGGAAACAGCCTTGTGCTGCTGCTTCTTTTGTAGGGTTATTGGCAGTTTCTGTTCCATTGTCTTCTTGGGCCATTACCTCCTGAAGCCTAACTCAAACCTTTTCCACTTGATTCTTCTTCCTGAACTGGAGAGAAATATCCTTCTGGCATCCCTGACCCACTGAGAAAGTCTGATAAAAGTACTGGACCTGTCTCCCAGAGAAAATGCGTATGTGCTTTTACATACATACCTGTACATGCATGTGCAGAGATTCAGCATGTCACGTCATGGGTTTTTGAAACCCTCTCATGTCTGTCCCAGTATAAGAAATCCCTGACATGGAAGAACCTAGATCTCTTACATTTAACTGAAGAGATGGTTCCACCAGAAATAGAGAGTGCAAATGAAGTCTACTGGAAATGCTTGGGCCATTTTTCAAATTATAACACCCTTTCTCACCTCCCCAATAAATGACTCATTTAGGTCCAATTTAACACCAAATGACAGACACAATCTGGAATGAGTTTGCAAAACTGCCTCTCGGTCAAACTGCACCTCTGAGTCTCCTTTAAATGCCATCTAAACTTTATACCTCAAACTGGAAAATAAAAGTAAAGGAGCATCCTGAGAATATGCTCTAAAAACTGTGCCACCACTCAACTATCTCTAACTGGCATATATAAATGGCACACCAGTGGGCTAAATACACAATAATCTGGAAGCTTTTTGGATGTTCTCCCTGCTAAGACTTAACCTCATTCTATGTTCCTTCTCAAGTTCAATTATGAAAACTCATTAATTTGAAGACATATTCTGTAATTTAATATCTTGTGGGCACTCTGGATTTTTTAAAACTATGCTGTGGGTGTGAGGGGAGTTCAAAGTAATTTTTTTTTTATTTTCTGTTAGCATTCTAATTAGCTATGAGGTTGTCCTTTATCTGGTTAGAGCCCAGAACTGTCCAGGAGAAAAACCATGTTTATATATCTCCCAAATTAAAGTCAACTTGTGTGCATTTTCAGCAGTCTGGATCACCTCCCAGAAGACTAGGGGCATGAGAATACGTTCACTTCTGAACTATTTATGACACAGGAGCAGATTTGCATTTAATGCAATTGTATTTCACCTCATTTTCCTAGGTGAGACACTAGCCCAAAGACAAGTAGCTGTAGTTAAAAGTATACTTTTAAGTCTGTTAACGAAACCCTGTGCATACTAAGAACATGGAAAAATGGAAAAACCTAGTACACAAATGATATAACATCCAGCCCAGGCCCTCCTAAGTGTGCTGCCCTACCTGCAATAGATTTATTCACTTAACCCAATAAATACATAGGATCACCTGCTGTGTGCCAGATACTGAGGGAAACAACATGTAAATAAGGAATAGATGGTACCTGAGCTCTTGAAATTTATCCCTGGGAATGTATCTAAGTGTGTGTATACATAGTGTGTGTAGATGAATATTAATAAAATATAATCTATTGATAGCAACACACTGCAATGTCCTTTAGAAAGGTGGTAAAGAGAGGACTCTGGAAGAACCCTACTAACAGAAAGAGAAGGCTGGGCATGATGGCTCACACATGTAATCCCAGCACTTTGGGAGGCCGAGGAACACAAATCCCTTGAGGTCAGGAGTTCGAAACCAGCCTGGCCAACATGGTGAAACTCCATCTCTACTAAAAATACAAAAATTACCCAGGTGTGGTGGCATGCACCTGTAATCCCAGCTACTTGGGAGGCTGATGCACGAGAATCGCTTGGAAAGGTGGAGCTTCCAGTGAGCTGAGATCACACTACTGCACTCCAGCCTGGGTGACAGAGCGAGACTCCATCTCAAAAAAAAAAAAAAAAAAAAAGAGGGTGTGCTAAGTGGACTTTCTGAAGAACAAAAAAGCTAATGTGACACAGCAAGGGAGGGTGGCCTGAGAGGAACTGGGAGGCCACATAACGCATGAGCCCTGTGGGCTACGTAAGGAGTTTGGGTTTCATTCTTAGTTTCAAGAGGGGGAATCCATTAATGAATTTCAAGTGGGGATGTTCCAAGAGCCAACATGTTTCCAGAAAGTTTGGTGTCGCTACTGGGTGGTGAATGGATTGGTGGGGAAGAGGAGTGAATGCGGAGAGGCCAGTCAGGAAGCCCCAGGTGCAGTCAATGTGGGGACCTGAGGTGGGCAACACCAGGGTAGCTGGAGTTACCCAGGAAAAGAACAAGTGAGGTCAGAAGACACTTTGTTGCCAAATTCAACAGGGATTGCTGACAGACTGAATGGAGGAGGCTTAGGAGCAGGAGGATGGAGGGGACAGGAGAGAAGGGAGGTGAAGAGGATCACCAAAAGGAGGAGAGCTTAGAAACAAGGATATCCATGCACCACATCTCTACTGTGAGTAACTGGTTGAGAAGGGGTGCCACATATTAAGATAGGAATTTCCAATGCTAATTGTTGTCATTATGCTGATATTTTTGAAGCAAGAGTCTTATTGCTGAGTCTCAATTCATAGCCAACTAGGAATATGGAAATGGGCTCAATTAAAAAAATTCCATAAAGGTCTTTGGCCACATGTTGGCCATGAACCTGTATCACAAGACCTTTTAAACTAAAACTAAAACTGTACCAACCTCTCTGAAATGAATGATTCCCTTACTTACTGTCAGGCCAGGGAAATTGGGAAGACATAATGGTTTTTATAAATGGAAATGCGAAAAAAATCAACTCATCAGTATTTCCCAGAATGATTTCAAAATGTAGGTACTTAGAAAGTGAACTGAAAATATTTGCTTGGAAGAGCAAATGAATACAGACAGCACTTAGGAGCTTAAATGATGAAAAGAATTCATGTGGCTTAAAAATGACAAATTGATCCATTTTAAAGCAAAATTATTTACAGTTCACTTATCTGCCAAGAGCGAAGGCTACTGCAGCGATTTACATGGACAACAGGAAAAACTCCAAGTGCTGATGAGGTATTAGGCCAACGTCATTAAAGGGTGTGTGAAAATCAGAGACTCGAATCCAAGCCAGTGCAGAGGATGGTCATTCCTTTTGTTTGTTTCTTTTATCATTTATGGGTCTAAGTCAAACGATTTCTTCCAAAAAGGTGGGCGAGAGGAGTTAATGCAGAAGAAAAGGCAGGCACTGACTGGATATGAAAATGGGTTCTGGTTCACATTGCATGTTTTAAAGGAATGTAATACAATGGCAAAGTCCATCTTCCAGGGCTCCAAAAGGCAGAGAAGGGGAGTTGCCACGGGAAGTGAGAGGCAAGGAGACTGACTGAAGTGATCCTATGCCTTCACCCATCTACTA
Source organism: Homo sapiens (assembly GCF_000001405.40). NCBI lineage: Eukaryota > Metazoa > Chordata > Mammalia > Primates > Hominidae > Homo > Homo sapiens. Next base: position 65,397,107 of record NC_000003.12, read on the forward strand.
CTCTCACTGTTTCTTCTTGTAGGCTGTAGAAGCTTTGATGGGATCAATCATCATGCTGGTTGTCACACAAGTGGCATCAGGGAAAAGGAAGACAGGTGCCACACAACTGTGTGAGTCTGAGAAAGAGGCAGGGTACATAAAACGGAATGATCTAGGCCAGGGTCACTTAGTGTGTGTGTGTAAAAGGAGTCTCTCCCTCACATCTCTTAATGACTAGTTTTCAGCAATTTCCTTTAGCATCTCTTGCAGGGGAAAGGGACAGAGAGGATAGTGGAACAAAAACCTATCACTGTGGCTACCCTGCCGACAGCTTGCTATGTCTGCTCTAAAGAGGCTGTTGAAGAGACTGCTTCTTCAATGCGGATGGGCACTGGATGCTTTGCCCACCATCCAGGGTCCTCTATATAAAAACTTTTTGTAGGATTTTTTTTTTTTTTTAGTGAACAGGAAACTCTTGTCTCTTTAGTGAATATGGTACACTTTCTTTCATCTGACAATAATAGCTAAGTAAAGAATGTGGTTTCCTATGTTGCCTAGGCTGCTGGGGAACTCCAAAGTACTCCACAGCTCAATCACAGCACTTATTCAATCGTGGGTGTTGGCATTTTATGATGACTTATAAGTTATTATAATTAAGAGTGGAATGATTACATTATGTGCGTACTTGCTTCCATGTTATATTTCTGCTTTATTAATGCTCATCACACTTTAATCCCTATGAGGTGAGGATCTTTGTAGATCTGCCTGTTAATGTGGTTATTATTTCTCCCTCCCCATTTCCATGAGGGCAGGGATGTTTTCTGATTAATTCTTATCCAATATTGGCACTGGGTCTGGCACACATAAAATAATAAATACTTATTGATGAAATGACTGCATAAACATTTTGGAAATTTGTGGCAATTAATCTTTTTTTTTTTGCAAGGAGCAATCAATACACGGTTTGTTTGCAAACTGCAAGAAGAGAGGTGCCATGACCACCTTATTTATTATAGTATTTCCAGTGCTTCACACCAAACCTGTTATTTAATGGGTTCTAAATACTAGTTTTCTGAATAATGGATGAATGAATGGATGAAAGATGAATATGTAGGTGGAGCAACAGATGGATAAATAGAAGATGATAGCTAGGTGTGGTGGCACATGACTGTAATCCCAGCACATTGGGAGGCCAAGATAGGAGGAGCACTTGAGACCAGCCTGGGCAAGATGGTGAGACTCCCGCCTCTACAAAAAATATAAAAATTAGCCAGGCATGGTGGTGCATACCTACAGTCCCAGCTACTTGGAAGGCTAAGGCAAGAGATTGCTTGGGCCCAGAAGTTCGAGGCTGCAGTGAGCTATGACTGTGCCACTGCACTCAGCCTTGATGACAAAGTGAGACCTCATCTCAAAAAAAAAGAGGGGACAGATTAAGGGAGAAGAGTTGGGAAATGAATTCATACGAAAACGGTGGATACTGACTTAAAATTCAGGGTTTGGTGTGATATTTAGTTTTAAATTCTCATACACAACATCCTTGTGGGTGATTTAGACTGAGAGTCTCAGTGAAATGAGTTTTCAGTCAGGATGATTAAGTTGGGCCACAGAATCAGTTTCCCAGAGAGGTCTAAAACCTGACAGAAAATATGTCTTGTTTTTGTCTCTGCTATTTGGCAGAAAAATCCCTGATGTTATGAAAGTCCAGGTATTAAATTAATAAATTTTTATTAAGATACTGCCATTGTCCCCAATGAGTATATAAACCACAATTTCAACATTTAAACTAAATCTTGAAGGTGAAATTGCTTATTAAGAGTAAGCTACAGGGACTATCCAGGAGAAGAAACAAGATAAAAAAAGATAAGTCCTTCTGTTCTAATAAAAACTCAACTACTTAATTATTGAAAATCTTAAGAAAAAAAAAAGGTATGAGGGCAAAAGGAAGCTGCCAATCACATGAGCAAGCCAACATTGTCAGGAGCCTCTAATAAAATAAACAAAACAACCACAACACAATGGTCCTGAGCTAAGACCACTGTGCACATATGCACAGAGCTATTGCCAAATCTAAGTGAGTCACAACCCAGGTACAATCAGTGTGCTTTTAATTATGCATCCTGCATAATTGACCTTATGTGTCATTACTTGAATGGCTTTCTGGTACCAGGACATCCAGCTTCCCTGTGAATTCCCTCTGACCCCACCAGAAAAATCCCATAATCATCTGTCTCCCTGGCAGGACATCATCAAAATTCAAACTGGGAAAGGGAAACCACTTTCAAGCCACCTGTACAGAACTCTCACTGATCACAGATGTTAGCAGCACTTTACATCCAACAGCAGCCCTTGGCCGACAGCTCCCAAATTTTGTACAGCAACTGCCAGTGTGTGCCAGCAATGCTGTGAAAACCCTCAACCCTGTCCTGGCACAGAAATCAGGTAAGGACAAGCCCCAAGCTGGGGGCTTATTATTTTCTAACCCAGCAACACATCACTCTCTTAGCTTGTGGTAATTAAGAACCAGCAGACTATGGGTAAAGCAGTTGAGAGCTTCTTTCTTAGGAATGCAGCCCAAGTAATTGGCTTGCTGCTTGCTAATGATATGGCTTCTGCAAAAATTAACTGTCATAGGGAATTCTCTTAACTGACTTGGTGAATGCAGGTTCAATACCTATTTGATAGCCTTTGGGTTCACCAGGTAATTCCAAAACACTTGGGGGAAACAGAAATGCAAATGAATTACAAAAATCCTTTGCACACTAAATTTAAATGGAATGCAAAATGGAAAAGAACACCTTGCTACTTGACGTCATGCTACCTGTGCAAAACTACTATGTCTCCCTCAGCACACTCCTTGTTAAGACTCCATTCCATGTAGGGTGTGTAAAATAAGCCCATGTATCAACATAGCATGGCTGGGGTTGGGGAGAAAAAAGGAGGGTTCGTGCTAACTCAAGCTTATGAGACACATCTTCTGGATTTCCTTCCATTTCTCTGAAGGCGGATGGGTTACTGGCTATGACCAAGGGACAGGGAGACACACATGCGCACATGCACACACTTTGGCATCTTTGTGGTTCCAATGTGGGCACCAACCAGCACTTTTCTGCCTGGACGTTAACACACACTGACAAGGAAACCAGCCCTGAAGTCAAAGTTCCAATCACCACGGCACTATGCCATCGGAATCACATCAATTATTGCAGGTTTTTCTCTTTGGAGAACTTAGGAGTGAGGTTTAAAATGCAGGAAGCTCCCTCTCTCATCTCCTTAATAAACTTCTGCCTCATGCTGCCAGGCTTGGAGACAGGTGGAAAGAATTCAGCTGCAGCGCCGTAAGCCGCAAAGTTTTCAAGGTTCTCCCTTCCTGGATGGCACGAGGCTGTACATTTTCCCTCCCCCAAATCTTCTAAACCACATGGAAACATCCCTCTTTATCCTAATGTTAATGAATTGGGAAGCCCCTTCCACCCAGATCAATTTCACAGGCACTGGAGTTCCAGATGTTGAGTTAAGCAGCATTTTAATTTGTCATTAGTGCCCCGGGAGCATAAACCCATACCACCAAGCAAAACACTATAGCCTCTAAGCTATTAGCTAACATGTCAACTAGGTAATGCATCTTCAGGGAAACCAGATTGGAAAGGACAGCAAAACATTGATTTTTTTTTTTTTTTTTTTTTTTTTTTTTTTTTTTTTTTAAGAATCCTATACCTGCAGCATAATGCTGCTAAAGCTGGCAAAACAACAAAGGACATTTCTACAGCAAGGAAATGTCCTATTCTCAGTGCTGGGGCAGTGAACATTGTTCCATCTGAGCATGGTCACATATATGGGGCAAAGCAATTCTTCCTTAAACCTACAGGCTTTTTATTTTGTAAATAATTCATCCTCCGGCGCCTAAGAAAGCTAAGGGAGAGAATGGGTAGACATGTGAACGGCTGGGAACACCAGTTGAGAGCAATGCTACTCACGGAGCAGGTGGAGCTTTCTTTTTTTCTCTCCTTCCAAAGGAAACAATAGCATTTGTATCAAGTGAAAACGGCTAAGAAACTCATCCCTTTGAAGGAGAGTGTGGATGCATTTGTATAGAGAAGATTTCAAACATGCATTCTTTATCCTGGCTCCTGCAGCCTGCCCACAAATCACTATACAGTTAAAGACAAGCCCAAATACCTTGTATAACAAACAGATCCCCAGAACTTAAGAAAATGAGCCCCGGCTCCTGTCTCCCCCATCCACTGTAAAACACATTTAGTGAAGTGAAGCCACACAGAGTACCCTCCCACCTCCAGCCCCCCACCATCCACCCCAGCCCCAACAAGCACCAAGTAACTGACAAGTCCTTACCGACTTTGGGCTCTTCTTGGGAACTGGCAGCCCTGGAAAAAATGCAACAAGGAGGGGAGGGGGGAAGAAATCATTAGCATATAAATGTTACCTTTTCCTTAAAGAACAATCCCCAGGTGTTCCATGGCAACCTAGCCATCTGCAGAGTTATGTCAGATTTCTCCCCAGCATCGGAGTTACCAGGCTGTTCATATCGAATCAAAGCAGAGGGAGGAGGAGAGCGAGAGGCAGGAGATCTATCTGCATTAGCTATGCTGACTTGTACTGCAGCAGCCTGGAGGCTGGGAAAAGAAATTCACAGACCTCAGCGGCCTGGGAAATTGAACACTTGGACAGAATCTCAAATGCTCTTCTGGATTAAGAGAGACTTAACTTACAATTAAGTCCAGGTTATTTCCTTTCCACACGATCCACTTGTCAATTGAAACGGACCAATCAGGACAGAGGAAAGGGTATATATTTAGTTTCAAAGGAGTACATGGTTAAAATTAAAAAAATTTTTTTGGTCTTTTCTTTTTTTTTCCTCTGCCTTTCGGAAGAGGAAATGCTTTCTTTATTTGGATGAGCTCAATACCAAAACAAAGACGGATGCTCTTTTGCCAACACAGAATGCTAACAAATGAACACAAATCCAAGTTGCTCTAGGGTCCCCTCTGGATCATCAGCACATGTCTGTCTCAACGTCTGCCAGTCATCCAAGCAACCTCCTACTCACAGCTTGTTGGAAAGGAATGGAGCAGGATTAGCCCTCAGGAGGGAAAGCATGTCATTTGGGAGTGAAAAAGAAAAATTGCACAAAGCTGAAAGAAAAAGATAATAATGGAGAAAGAAAGGCAAAGGTGGTCATTGAATCCAGCTGGCTCTTCCAAAACCCTGTCCTTAGTGGGAGGGCTGGAGCTGGAAGGGACAAGTGATCTCCTCAATTCTAGGGAAGTCAGGAGCAATTGGGGGCAGACTTATGGGAAATCTACCACCAGGGAAGGGTGCGAAAGACAGGCGAGAAAGGAAAATAAAGCGTACACTGGTGTTTCAAAAGTAATCATTTCTGCAAGCTGTTGCCTCTTTTGATTTTTTTCTTTGGGCAGGAGTTAGAATGCAAAATACAGATTCTATCTGTATAAAGCACACAAGAGATGCTTGGGATCTGGTGATGCTGCACCGGAGATTTCAACCTGTTTTTCAAAGTGATTCCTAGGGAGTGTGACGATCTCAACTCTTTTGGAAGTGACTTGTCAAACCATGAGCCATGCTGAGTTCAGCACAAGTAATATGAGGCGAGGCAAGGCAAGTGGGTGAGTAAGGAGGAAGCAGCCCAGATGAGCCGGCAGAGTGCCCACTGGGAGTGAGGCATGATGAGGATTACTCGTCGTGGGAGGCATGAGGGCACTCTCTGGCAAGGTTCCTTGCATCACCAAAATGAGGTCACCATGGAAGCCTGGCTCCCAGACCTCAGAGGGCATAAGGCACACTCAGTAGTTTGTCAGAAATGCAGCAGCCCAGGTCCCACCACTGGGGGCCGAGGAATCTGCAGTATTAACAAAAATTCCAGGAGATTCTGATACAGAGAATCTGAGGACCATATTTAAGGAAACTCTGATATGGTAGAGTATTACTCTTTCAAATCAGGCAAACTCAGATAGGCATCCTTTAACAAAGTGCTTTGGGGCCCTCTCTGTCTCAGTTTCTCCATTTATAAAGGGAAAATAGTAAGACTCACTTCACAAGATTATTAAGATAATGAAACAAGAGAAAATGTTTAAAAGCCTCCTACCTGGCACAGAGGAGTTACTCAAATGTCTACACCTTTTCACCCTCCTTAGCTAATTTACATCATTCAGAAAGGAAGTGGTATAGTTATCTTGCACTAACTAGAGAAAAATCATCTGCTAAGCATATTAAAATATAAAAAAGATTATAGGAGAAAATATTTTACCTATGGATACAAATAACTGTGTTGAACAATTTTGATATGTCTTTATTTTTTAAAATAACGATTAAGTGCTTTTTTTGGCTTATTAATATGATTCCCTTAAGAAATTTTATTAGGTTGTATAAGTGTGGGTCACTGTATAAACTTCAAAATTATATAAGATGACATCTTTAAATTCATATTTTCTCCTAATTCAGAGAGACCTTCTTAGTTAATTGGAATCAGCAAGGTTTCACCATAGTTATCTTTTACTGCACTTGACTCTGCCCAGGATCCCAATGACCTACATGAAAATTTGGAAACAATCCCCCATTAGGTAAGTAGAGTCAGGGAAAATGGTTTCAATCTATACTCTGCTAATCATTTGTAAGACTCTGGCTGATCTTCAAATCCCTTCTCTTAAGAGCTTCATATATAAAATAAAGGGCATTTTTCATTCTCTAGCAATGCACATTCAAAGGTGCATTCACAACGATGTTCAGTGCAATATTGTTGGTAGAAAAGAGAACTGGAAACAACTGGAAATTCTAAAAAACTGTGGGGCAGCCAACCTACAAAGCTAGGTTAAAAGGAATGAGCTATCTCTACAGGTAACAACATAGTCTTTAAAACATAATGTTCAGTAAAATGCCACACTGCAGAATGGCAGGCACAGCAGGAGACAGGTGTTCCACACACTCAAACACATGTGTGGCTTTTGCCTTCCATGAACGTCCACATCAAATGGATAATGGGGATATGTTCAATAGTGGCAAGGAGGGGCAAGGATCAGAGGGACTCATTTAAGGAGACTTTAGCCTTATTTAGAATTCTTTTTTAAGACCAGCATTTTCACATATCACTGATGCAATAAAATACTAATTCAAAAATAAATATTAATTAATTAATGGCCCCTTCATTGTTAACTACACAAAGCCAACCAGTCTGAAGGATATGGGGGTAACCAGTTGAGGTCTGTTTCCTCTGAGGAAGTAGTCCATGGAATATTCCAGAAGATCCCAGCTCAACTGACACAACAAACCGTATATTACAACAAATAAGAAAACCTTTGTTTAAAGAGGCATTTGTTCCTCTTTGCCGGCTAGTTGCTGAAAACCTTCATTTTAAAAAGCCACACCTTTTACAGCAGCCCAAAAGCAGGTTACGACCACAAATTAATATTTAAATAGTCAAAATCAAGAGACTCCACTTGATTGCTTTTTAAAAAAAGAACTCAAAGATTTGTTTTAGGCCCACATGGTCATTAAATCTTAAAATCTAATACATATGAATGCTGGAAAAACCTTACTAGTTTATAATTTATTTTAGCCCAAACTATTCAGATGGATTGAAAACAGCTGGGAGACCTAACAGAAAAGACTCAAAAGGTCACTGCTTGCCAAGACAGAATGCTCCAAGACCTATCAAAGGAGATAGCGAGTATGTAACTGGTTAACTGCAGACATATCCCTACCAGCCAGGCCATAGGAAGCAACATCATCCCATACTTCATGGCATACCAGTGGTCTTCCCTAGACAAGCAAACACTTTGTATGCCTTGTGGCAGCAGGAAGTCTGTGTTCTACAAATCATGTCACATATCACATATAAGGCATACATATAAGGCATACGGCACCTGTCTTAATGGGCTTGTCTGGTCCATTCAGGGTAAGGAAGGGGAACTCTCAGAAGAGGCAGAAGAAAGAGTTTATGGATGGCAGCATCCGCTCTTAGGGCCTTAGAAGGCAGCAAATATTACTTCTAAGGGATCCCAGAAAACTATTCCAGGGAAGTGTATGTTCAAAGTGTGATCTGCAGGAGCGAGAAAAGCTTGGGACTTGAGTATCTAAAGTTCTCTATTAAAATGGTGTCATTTTGGAAAAAACGAATGGCAAATTCTTTGCTAGTGACTGGGACCTGACCAACTAATGTAAGGAGGAGAAATCTGTTTTCCTCTAAATATCAAGGCCATAAACTATAACTAAATGGCAGAATGTCATAGTTGGTGAAATTTTATAATGCTTGTACACAAATAATTTATATGAAAAAAGTAAAGCTGTAACAGAATACATACCATTTTGCAAAGAAAGGCTAGAAGGTTATGTGCGAAAACAGTATTTTCTTTGGCTCATGGGATTATGCGTGGCTTTATTAACTATTTTTAGTATCTCTACATCAAGAAAAGCTTTATTTATTTATAAATACACACATACATATCCACAGATACCACAATAAACAAAACTCTATACTGCTTCTTTTTTTTTTTGGACAGAGTCTCCTTCTGTTGCCCAGGCTGGAGTACAATGGTGTGATCTTGCCTCACTGCAACCTCCGCCTCCCGGGTTCAAGCAATTCTCCTGCCTCAGCCTCCTGAGTAGCTGGGATTACAGGTGCACGTCACCATGCCTGGCTAATTTTTGTATTTTTAGTAGAGACGGGGTTTCACCATGTTGGTAAGGCTGCTCTCAAACTCCTGACCTCATGATCCACCCACCTCAGCCTCCCAACGTGCTGGGATTACAGATGCACGTCACCACGCCTGGCTAGTTTTTCTATTTTTAGTAGAGATGGGGTTTCACCATGTTGGTAAGGCTGCTCTCGAACTCCTGACCTCATGATCCACCCACCTCAGCCTCCCAAAGTGCTGGGATTACAGGCGTGAGCCGCCACGCCCGGCCTCTATACTGCTTTTTAAGATAAATGCAGCATATTTCAGAACATTTTGTTGCATTTTAAAATCCCTTGAGCATCATTGATCTCTATATCCTCCAAGAGTTGCTTACTTTTCCCCAAAATGAATGCATACATATAGTTTTATTAAAGAACCCTCATAGATTAGGACCTGTGCTTGTCCTACTGATTAAATGTAAATACGGAAGAAGTAGGAGAGCTCAGCTGGGCTGTTGGGGAAACCAAGCAGAAGCCGAGCATTGCCATTTCAGCACTGAGACAAACAAAACCTGAGTTGCTGGGAAAGAGAGTGGACCTCTCTGGACCTAATTTCCTCCAGGTTTAAAGGAAGTGGGAATGCCAACCAACCTCACTAACTGAATGAATCAAGAAAAACTGCACAAAGAGGCTTTGAAAGGGTGAATCCTAAAGTGTCTGTCACATACAAAATGGATCTACGCATAAGAAAAATGTACTATTTTTGTCATCAATTTACATTTTTTCATTGTGATATTCATTCCCCTCTGCATTTGGGTCTCCCGACTTCAGCATTTTAGTGGAAACATTTTGCTTTCCTCCTAAGCATTCCAACAAATGCTGTGTCACTAATCCACATGTCACTGAACACATGGGATACCTTACAGTTTCGCAAGGCAAATGTTGCAATAAAAACTGAAAAACTGTCCTGGAGTTGGATTAGGTAATACAGTGTGCAAGGGGCAGGGAACTGTGTGTGTGTATATATATGTATACACACATACACACACAGTTATAGATCTCTCTCTCTCTATATATATATATCGAGGGGGAGAGAGACAGAGAGAGTAGGAGCTAGAGAGGGAGTCATCAGGGACCACTGAAAGCCACTGAAAGAAAATGACTGTGAGGTCTTGGTCAAGGGCTGGTCTTAGATACCAAAGAAGATAAAAGTACTTCTGAGCACAATCTCAGACCACATGAGCCTTCTCTGTTATTCGAAAACCTATCAATGCATAATTCTAAATGTAGGACTTTAAATTTACAATTAATTTTAACTCAGTAAACTGATCATTAGGAGTTTGTATTAAGGAAATAATCAGTCTTGCAAAAATTCCTATAAAAAGATGGTCGACACAGCACTATTTTAAGATGATAAAAAATGGAAACAGGCAGGGCGCGGAGGCTCATTCCTGTAATCCCAGCACTTTGGGAGGCTGAGGCAAGTGGATCACCTGAGGTCAAGAGTTTGAGACCAGCCTGGCCAACATGGCGAAACCCTATCTCTACTAAAAATACAAAAATTAGCTGGGTGTGGTGGCAGGTACCTGTAATCCCAGCTACTCGGGAGGCTGAGACAGGAGAATCACTTGAACCTGGGAGGCGGAGGCTGCAGTGAGCCAAGATCACACCACTGCACTCCAGCTTGGGCGACAGAGTGAGACTCCGTCTCAAAAAAAAAAAAAAAAGGAAACAATCTGAACTTCCAAGAGCGGAGGACTGAGTAGAGAGATGTGTTATATCAATACGATGAAAAATTATGAAACCATTAAAAATGAGCACAACAAAGAATATTCAGTGATTGGGGGAAATAATAATGATATAAGACATGAACAGCAGGGTAAAAACTGTGCATAGAATATATAAACTCATTGTTAAAAAGTGGATATACATATATATTCACACACATCATATACCCAAAGACTAAAGGAAATGCACTAAAATATTTTTCTAAACACTAGGATTAATAAGTAATTCATATTCTTATTTTCAGTATTTTCAAAGATTGCTGGATTTTACACATAATGTGGCAATAATCATCAACAGGATCAGTACTGCAGCCAATATGTAGCATGCCTGGACAATGGCACATACTGGCCTTAGCGCAGTGCTAGATTAAAAAACAACTGGAGTTTGTTCTATCTCTCCTTTGGCTCAATGACTTACTACCATTCTACTCAAGTGTTTATGCTCCTAAATTACTGGGTCATGGCCTTGATTGAAAAATGTGACACAAAGCTGTTATAGCCCCTCTCAAGCAAAGCTGCACAGAAGCACATAATTTTGCATATAATTTCAGGGAGTCTTTGAAACCTTCACTAGTGACCCTCAGAAACCCACTCTATTGGGGCCTATAGTCCTTAAGTTAAATCATCCTTGTCCAAGTATATGGCTATAGCATTAGAAGCAATTCCTAGGGTGAGATTTACTTTAGCTTAGCTTTTATTTTCAGTAAGAGCAGCATATAAGTAGAGGGGCCAATGGGAAGGATCAAACAGAAAGGTAAAACTTGCATTGCTTACTTCGCCTTCTTTCTTGGAAAGATTTAAAAGACACATCTGAAAAAATTATGAGGAGAGGAACTGTATTAAAGAACACAGGTAATTTTCAGCAAAAGTGCTGCTCCCTGGTAAAAGGAATGTGCCTCCTAGGCCATGCTTTTATTTGTTGGGGGTAGTAGGTTGATGAGTCAAAACAGTAAGAGATTATCGAGGCAAAGTCACAATGGGGTGCAGGAAAGACAAATTGAGAACAATCTGAGACTTCCCCAGCCAATCAGAATTGATGATTATTTGACTGCAATCCAGTGGTTCTAAACAATGAACATCAATGGCCGGCAACCCTTCTAAAAAAAAGCCATCTGCATCATTTCCTGCCAACCAGTTTTTTGTTTTCTTTGTTTAATAGAGAATATATAAGCCATGAAATAAATTTAAACTGTTCTCTCTGTACCAATAAAAAGCTAACGACAGTCCAGAAAACAGGAAAAGGTACATTCAGCCTTCACAGTTTCCACTGAGGGTAGGAAGGAAAACAGGGAAAATTCACTCACTCATGTAACCAAACTGTGCTGACAGCCTAGGAACTGGCATGAAATAAAGCAATGGGCAAGACCTACAGGGTCCTGCTTTCACAGCGCTCACATTCTGTGGGGAGACAGAATAAACAACTTAGCAAACAATTTCAGAGAGTGGTAACTTCTGTGATGAAAATGACGCAGGACAATGGAACAGGCTGTGCCGGGGATGCACAACTACTTTATGTTGGGTGATCATGCAAGCCTTTCTTGAAGAGACCGTATTTGAGCTAAGAGCTGAAGTATGAGAAGGAACCAGTCATGAGACCATTCATTCATACAAGATTTATTGAGCTCTGCCATATGCCTAGCAAAGCATCACTAAGAGATAAAAGTAAATCAGACATGGCCCCTGCCCTGGAGGAGCTCATAGTCTATTTTAAAAGAGAAAAAGCAAAGCAACCGTTTTATAATTCACAGTGGTAAGTGTTACATGCCAGGAGAGAAGGGAGCACTGTTGCTTTCAGGAATACAGGGAAGAGAAATCTAATCCGATATGAAGAAGGGGGCAGAGGGAGGAGCTGAAGTGAAGAATGGCTAGCATTTAATCGTGGGGTGGGGGAGTGGGTGGAAGCACATGCAATGATTGATGCTTGAGTGAATAATGATGATAAGCTTTTCTTGTTGTTGTTTTGTTTTAGCTAAATCAGTGTACCAGCATAAACTCAAGGCCAAGCTGAAACCAGAGTACATTTTCACTGAAGGACTTTATAAACACTATATATCACAAAATTGAATCCATAAAAAGGAATGAAAAAACGATCCCAGTTTGAACATGTTTCATTTTTTTTTTCTCCTTCTTCTGGCTAAATACCATCATAACCCCGTAGCATAATTTTTCAATACAAATATGATACCAGCTGCCAAGAACATAAGTATCAGACCCAATGTCTCCAAAAAGATGAAGACATTCTTTCCTTTGGGGACTTAATAATGGTCATTATGAAGTATTTTGACCATCATAATTTAGAGAGATAGTTGGACTTCAGATGTCTGAAATAAGTAGCTCCCAAGGCAGTGTCAGCTGGCATTTTGTGAAGAAGATTAAGAACATAGTTGTACTGGTTTTACAGCTACAGAGAAGTCTGCTTCAATTACACAGTACACATAGTCTAATAAATATGTCCCAGTAGAAATAAATGGCTTGCAAAGCTGGTGATTCCTGATGGCTTACAGAGCCTTTCACCTCAAAGTCACAAGCCTTGACCTGGCACAGGTAAGAAAGACCTAAAGTCATAAATACCTTGGACTGCTCAAAGACCTGGGTAAGATGGATGAATTGTCTCCATGCAATTCCTGAGAAATAAATGGTCACTCCAGAGAAGGTGTCATTGAAATGATATGGATGATCCTATTGTTGCTACTCTTGAAAACATGTGAAGTATGCCTAAAGGTTGAAAGCTTAGTGCAAAAATAACTAAAAAGTATTCAGAGCCTGTCTTTGACATAAATTTATTCTTCGTACCTGCACTCTAAGTACTAATATCTTCTCATTCTGCAGAAGAGAAAACCAAGACACTGATGGTCAAGTAACATGGCCAATGTCACACAGTCAGGTGAATAGCTGGGGATACTTGGTCTAAAACCAAGCCTGTGCTTTTAAACTATATGCTGTCATTCAAAGGTTCCTTAATTATTTTGGTTTAGAGTCTACTACGATAAGATTAATCCTATAGCCATTCATACATACCAAATGCATTTACAGAAAATTTTTAATATAGCTTTATGAAATACATGGACCTACCACTGACAACTGCTAGGTCAACGGGGTCAAGGTATCTAGGGCTCATAACTGCGACATGCATTTGGGAAGACAGTTCTTTTCTACAGATAGCCGAAGAGTGTATGCACAGTCAATCAATTTCTTAACACATCCCTGATATTTTACTCCAAGTCTCAGTACCTAAATCACTGGTCATTCAAGGCTACACATGCTAAAAATACAACGAGATCAGTCTCTGATTTGGGACAATGAAGCATGTCTTTAAAGCTACACAACTAACAGGTTGACTGGCCACAAAAACTCAGTTTCAAAGTGGGCAGGAGCTTTTTCTAGCTTGCAAATGTTTCCTGACGCTACCTAATAACAAAATTTCTTTTTTATTAATGGGCTTAGAGAAAAGATATGGAATGAGTCAGAAGTGGAGTGAACTATGGCATCTTCTCTCCAGAAAGGAAAGAAAAAGAACCGTTAACTTAAAACAACCACTAATTTGTCAAGATGTACCTACCACGAGGTCAATCTTTCTACCCTAGGTAATATTCCTACCAAGATCTACTTTTTAAGGGTAGAATTAAGCTAGTTTCTCATATGGTTCTAGGAAAGCTCTCTAACTTTATGTAAGTTAAAAATATTTGTAATTGTGGCATTTAGAAGTCGGGTCTTGTCTTCATCTAAAAATGCTTCTACCTCTAAGGAAGACTCCTTAACTACCATACCGACAACTTGAGGCTTCTAGTACCTATATTTCAAATTTGAATTGCTTTTTATGCAAATACTTAAGGGTTGACCATGTAACCCATTCCTCTTATCAACAGCTCATTCACAGAGGTCTCCCTAAGATAGGTGAAACTATGGTGGCCTGATAGCCCCATGCAGTTCCTACAAATTTGAGAGGGTGATTTTTAACTACATAGGATGTACGGGGGGATTATGAAACAATAGCTCAAAATAGCTCACCAAAAGAAAACACTGATAAGGATTCCTTTTCTGGGTTGGAAAAACAGGATGCTGTGTGGGCCCTTATTTTAAGGTCACCGGCCCCAAAGGAAAACCTATCACTGTAATTGGTGCTGAGAAGCTTGTAGGTTAAAAAATACACGCTGGGGCCCTTTTCTTTTGCATTGCTGACTTTTAGGTTGTTTCTTATCCCAACTGCTTATTTTTAGTAATGTAAGTTAGGCTCAGGACCAAGATAGAAACCCAGAATAATATCCGGGCTTTTAACCTTATAGGACACCAAACCCCTGAAACCTAAGACCCTGCCTGAGGCTTCTTTTTCTCTCTCCCACCATATCCGTCTCCAAACGCATTCTGAATCCATCCAAGTTCATCTCCACTGCCACTACCTTCTCTTGCCTAGATGACCACATGAGTCCAGAAACTGGTCTCTGCTTTATGGTTTATCCTCTTTATTATCCGCACCGAGGCCAGAGACAACTTTAAACGGCAGAAATCAGATTGTACTGTCTCCTGGCTCCATGTCCCTATGGCTTCCCAAAACCATTTCAATTAAAGACAAACTCTTTGTTCAGTGTCCCACTAAGCCCTCCTGGATGTGACCCCTCCTATCTCTTTACTTCCTCCTCCTGGACACACACTCCAGCCAGGTTGGCACCCTCCACTGCGGAACTGCCTCCTTGCAATTCTCTGGGCATTTTCTCTGGCTGCTCCCTCTGCCTGGAACTCTATGCCTGCAGATCTATGTGTGGGTGGCTCCTGCCTTTCACTCAGGACCCTCCTCAAAGGTGACTCCTTCAGAGAGCCAACCAGAGATCCAGGCAGGCTACCAGCAGATCTGAAGTGGCCCTTTTCTGACCCACTTTATTCACACAACCCAGTGTCTTTGTTTTCATTGAGCCTATCACTCTCTAAAATGACCTTGTTTACTTGTCTATTATTTATATTGTTTATTGTTTACTTATTGATTGTCTCTATTTCAGGGACCTATTCTATTTTATCGGTCTATCCCTAGAACAGTATCTGGTCAACAGTTCAATAAACACCTGTATCTCTCAAATGCATGTATGAATGTGCAGAGCTCATGAAATGAGTTTACACCTTGAAAGCTGCAGGAAGAGCTGATGAGGCAAAGGGGAGGAGCTGCTTGGCCTTTCTTTTTATAGCCATCATTGCTGCAGTGACTGTTTAACAGCTCTTGATCCTTGGTCTGTTCCTTGATTTATTGGTGAGCTGCCAGGTTCGGCTCAACTCACAACTGCCTCACTCAGCACAGAGAACAAGGTTCCGCTGTGCCACCTGGTGTCCTGACTTCCCATCACCACAGATGAGCTTTGGTCTCAGAACAAACTGAAAGCTCAGAGGGAAACACCAAACCCTATAAGCTCCCCACTCCAGCAAATGGATATGTTCTCAAGGATTCTTTGAGATCTAAATCTTCAGGTAAGGATAGCTTCATATCCTTACTTACTAAAGCAAACTTTTATTACAGCACTGGGTTCAATGCCTCTCAATGCCTCACTCTTCCCTACAAAAAGCGAACACATGCTGATGAAAAAAAATCTCAGATCCTTTTCTTAGGGCAAATCCATGAATCTCTTGAGCAGTTTCAACAGACTGATTGATGTGATGGTCACTTTTTGTCACAAGATACTTCTGCAAAATAGGAAAATTTTCCAGCTTGCTCTGGAGGGGGGTACATTGTTTGGCAATTTCAATTAGCTTTATTCCCAAACTGCTTAATTGCAACAGAGGCCATGCCTGGTACCATATCAAGCTTTACTCCAATATCTTAAATTTAAGAAATCATATAAGCCTTAGAAAACACAGGTCATGGTTAACAACAGCAAGGCGATCGGGCTTCAAGTCCTGCCGCACTGCATTATTCAAAGTGTCTGCAAGTCAGACCTAAAGAAGTCATTTACTGAGGGGTCAGGTTTTCCAAAGAGCATGGACATACAGTGAGCAGCCCCATTCATCTCCCATGGAGATATTAAATGTCTTCAAAATCCTCTTGCTGAAAGAGTATCTGAACTGGTCTAAGTGATTATGTGACTTAGAGGGAAAAAAGCTGTTTCCTTGACTATGTCAATTTCTAATGAATTGCTGCCCCATATAGCTATGAAGGGCAGGAGACGCTTGGGCTTTGTTCAGCTATTAGATTTCAGGTTTCGGTGAGGCAGTGCTCACTGTACCAATTGGATTTGCTTAAAGGCTGAGTACAGGAATCAGTTTCACCCACATACACCCCAACCCACACACTATCCCAGTTAGGACAAGCCTCAATTAGAAGTAACTTTTATAGGTCCAGTACATTGGAGATGCAGGAAAATGCAAGAACTGTGAGGCCGTTTAATGAAATATTTTAGTTGGGAACAAGATGTGTAACAAAGCATTGCATTTATGGCAGGGAAGAGTAAGTACAATGGAAACGAAATACATGCTGACCCAGTAAGCACTCAAGTCAACAACTTTCTCACTGTGGAAAATAAATGCCAAGATCCTTTTGCTTTCTCTCTTGTCTGATTCTGGCTATTTCCTACTGTTTATTTATTTCTTGGTAAATGAAGCTCTAATCAGGCTTTGAGTCAATGCAGATGGTGATCTTAATGCAAGCAAACACAACTTGAAAGGAATTTTTGAAAGCTGTCATAAAGTTTCTGAGACTGCTTTTTACATACAAGAAACCAGCTATGGATATTTTGGGGTGCCCTCGAGCACACTAAAGGTGCTCGGTTCACCCCATTTTTGTCTTGCTTTTGGATTTCACTTCTCTGGGTTACCCCGATAACTTATATAGGACAAAAGAGTTTCATAAAAGGGCGTGACTAATAGATGTTATAGATGTTGCGTTACATAAGAGTGACGAATATAACCCCGGCCTTGAATCCGAACGCTTTCTTCCTGAATGAAGATCTAGGGGAAGCAATGATCAAAGAAAGAGGGGAGCTCCCATTTGCTCTTCCCGAGGTTTGGATGCCAGAGCCCCACTCACACATTACTTCGGCAGCTCTGCTTTCGTATCCTGTTCTATTCTCAACCTCCTGTGGGCCTTTCCCTAGAGCAGTGATTCCTGGATTTTACATTTCATAAGCCAGCAGATTTTGAAAACATAGAACTGAGCAATTGATCCTAAGTTGCCAATTCTTTCTTTTGTGAACTAAGAACATTAAAAAGGAGGAGATAAATGATAACAACCTTTTCATAAGAAAAAAAAGAGGCACTGGGTGTGGTGGTTCACGCCTGTAATCCCAGTACCTTGGGAGGCCGAGGCAGGCAGATCACCTGACCAGCCAGATCAACATGGAGAAACCCCGTCTCTACTAAAAAAAAAAAAAAAAATACAAAATTAGCCGGGTGTGGTGGTGCATGCCTGCAATCCCAGCTACTCGGGAGGCTGAGGCAAGATAATCGCTTGAACCCGGGAGGCAGAGGTTGTGGTGAGCCGAGATCATGCCATTGCACTCCAGCCTGGGAAAAAAAAAAAAACAAAAAAAAAAAAAACAGAAGAAGAAGAACATCATTACCTATAAAGAAGAATCTTTCATATTGGAAAATCTTCACTTCATGAAAAACCTACTACTCCATCCTGGTTTTTCTCATTATTGTTTACTGAAGGAACGTGCTGTCACAGACCAAAAGGAACACATCTCCTACCACCTTTCCTTCCAGGCTCTTCCTTTTCACCTTCCCTAACCTTTTCTCTACTCCAGACAACTAAGTCAAAGGTACTGAAAACAGGAGGTCTGCTTCAGCCTCTCCTCCACCTCTTTTCTCTTAAGCTCCATTCAATATGACAGAGCAAGGGGCCAGAAAATAAGAAACTCTTCATCAGAACAGGGCAGCGCTGAAGGTGTAACAGGCCCTCTTCTTATTCCATCGTCATGACAGTGCTGAGAAGGGTGCAGTCCTACCCATACTTCAGATGATAATCTGGAGGCTCATGGACACAGCCCAGGGCTGGCTCAGGCTGCACTGCTGGGTGACAGCAGAGATCACGCTGGAGACCCTCACAGCTGACTACACTGCCACTCCGTTACTGAGGAGATGCAGAGGCAACACTAAGAAGAAGTGGGGAATTCTCCAATAAAATTTCTTCAATCCATATTCAACAAAAAATAACCCAGAAGTGGATTTCATTTGTACCTAAACAAACAGAACACAGAGTTTCTAAGAAGCAAAACCAAATGGGTGTTGAAGGGGTTAAAGCAGTGGTTCTCAAGCACATCTAATTTTGCTCTTTAAAGGACATTTGGCCC
Organism: Homo sapiens; assembly: GCF_000001405.40. NCBI lineage: Eukaryota > Metazoa > Chordata > Mammalia > Primates > Hominidae > Homo > Homo sapiens. Next base: position 65,415,790 of record NC_000003.12, read on the forward strand.
TGTCTGAAGACATTATTGGTTGTTAAAACTGGGGAGACGGGGGTGCTACCGGCAGCTAGTGCTAGGTTATAAAACAGCCTTCTCTTCCTCCTTTAGTTACCAAAGTCTACGTGAAAGTTGATTTGCAGATGCAGACAAACTATATAAACATAGAATCCCATTAATTCATGGGCAGTGCTGTTATTTTTTCAATGCAATCATCTGCCATTTTGGTAAGTGGTCTCTATGGCAAAAGTAACTACACAGAATGCAAGCCATTTTTAAATTTAGAAAAAACAAAAATACCTAAGAGCGTGTAGACCTAATTCCAACTATTTCCAAGCGATTTTTGAAAACAAATTCATGTTTATGTAACTATAAGAAAGCTTTTTAAAACATAGCTTTTACACAGGTTCATCATGCCAAGACCCCTTTTGCATACCGATTGCAAAAATAAAAGCCTAATTAAAAACTCAGGTTGCTGAATGAGTGGAGTCAACAGCCAATGCTAGGGAAAGAAAGGGATTCCCTCCATCACAAAGTCATAGCTGGTCCATGTTGCAGCTTCATAGTTATTATGACTGCTATTCTATGACACAGTGGAAAAGGACCTTTAAACAACCTTGCAACAAATACAAAGATCACAAAAAGGGTCTATTAGAATTTTTCATGGCAAAGGTAATACACCAAATGAGATTTCTAGAAAAAGCATTAGGCATGAGACAATGGGGAAGCTGTGATTAACCACACTGTATTTTTGATGTTTCCTTCACGGCACTCCTCTATAATGAGAGAATAGCACGGTGCTAAAGTTTGTTGAATGAATGAATGAATGAATGACACTTATTGCATATGGTGAGGAACCAAAAATGTTGAGAACATTAGAAATGCAAAAAGGAACACTATTAACAAGAGTCTGAAATAAGCCCAGGTAACAACTTGGCAAACAATAAAGGGCATTTTCCACGTTGCCAGTGGAATCATATTACTCCTAAGGGCTCCAGGCTATTTTTGAAGACATTAAGATTCTACCTGCAAGATGTTTGAACCAAAAAGGATTATGTTCACAAATAGGGGACATGATTAATATTTAAGCAGAAATACAAACAAAGGAAATACCAGGTAAGGTAGAAGTTTTAACTTTACAGGTGACACTGCAAAGACAGACTCAGTAAGCACCATGGCAAATACTTCCCTCCAGATGGTGGTAAAGAACGTGTGATTTCATTTGAGGGAAATGAAGGAAGGTGGGAACATTTTACACATGGTAAACTCTGTCTCAGATAACGGTTTCGAAAATGCTCAGAACTGAAAAATGCTTCCGATAGAAGTAGGATGATATCTCTTGCAATAAAGAGAAGTTCAACAAAGTGAGGCTGCAAGCACACACTGGGGCCTGTCGGAGGGCGGCAGGGGTAGTGACAGCATCAGGAAGAATAGCTAATGAATGCTAGGCTTAATACTTAGGTGATGGGATGATCTGCAGCAAACCACCATGGCACACATTTACCTATGGAACAAATCTGCACATCCTGCACATGTACCCCTGAACTTAAAGTTGGGAAAAAAAGACTGATATAATGGAGGATGCTAATCATAATAATATTCCTCATAGCAAAGACTTTTCAAATGGGAAACATTATCCAAAGTTGCTGACAACTAATCAACTAATTTTCACATGGAACCAAAGTAAGGGTAGGAAACAAACTCCAAAGTTAAGGGGGGAAATGTCTGATGATATATGGTTTCTTTTTTTTTTTTAAAGCATAAATTAAACCAAAAAGAAAAGAAAAGTTGCCAGTTACTGGGATTTTGAGATGATGGTGAAAAGAAAGTCCTAGGAAATGGATCCACAACAGGCCTGCACATTCATGTATGATATCATTGCCTTTCTTGATGTTTTTGTGTATGCTGTCTTTGGGTCTCAAACTCAGGTGATTTGTGGGCCACAGGCACACAATGGGCAAGAGTAAGGACAGATGTAAGAAACAGCAGGCCAGGGGGAAGCTGGAATTGTTGGCTCCAGCTAAATGCATTCAGATCTGAAAATATTTTTTTTAAGACTGATTAAAAAATACATGATGAGTCATGTCAAATACTGCCCATGGACCAGTTGGTAACTTTAAATCCTTCCTATATTTCAAAGCACTGCTTTAGTCCAGCTGTTCTTAGCAGAGGGCGATTTTGCCCCTTAGGGGACATCTGTCATTGTCTGGAGATGTTTTTGACTGTCACCGTTGGAGAAAGGGGGCAGGTATGTGACAGGTACCTACTCAGTAGAGACCAGGGATGCTGTTAAACATCCTACAATGCACAGGAGGAGTTCCCGCAACAGATAACTGTCTGGCCCAAAATGACAAACTGTGGAGGCTGGGGCACTCTGCTCCAGTTCCAGCAGACTGTTGTCCATCCTCCGTACCCCACCATTCACCTATTATCCAAATATGTATGGCACAGACTCAGACTACATATTACTGACGGTAAAGCTCACTTGTTAGTCTTGCCTCCCTAACTAGATTGTGAGTACTATTTTCTCCTTATTTCAGAACTGTGCACAAACAATATCCTCAGTCCTTCATGAAGAACAAGAATGGGTCAAATGGAAAGAGGCTTGTGGCTATTACTACTAGGACTATGAAATTAAATAGGAAAGCCTCAAATAAATAGAAATTTCAATAGTTTGCTTTTAGAGGGAAAAAGAATGATCAAATCTAGTTCCATCTTCTGCACAGTTTACACAGACTAACCCCAAGGCCTACCCCTTCTCACCTATGTTGCATCCCATCTTCTTCCCCTTCTTAAATACTTCACTCCTGCAAAGAGGGAGTGCAATGAATCCTCCTTTCTCCTCCAATCATTACTTTCTTCCTGTCTTTTGAGTCATCCCTATCCATACACAAGAACGCTGTGGTATCTCTCATCTTCAAAACAAAACAAAGCCCTCTCCTTTGACTCCACACCCGTCTCCAGGACTTGTTCCACTGCACAGCAGATCTTCTCGAACAGCTTACCCCAATCCCTATCCCACCTCCTCCCCTCTCCAGCCTCTCCAGCCCGACTGCATTAGTAGCCACACTTCATGGGTCCTGCCCTCAGGGGACGTTATGCCACAGGCAGTGTTTTCACCCCTGCAGGCCTCCACCTCTTGACCCATGAGTGCTGCTACAATGGTCTTGTGACACTGTCTTCTCTTGGGTTCTGTGATACAACGCTTTCCTGTTCTTTCTTCTATCTGCGCTGGCGGCTCCATCTTTACTGGGGCCTCCTGCTCAGTCTGACCCTTGAATGGTGATGTGCCTCAGGGTTCTGTCTTGCACTTTTTCTCCCTCCTTCCTGCTCTTTCCCTCAGTAATCTCATTCAGCCCCATGGCTCTAAATAACCTCTGATTCTATCTTTTACAAACTTATGTGACTATGTTCCACAATGGGAAATACATTTTATAACACATTCATACACACACACACACACACACACACAAGTGTATGAATGTGTTACAAATTGTATTTCCCATTTTATGAAATGTGTGTGTGTGTGTATGCATGTATGCATGCGTGGGTATACACACACAGTAAATATTTCATAAAAAAGGACTTATCTTCAGTGAGTGTGATACACTCTAATGTTTTCTGTTTCACTTCCAAGAAAAACACTGGGTGTAGCCCAATACATTGATTTCACAGCCCAGTAATAGGTCACAGCCCACAGTTTATAGAATACTCATTGAGACAATAATGGCTCATAAATGCGTATTTTTCCTGACCTAACCTCACAACCACCAAACCCCAGATTCCAGACAACTGCCTACATTTCTGTTTCATTTGGATGTCAAATGGGCTTTCACAATTAACAAGTGTGAGAAGAAACCCTTGATTTTACAGCTCAAGTCCTACCTGTTTCTACCCTAGGATCCACATCTCAGCAAAGATTCCTCCCAGGTCAAAAATTCTGGGGTCATTTTGGCTCCCTCCCTTTTCCTTTCCTTCAGTTGGGGTCAGCAAATACAGCCCATGGGACACATACAGTTTTCTTGGAACACAACCAACCCGTTCCTTTACATATCGCCTGCTACAAGGGCAGAGTAGAGTAGTGGGGACAGAGACTGTAGGGCCCACAAAGCCTAACATGTCTACCCTTTGTCTCTTTATAGAAAAAGTGTGTCCCCCCACTTTACAGTCAACCTGTGGAGTCCTGCTGACTATTCTTTAGGTGTCCCAAGTCCCCCACTGCCGTGATCCTCTGTCTGCCCTACAGTCCAAGTTGCTAACACTCTTGCTTGAACTACTGCAAAAGCCCTCACAGGTCTCCCCTTCCCCTCCTGTTCCCCTAAAATACATTCTTCATATATATGCCACAGGGACTATCTGAACACGTTACTGAGAGCCTGTCCCTTCACCGTGTGAATCTGGACCTCACACTGCAAATGGAATTCGAACTCCAGGTCCTGGCCTCCAGTCTCTGACTTCAGCCATCCCCATCCCCTGCTCCCCTTTCTCCAGGCACACAGGTCTCTGTTCCAATTCTTTCTTAGGGTCTTTGCACTAACTGTCCCTTCCTGCTGGAATACCGTTTCCTTCTCTGTGGTCACTCAAGTTTCACCTCTAATCTACAAGAGCCCCCTCACTGCCAGGCCTGCCACACCTGTTCACTTTACCTGCTCTGATTTGCTTCACAGCACTTTTCTTTGGCTGGCATGATTTTGTTCATTTGTTTATTTTTGCCCTTTCTCCCCTTCCCCTAGAATAAATGCCTCATGAAATCAGGAGCCTGTTTGTTTCATTTGCAGATGACGCTGCTCTATTCCCAGTGCCTAGACGATGACAGGCACGTGATGTTAATGAATTTGTCCCCCAAAAAGAGACAACAAAGCAACTTCTTTATATTCAAATTCCACACTTAAATAAAAGCACAGAACAATAATTCTACAGCCTGCCAGCCAAGGGAATGAAATTCTACCACTCTTCCAGAAAGGGGAAGGGATGACACCACACCTTAATGAGAACTATAAATCACACACGAACACATTTGTAATAAATAATGCATATAAGTAAGTAACTCAATGCATTAAGTTTACCTTCAAGGAGAATGAGACATTGCTTTGTAGAACAAAAGTAAAAGTTTTAGGTGTGCCAACCACTTTGCATTGTGAATATAACAGAAATAAAACTCAAATCATCCAATAAAGTCTGAGTTGCATACAAATGTTAAATAAGTAAAGCTTGCTTAAGTTTAAAAACCATGAGATCAAAAATCCGTAAAGAAACCAGAATTCCTTAAGATGTGAAAGTGAGGAATAATTTTTAAGCATTATATAATGAAAGACAGAATCAAAATAGAAACATTTTTATATTTATCTCATCTCTTGCTGTAAGTCATCTCAAATATAAATGTGACCTGTCACTCTACAAAGAATTCTCAAATAAAATCCCTGATAACTTTAAACCATGGCAATAAATCAAAATAGCAACTTAAAACTGCATTATGAATAAAGGCCAGAAGGCTCCTTTAATACCAAATTGGAATGCCATCCTGTTTAGCATGGTGGAAGTGCTAGAAAATTTGCTAATTTTAACTTGAACAACTTTTAACAGCTAGAAGATGTTAGGCAGCACGTTGGATGTGACAAGAGGACTCAACTTACAAAATTATTAGAAAATACAAGCACCACAGATAGTGGTGAGTGAGGTCAATGAGTTTGAGATACTGAATCAATGAATCAGATAAATACACCAAGGAGACTTCAAAGTCTCCCCTTTAAAACAGACTTCTGACAAATTGTAACTTGCTGATAGCTCATATGGCAGATTATACATATTTGATATATAAAAATTTTAGTTGAGTTTTTCTCGTGTTTTGAGGTTTCTTCCATTTTTTAGATTAAAGGTACTTTAATGAAATAATTTAATTTAAGCTCCTTAAATAACATCAGTCTAGTATAAAAGCTGAGATGCTTCCCAGCCAGGTGGAGGTCCTGTAACCCGCTTATAAACTTGATGACACCATGCCAGGATTGAGAAAGTGGAGATTGCCCCCAAGCACTTATACTTTACAAGTCTTAAATCCTCTGAGTGTGAATTCCTTGCATCCCCTAACATCCAGTTAACACATATAAAGAACTCAGAGCAGTTACTAAACATGGAAATGATGTAATAAACAGGACCTATGTTTATCACTCTCTGCATAAAAATAAATCCATTAACTATGCACGTGCCTTCAATTTCATATTTTTCTTCTATTCAAATGTATAAAAACAAAAGAAAGGGTAAAATAAAGGATATCCAGCTTCTCACTTCTGAGGGTGCAATAATTAAAATCTCTAGAACTGTGCTGCGTAACAGTACTTCCTGCAATGGTGGAAATGTTCTCTGTCTACACTGTCCTATATCGTAGCCACTCGCCACATGTGGCTATGGAGCTCTTGAAGTGCGGACAGATGGACTGAGAAACTGAAATTTAAATCTTACATAATTTTAATCATGAGATAGTGGCTACTTGACAAGATGCTGGAGAACAGGCTTTGGAACCAACATGATTCACTGACATGAAGCTCCCACATCTTGGCCTATGGACACAATGAACAATGCATCTACTAGCTGTTTAGGGCAGCCTGTGAACAGAGCACACAGCTATGGCAAACAAACAGACCCGGGTTCAGAGTCAGGATCTGTCACTTTTTAGCTGTGTGACTGGGGGGTGGTCAGTCTATTATAATGCTCACAACCTCAGAAAGTTCTCTCAGGATTAGCACTTATGAAATCAAAGGGTCCTGCATTAACTCATCTTTTCATTCAATGCAGATGATTTTCTGAATACCTATAATGGACTAGGCACCATTTTAGGCAGCAGGGATAAAGTAGTGATTGCAACCAAGTCCCTTATCTGAGGGGGATCACAGGTAGGTATAGTACATAAGAAAGATCACGAGAACAGACAGTGATCGTGGGAGATGCTGCTTGATTTATGAGGAATGGTCACGGCAGACTCCTCAGATGAAAGGGGATGAAATAACCTCCGAGCCGAGGCCTGAAAGATGTGAGTGAGGAGGTCCTGTGGCTACCTGGGAGAAGAAAAATACAGACAGAAGGAGATGTAAGTGCTAGGGCCCTGACACAGGACTTTGGAGTTCACGCTTAATGATGGGAAGCTATTCTGACATGAGGAACTGCCTTGATCTGATGTACTTTAAAGCACTGTAGCTGGAGGGCAGACTGGAGGAAGCACTGAGACCTGTTGCGAGGCCACTGCAAGGCCAGGTGCCCTACAATGGGTGGTAAAGGCCAGGGATGGGGTGAGATGTAAACCAAGTTTGAGTACACTGAGAAGGGAGAACTGGCAGTATTTGCTGATGGGAACATATAGGACCCCAACATTATTAAGATATCACTCTATACACAACCTGAATTCCCCTTTCTGGGGCCCTACAGCTCAATCTGAGACATTGTGGCAGTCAAGCACTTAAGCAGTACAATGTACAATTCATTCTCTGGTCCAAGACCAGAGGGCAAAGAGGAGAAGTGCCTGATCACTTGGGTTTAACTCTCTGTGCATGGCTTACCGTGGTTCTAATTATGATGGTTTTGTATCATTTCAGAAAAACACACGTGCGTGCACACACGCGCACACACACACACACAGAGAAGAGCTAATGCTAATGATGCACTTAGCTAACGAGATTAGATACTGCTTTCTCTGTTTGGATCAATGACGATTTAATGAACTAAATATCATCAGTAAATTTTGATGAGAATTAAGAGGCATTACTTTGCCCACAGACTTCAGGCTTTACTCATTTCTTTATGCATAAGATATAGTCTTCAATAATTATGGTACTGGAGCAATTTCTTGCCTGTAAGGCAGGAGGCTTTTGGGCAGAGTGTTTAAGCACTGTCTGGAGCCAGTCTTCCTAGGTTCCAATCCTAGCTTTGCCACTAACCAGCTAATTTGGGTAAACCACAGAAACTCCCTGGGCCTCAGCTTCCTCTTCTCCAAAATGGAGCTAAGACTGTATTTACTTCAGAGGACTCTTATGAATTATGATATGTAAAATGTCTAGAAGCATGCCTGGCACACTGTAGAAGCATTTATTGTTTTCATTCCAAATCTTATGCAGGTTTTCCCAACTAAAACAGAATTTTCTCCTTTGCTTTATACTAATTTATACCAAATTAAGCTGTGGGAAAACAAAAACAACTCCTTCTTGTATTTTGTCCTAGCATAGAAGCTAACAATCACTGCCTTCATTTCACAAGGATCCAACCCATCATCACATTGCAAATTGGTGGCAGTTTCAATGTGGTTGCAACAATGAAGTCTTGAAAGGTTTTATTTACCTTCTTGGGCATGTGTGTGTGCATGAATGTATGTATGTGTATTGCATGTATCATGGTAACACAGCTTGAACATAGTAAGTACTCAGGAAATGACAGTAGTGACATTATCATTACCATCACCACCACCATTTTCTTATCTAAGTTTTGCCTTTTAACTCTCATTATCATTTTTCTAGAGTTACAAAGTGTGCTTATAAAGCTAGAGGATTAATCTTCCATTGTGACTGGTGGATCAAGTTTAATTTATTCAGCTATGACTTACTGAGACCTTATCACTTGCCAGGTTCCCCAGGAAGTGCCAGAGACACAAGAGTAAGAGTCAAACACATTACTGCTCTCTAGGAATTTTAACATTTCATGAATGTATAATCAGACCCTGAAATTATTTAGCGGCCTGACCAAAGTATTCAGTATATGGTCTGTGCAAACTAGAAAGGACAATTTCACTTCCATTACTGTTGTGATCAGCAAAAGCCAGTGGGAGATGGCACTCTAAATGAGCATCTCCAATAGCAAGTCCCCTTTCTATTCTCCTTGGAAGTAGAAAAATGTAGAATGTGGGAGCTGAAATGGACCTTAGGGAAGACTGAAAAGTCTGTCACTTACAAAACAGACTTTAAAAGTTGAACATTACTCAGAAACGAAAATATTAAAATAAGCTTTATAAACTTATTTTCATCCAACTTATAGGTCAAAGAATCAAAACTAGAAGGGACCGTAGAGGCAGAAGCCTAACATTTTTTGCAACTCTGGTTGTATATCAGAATCACCAGTGGTACCTGGGCAACACAGTGAGACCCTGTCTCTACAAAACAATTTTTTAAAAGAGATTAGCCTCACAAGATGGCACATGCCTGTAGTCCTAGCTATTCAGGAGGCTAAGGCAGGAGGTTCATTTAAGCCCAGGAGTTTGAGGTTGTGATGGGCCATGATCATGCACTCCAGCCTGGGCAAAAGAGCAGGACCCTGTATCAAGAGAAGAAGAAAAAAAAAACCTACCAGTAGAACTTCTAAAAAAAAAAAAAAAAAAAAAAAACAAAAAAAAACACACATGCCTAAACATCATACAATCTGTACGGCCCAGCTAGAACTTTTTATAAAAAATAAAATATTAATGCTTCCCCACCCAATTGCCACTATTGCTTTATCATGTGATGACTACTACGTCAGGAATTGGCACAAATGCTACCTTATTTAATCTATGTACATCATGCCCATTTTTTTCAGAAGTCTAACTAAGCTCAGAGAAGGCAAGTGACTTGCCTAAAGTCACAATGCAAGTAGAGCAGAAGCCAGGATTTAAACTTGCATCCTCTGTCTCCACAGTCCTGTGGTCTTTCCTCTATACAACAATAAGGTCATCCCTTGCATAAAATTTGAGCCAGAATGGAGTGCCTGAAAGATTCTCTAGCTCAAAACATTCATCTTTTAGATTAAAAAAATAAGTGTCAGGGTAGAAGTAGTACCCTTCTGAAGCATATGCAGAAGCTTACGGGCAGAGTTTGTACTCAAGGTCAGCTCCTGGTATCCCAAGTTCAGTTTTCTTTTTAATACATGCCTTCTCTCAAAAGTAAAACATAGGATCTTCACTTGCATACAGTGCTGCCAAATCTTTTCTTGAAACGGAGTGTTGTGACTCAACATGAAATTACATTTTAAAGAGTGTCACACCTACTGATAGGTGTGAATTTGCCGAATATCCAAAATATTTGACACAGAGGGGCACAGGTAGTTACGCTATCTACATGAGCCTTTTTTAAAAAAAGTAAAAAATCCTTATGGGACAAGTTCGATAGCTTTTACAAATTAAAAATAAAAATCCACAAACTAGTTTGATTTTCCAAACACTTCAAAGAAGTCTCTAGATGCACACTGATGTCAGGTGACAGGATTTCTGAATGCAGATGCTATGTTCAAAATAGAAGGGTAAAAAGCACTTTCCTGACTGGACAGCAGAGGGAGAAGGAGTAAGGACACACAATTGGAAGAGGGGAGCCAGACACAGAGAAGAACTGCCCTTTAAAAACCTGAGTGATCGACTGGCAAGCAGGGAGATGTTGATGAAGAGGAGATTTGTAAGCAAATCAGGACTGGTCCCGGCTACTTGGGAGTATGGATGAACACTGCACAGCAGCTCTAAGCCTGACTCAGGAAACTGTCTGACCCTGGACATTTACAAATGATATTTCAACCTTCAGCTCGATTTCCAGATGAGGGAAGGGGGATGGACTAAAACTACTAAAAATGAAATGTATTAGATCTTGACAAGAACAAATGTCAAAAACGAGCTCTAGAGATGAGGAATTAAAATGGGTGCTACAAACATAGCAGCCAGTTCTGTCCCAAAGTAAAAATGGCCCGTTCTTTAAAGCATAGAAAGCCACAACCTCACGACAGGAATTCCTGAGACTCATGGAACAGTGTAGATGAGTTTATCAGTCATCTTACTAGCAGTTACAAAATAAACTAGATTCATTAGAAAGAATCGGTAAAGTGGGCATTTACTTTCTCATTGAACCTAGCTGTTGTCTTGAAGCACCTTCATCAAGCCTTCTCATTACATCCCCACTATACAGAAGAGATGATTAAATGTCAGCCCTGATTCAAGCAACTAATGTATGGCAGAAACAGATATATTTATATGCCTTCCAGAAAGATTAATAGTATCTAGTGCTAGCCTGCCAACTGCAGATGTACAAACTTTCTATCCTATACATAAATCATACACAAGACATATGGTGTATTTTAAAGACTGCTGATGTCACAGTGATTTTAAATTACTCATGTTCTGAAATAAACCATGTAGATGTTGATGAATATGGCAATATATTCCGGATTTTTCATATAAATGTTATAAAATGTAACACCATTAATGAGAAGATGGCATTGGGAATTAAGAAGAGAGAATGCAAACATATTTAAAATCAAGGAGTATAGTCAGGTGTGGTGGCTCATGCCTGTAATCCTAGCACTTCGGGAGGCCGAGGCAGGTGGATCCCTTGAGCGCGGGAGTTCGAGACCAGCATGGGTAACATGGAGAAATCATTTCTACTGAAAATACAAAAATCAGCCGGGAGTGGTGGCATGCACCTATAGTCTCAGCTACTTGGGGGGCTAAGGCAGGAAGATCGCTTGAAACTAGGAGGTTGAGGCTGCAGTGAGCTGAGATGGCACCACTGCACTCCAGCCTGGGTGACAAAGTGAGACCCTGTCTCAAAAATAAAAATAAAAAATAAAATCAAGGAGTACGTTTCTATAATCAGTTGTTTGCTGGCTTAGGCGAATTCATTACAATATGGTTCTAATACATGTGTAAGTTAGTTGGCTATAATGAAACTTTATGTTTGGTCTCCTTAGAAGTGAATCTAATGGGATAATAAACCACATCAATAACAGAAATGAGAAAGAGGATAGATGAGTTAGGAGAACAAGGTGGTTTGTGTCTGTCAAATGAGCAGTGGCTGAATCAGAGGTGCACCTGATGTACCAAGAATTATTTGAAAGTTTCCAGGCTGTCAGCCTCAGTATTAAGCAACTATACAAAAATCAGTGTTATTCAGTTAAGTAGGGCAGAACATTGGACTGGAAACCACAGAGCCAGGGTGAACAGCTCAGAACTACTGTGGGGTGGCACCTTCCTACCTCACAGGGAAGTGACAAATATCAGTGGAGAGGCACGTGCAGGTATGAAAGTGCTTTGTGTATCACTGATTCTTCTATAAGTGCCAGGTTTCATCATCACCATCATCATTATTGTCATAATCGTTCTTATACCCAAGTCATTTCCTACTACATACATCTTGGCTACTGTTTAAAACCAGTTCTCTGAGCAGTCAAGTGATCTAGGTACAAGAAGAGACTTGAAAATTAGTTGGTGGAAATGACATTTTAAAAAAAATAAAATTTGCACAATGCCTTTTATAACTGCCTAAGCCAGGCTCATTGAGCATTTCAATTCACATAGACAGCTACTCTGTATTTTGGGTTTCCTTCAAATGACCCCAGCCATTCTGATCGCAGAACACACAGGTTCATGAAAACATGAGAATCTGGCTGCTGTGACACAAATGAGCTCTCCTGTTGCAACAAACCAAAAGGAAGTCAAAGTCTGGTTCTTGATCTCTTTTCAAAAGGCCTGAATATGTTGTTCATGAAACAAATCATGGTAGCAAGGATCAGGGAAACAGCCATTCTCAGGCCCACTGTGTAAAACTATCAGTCACGACTAATCACATATAAGTATATATTCCAGGAGCAAGACACTTCAATATGGTGGAAAGTATTGCTCAGTGTGACGTCCTGTGTTTTCTGGTGAGGCAGAGGGTGGGATACGGACTCAAGGAGAAAGGAGGAAGCTTAATGCCTCGAGATTTAGAATAACCCAGATCTCTGAGATCCTAAACTACTAAACGCGAGCATGTGGAGGGAAGTGTTTAATATGATTAGCAGACCTCTTGTTTCTGCCAAATAGAAATAATCACATACCTATTCACTTAATACCTATTCATTCATAAATACCTAAAAGGAGTCAGGTGTTGTGTTAAATGCTGGGGATAACAGCTGTCCACATGCACACATGGGCCCTGGCTTTATGGAGCTTTATATTCTAATGAAAGACAAATAATGAAAAATAAATAAAAGCATGAAATAACGTCTTGTGCTAAAAAGGTGATGATGATCAAGGTTATGAAAAACTGTGATAAAGATTATATGGAAGTGTTGGGAGCTACTTTAGATAAAGTGATGGGAGAAGCCCTCTCTCATAAGGAGACCTGAATGGGACTGAGCCAGCTGGGAAGAGCTGGGAAAGGACCATTCCAGGCAGAACGGACAGTAAATACAAAGGGCCTGAGGCAAGAAAAGGCTTGAAGCATTAAAGGAGCTCCATAAAAGCAGCCAGTGTGGCTAAAGCACCATCAGATGGAGGAGAGGAACATGAGACAAGTTTGGAGTGACCATAGCCACATTTTGCAGGCTATGCAGGCCAAGTTCAGGAGATTTAAAGGATAAAGGTTATTATTTTTTATATATATATAAAAAAACTTTTTAGAGAATGGGGTCTCAATATGTTGCCCAGTCTGGACTCAAATGCCTGGGCTCAAGTGATCTTCCTGCCTCAGCCTCTCAAGCAGCCAGGACTACAGGTGGGTACCACCACACCCAACTTAGGTTTTTAAATCTTAACATTTTAAAAAGGCAAAATCTGATTTCTGTTTTAAGGTATCATTCTAACTGCATATGTCTGTCATAATGTATAAACCACAATTTTTATGCTAAAGAGGTTAGTATTTGGAGAAATCAGTAGGCATTTTGAAACATTTAAATAAATTTAAAAAGCCCCCAGTGGTCATCTGAAGATGAGTAAGTTAAGCAATGAATTTGGGATAAAAAAAAAATTCAAAGAACAAAACAACCCTACTTACCTCCTCGTTGCACCAACAATGTGACCTCACTTCCCTTAGGACACTCAACCAGCATATCCACCACTTGGTTGTGAGTTAGGGCCTGCACGTTCTTCTTATTAACTTCCACTATGAGATCCCCTTCTTTCAGGCCTCGGCACCTTGGGCTGTCAACAATCTGTTTCACTCTTTGGCCACCCCCACCAGGACTGTCTGCGATAGTAAAACCAAAGCCCATTGGCCCTTTGACAATATGAACAGTTATGAGTTCTGGCTGAGTGGCTATGGAGGAAGCCAAAGAAACAGTGTCATTAGGATAACCATGAGAACTATTTGAAGCCACGTCCGCTGGGCTGCTTGGCCTGGCATCCTTCATGCCATTGACTTTGCCTGTTTTACTACTGTGGCTAGCTGGTGAATCATAGGTCTCTTGCCCATTCACAATAATTGGTTCTTTATCCAAAATGGCTACCGAGGTCACTAAACTTGTATTGGGGTCATCTGGATCAAAAGGCAATGGATAACCTCGGCAGAGTTCAAGGTCCACGCTGGCACCAATGGGGATGGACTGGAAGATCTTCACAACTTGAGCATGTGTGTGTCCCAAAACACAGGTGTCATTCACACTTACAATCACATCCCCTGTAGAAGGCAAGAGTGTGGGGGTTAAGAAAACAGCACCCAGAAAATTGTCATCAGTATTATAATATCTCCCACTAACATAAAGCTGAACTGAAACTGCATGTGGGTGTGATACTATAGGGTATAAAGTGCTTCTATTACTGATTTTAACAGCTAATAAAGTGTTCTTTCAGCACCTAGTGTCTTCCCTGCTAATGAGAATGTAATAATCACTCACAGAACATTGGAGCTTTCTCCTAAAAAAAAATCTCACTGCAGAAATCCAAGTTTAGAATTCATTTATTTAAATGGGGATCTACAGTTTTAGTAACTCATTGCTTTACTGTACTCAAACAGTTTCCCAAACTTAAAATGACTTCACAGGTTTTAATCTGTCCCAAGGGATGAATTTATGTAATGTGGAGACCTGGCTCATTCTCAAGGTGTTTAAAGCTGTAAACATGTGCAATCATGACGTTGCTTGGTCTTGCTCAAACAAACAACATCATGATTGCACATGTTTATCTCCTGGATTGGAGTCTCACCACACAGAACACACTAAGGCCATGTTGACGCTACCTGTTTCCATCTTGCCATCCAATGCAGCAGGACCATCTAGGACCAAGCTCTTGATCTGGAGAAACTCATCAGGTTCATCCCCTCCAACCACCGTGAAGCCAAAGCCACGACTGCTTTTCCGCAGCTTTGTGTGAATGAACTTGCCTTTCAACTCAGAAGGGTTTCGTGTAAAAAAGGGTTTGCCTGGATTAAAATAAGAAACGCATAAGGAATGTCACCACTGGTGAAAAGGAGAATTAAACAAGATTTGAGACAACATATAGATAATTCTTCACGCTTATGCCCTAGAGCCTTTGGGCATATAGCATCTTAAGAAAGTCCTCTCTTAATTTGAGGAATAAGGATGTTCCTAGGCCCCAGTGTTGATGGAGGGAGGTAAAGCATTGAGTATGTCAACTCCAGGGTCCAAAAGAAACTACAAGAGAGGGATGAAACTAGTCCCTGTCAGGTGACACACTTCTTGGTTTCCATTCATGCACTTTGACAGGAATTGAGCTGCCACAAACCCCTTCACAGAAAATGGAACTGGTCTGTTTTATGTCTTTTGTTTTGTTTTAATTTTATTTTGCTATATGGCTTCTGATGTGCTGCTTTGGGCCTGGCTTCCACTTGAAAAACCAACAGAACTAATCAAACGGAAAATCCAGGCTGAAAATGCACAGATAATACCAGAAAACATATTATAGTCACAAATAATAATTTGACAAAAATGTAGAATGACTATTTTCAAAATTAAGGGTCATTACTTTGAATTGAATTCTAAATTCAACTGATTTTTTCCTATTTATCTGATCTTTTATTAAATTTGTGATATAGCCAACGCATGCCTAGGGCTAAGAATTACTGTTTAAAACAAGTTTAGGATATTTGTTTAAAAAACACAAACCAAAAAAACAAACAAAGAAACCCCCCCCACAACACACACACACAAAATCCCTAAACTAAGTAGTTACTAACAGTAGCCACACAGCTCCAAATTCAGCTGTCTTATTTAAAATAAATTAGGCTGGGGGTGTGGTGGCTCATGCCTGTAATCCTAGCACTTTGGGAGGCTGAGTCAGGTGGAGCACTGAGGTCAGGAGTTCAAAACCAACCTGGCCAACATAGTGAAATCCTGTCTCTACTAAAAAAAAAAAATACAAAAATTAGCCAGATGAGGTGGTGGATGCCTGTAATCCCAGCTACTTGGGAGGCTGAGGCAGGACAATCACTTGAATCCAGGAGGTAGAGGTTGCAGTGAGCTGAGATTGCGCCATTGCACTCCAGCCTGGGCAACAAGAGCAAAACTCTGTCTCAAAAAAATAATAAAAATAAAATAAATTTACAGATAGAGGTATCGCTAAATTATTTCCAAACATGCTACCTAAGGTTTTATTGAGTTTTCTTGATACATTCACAAATAACATTTTGAACATAAACCAAAACGTTTTCTTTTGGGTTTTACTAGGCACTTCTCTGTAATTGAGAAACTTACTGGAACTTCTCTGATTATCCCAAGTAGTAGACCTAATTTCATGAGCAGCTTCTTTCATCTCTTCTAACTTTACTTACTTCTTATACCCTGTCCTTGCCACACACAGCTTCTCCATCTGCCCTGTTTCTTTTCTATCAAAAATGTTATCCAAAACAAAAAGAGAGAGAGAAAGAGGGAGACATTAGTCCCCTACACCCCTGTACTAGGAGCCTGGCACCTAGGAAAGAAAGTTATTTTTGGTTAGTTATATCTAAAAGAGTTTAAAAGGTCTCTGGGCATGCATACAATTTTTAATTGCATATTTTAAAAGTTTCTGGCTCTTGCAAAGAAGGCTCTTTTAAATTGCCTGCAATCAGAGGTCCTTTCGCTAACCTGCTCTCTAGCGCAGTCCCAAAGCTTATTGGAAGGTTGACAAACTACAGCCCTGTCATAGTGGCTAAAGAAAGGCAAGACTTACAAGGATTCGCCACGCAAAGTCATCTGCCAAGGCGTTGGGAGGGTGGTGTCACTTGCACCAAGAGCTTTGGGGAGACAGCTGCCAAGACAATTATCAGATGGAAATTGAGGTGAGGTAAGATAACCCCCAAAGTTTACTTTAGGGGGAGGAGGGTGACTGGCCTACACTCTTGTAGCAGGTGCTGCTAGGGCATTCCAGGGCCCTGAAGGGAAACACATTTCAGTTATGCAGAGACATCAACAGCCATTACCTTCGCAGCAAGACCTTCCCTAACCACCTTACTAAAAATTGCAGTACCTCCAACATTCCCAATCCCTTTTTCCTGCTTTATTTTTGTCCTTAGCATTTACCACCTTCCAAAAGAATATACATCTTACTTATTGCTTTGGTTTTCTTACTATCCCCAACTCCCATGCATGAGTGGCATTGATATGCAGGTACATAAAACCACTAGAATGTTAGCTCCATGAGGATTTTTATACGTATATCAAGTATCTAGAATATTGTCTGGTACATTTTATGTGCTCCAAAAATTTCTGTTGAGTGAGAGAATGAATGAACAAATAAAAGCACACAGAAATGATATTTATCATGTCTTTGAGAAGGCTGAAAAGAGGTGTTTGGTTGTTGGAGCTTTTCACTCTTATTATAGGCTAAGTTAGAAAACGTGAAAATGTGCCTGGCAGTTTATCTACTTAAAAAAAAATACATTAGCATATTTTGTGCTGAGAATGTTAACTTAATAAAGACATGAGCAGAGCTTTGAAATTATACGACTGACTTCCTTTTCCAATGTTTAACAAGGGAAGGAAAATCAGAGGGTTTCACATTTATGCACATTTTATTATTTTTTACGTATGGGTGGATCATTAGTTAATGTAGCTTTTGGAAAGAAACGCTTTTCACCCCATAAGCAGTGGAATTTGGAGCTCTCAGCTGCAGCCCTGTGGTACATGTAATTTTCTAAGATCCTAACCTCTGTTTACCAGTCACCAGCGGTAAGACTTGGTTGTGTCTTACCCAGGGAAAATCCCCTGGGTAGCTTTTTAAAATGTACTCATTTTCACTTCCTTCCTTAGACTCACTGATCAGGATGTTCTGGGTCTTGGCCCAAAACTCTGCACCTGAATGAACCTTAGGTGCATGTTTCCCTGCCAGGATGGGGGGAGGGGAAAGAAATGTCACTTCTTGACACTAGTGTTTAAATACCCTAGACCAGTACCGTCTAATGGCACTTTCCGTGATGATGGAAATGCTCTGCACCTGCACTGTTCAATATGGCAGCCACTAGTCACATGTAGCCACTGAGCCCTTGAAATATGGCTAGTGAGACAGAAAAACTTAATTTTTTGATTTTTTAACTGTAATTCATTTAAATTTAAATGGCAACATGTAACCATTGGCTTCCATACCGAACAGCATAGATTTAGACTACACAAATGAGGTATCCCACAAAAACTAAAACAACCAAAAACCTTTCAAACAGAAGTTAAACTATTCCTCATGTATAGTGTTCAAATCTGTGCTCTGCTACTTAGTGGCTATATGGCCTTGGGCAAGTTACTAAACCTCTCTGCCTGAGTATCACAAGTATAAATGGAGGTAATGATGATACCTATTTCACATGATAGTTGTGAGAAACAACCATGGCAGATAATGTAGGTAAAGTGCCTGGGAAGGTACCTGGCACATAATAAGAGCTCAATAAGTGAGTTATTGTTTTGATGGCGGTGGTGATAGAGTGAGTGTGGTGGAGGGGTAGCTGCAAAAATCTCTCTCCAAGCATAAGCTTGAAGCTGGAGAGTTTTCATAAGAGCAAATCTCCAAATTATCACTTGCTAAGATTAGAAGTACACTCTTGATCAGGGGAGAATTTAGTTGGCCTGTGAACTTGGCAAAATTACTACCAAACAATCTAACCAAATTAGCTATATGGCTTCTTCCTGACAGTCTATCAACACTAGATACTGCCCAAGATACAAGACACTAGACACTAGATGGCTAATCAAGACACTTAACCGGTAGGCAGGTAACCCAGAGTTATAACCAATGAGGCTAAAGTCTAGGTTAATGTTTATTGAAATCACAGCTTGGAGCCAAATGGTATGGATTTTAACTGGTTTCTTTGGTATCAGTTATATTCCAAAGATTATAAAAGTGCTTGAAACGTGTGGATCAACAGAGAGACTACACAGTAGAAGGGTGGTAAGAATAAACGAGTCAATCTCAAGGAGAGTTCAGTGAGCCTGAACCTTCAGACACTATTGAATGGTATTTGGAAGTGGGGCCTTTGGGAGGTGATTATACCATGAGAGTGGAGCCCACATGATGGGCTAATTCTTACAAGAGGAAGAGAACTAGTACTTTCTCTCTCTACTCTGCACCACATGAGGATACAGTGAGAAAATGGCCGTCTATAAACCACGAAGTGGACCCTCATTGGACACTCGATCTGCCAGCACTTTGATCTTTGACTTCCCAGTCTCCAGAACTGATAGATAAATGTTTGGTGTTTAAGCCACCTAGTCTATGGCAACTTGTTATAGCAGCCTGAATGAAGAACCAGTGGATGTCTTAGTCAATCATTAGATGACTAAAGAAAGAAGGAAGAGATATAAGGAAATAAGGAAGAAGAGAAAAAAAGAAAAAGAAAAAAAGGCTGAGTTAAAGAAAAGTAAGAATCTGAGATGAAGTGTCTAATACAGACAAATACCGTCTCAAGTCTTAGTTGGTGCACTAAGCATTTGGCACTCAGAACCTGAACCTTTACAGCTTTAATTTATTTAATTTCTAAGATAATTATGTAAGAAAGTCTGGTTGGCTATTCTATATGTATATGTGGATGGATGGATGGATGGATGGATGGATGGATGGAAGATGGATGGATACTGTTTCACTCAATAATAATGTCATCAGAAAATGTATATCAAGGGATTATGCCTAGTTTGGGATTATCTCACAGTGAAAAAACAAAAAACAGAGAATCATAGTCTCTTGCCTCCATGGGATTTAAAGTCTAATGAGGAAACTATTGTTAAATAATAGCACACAAATGAACACTAGTTATAATGGTTAAATTTCATAAATGTGAAGTACAGGATGGTTAAGAGTAAACATGGTAGGGGAATCTAGCAAAGACCTGAGGTGAACAGGAGTTAGCAGAGTAAGAAGTAGGAGGAAAAGACAACTGCAAACAGAAGGAACAGCCACTGCAAACAGAAGGAACAGCCTCTGCAAAGGCTCAGAAGCGGTTCACAGTTTTGCTGGTTAAAAGAACTGAAAGGAGGCTAACTTACTGTGAGAGAGGGGAAGGTAAGAAGGCATGAGCCTACAGAAGGAATTTTATGTTTACAAAAAACCCCACAAAACTGAGGACTCCACAGTCATGTTGATACTAATCAACATTATTATCTACTATATCCCATCTTTATTAAAGCCATTATCACCATTAAAAAGTGCATTCATGCCAGAAGAAATTATTTTACATAAATTGATACTAATTCTAATCTAGTGACAATGTCAGCTAGCAGAGAAACAATTTCTTTCTTATGAAAATTATAATGAATTAAAATTAAAGAAATGAATTATTATTCTACTTATCTTTTTATATGTAACACAATTAAATCTTTTAAAATATAGAAAGGAAGACAAATTTTATAGTATTTTTATTGTTTCTGTACCACAAACATCCCCCAACTCTGTCAAACATGATGCTTGTTTAAAAGAAAAAGAAAACTAAACACAAATATTTTCTATAATTTAAGAGTAATGAGGCCTGAAAGTTGCAAGGTTCTGGAGCTTCCAATTTTCAAGAATAATCCTCTATAAAGGCCTCATCCTATGTGTGAATGTAAACAAACAAGACCTATTGAAACGTTGTAAACATGCATAAATACCAAAACTGCAGCAAGAATAGGGAATGAGAACTGAAAACACAATATCAAACCATTTTCATTTATAGGAAAGTCTTAGACAAAACCTAATATGTTGGCTAGACTCTTGAAATATCTAATGCTGAGTTTCAGATTTATCTTTTTTAACATACTATTAAATATCTGTGGTCTCTAAGTCAGTGATTCCTATCTCTGGGATGGGTTTGCTCCCCAGAGACATCTGGCAATGTCTGGGGACAATTTCCTTGTCACAATGAGAGGTGGGCTGTGTGCTACTGGCATCTAGTGGCCAGGGGACATCTCACAATGCCCAGGACAAACCCACACAACAAAGAATTACTTACCCCAAAATGGCAATGGTGCTGAGATTGAGAAACGTTGGTTTGAATGATCATTTAACAAGTAGTCTTTATTTTTAAAATATTACAAATAGTTGGAAAAAAATTATTCAGGAAGATTCCTAATTTTTCTTGACAAGTCTAACAATACATTTATCATTGTTTTCATTATTTATGGTTTTCACTATCAAAGGAATGACTTGGGAGTTACGAGATTCCACTTTTCAAAATACCTTAAAAAAAATTAGATTTTGAGCTAAAACCATGACACAATTAGAAAGACAAGTACTTTACCCTGAAGTGGAACTTCTCTGGCTGGCTCTGGATTGCTTGGAGGGTGGTTTGGAATAACAGGAGGCACAAGGGCTGAGTGATCTTCTGTCCATTCTATGAAAAAGAAAAGAAAGTTTCCTATTTTTCCTTCAAATGGCTCATTGAGTTACTTATGATTCACCTTATTATTAATAATACTCAAGGCAATAAACCAAGGGCAGATAGCTTAGATTAAAAAGAAGTTGTTATCTGACCTCATTCTATGAAGCTCTTTTTTTTTTTTTTTCTTGTCTAAGACGTTTTGGGAAAGAAATATTACGATATAATGAATAAGAACTCCAGTTCTCTCTGGCTGGAAAGTCCAAAGTGAAGTCAGTTAAAAAATGTCAGGAAAGACATACAGTCAACTAATGGCAGCTGTATAAGGGAGAAATTTCTCTAATCTGATTCAGACATGAGCTGGGCTGCTGAGGCCAGCTTGTCTTAGGTAGGGAGGAAGATGAAGGTAGATTTCAGCAGTTTGCTAAGGGTGTGCTCTTCTGTTATCTCTGAATCCAAATGAGACCTATTACAAATACTCCTGGGTCCTAATTGTAGTCTTATTCACCTTGGAAGGCCAGACATAACTCACAGTGAGTGACCCTTGAGATGGCACCCCAGAATCACTTCCAGCTCAGCTAACATATTCAATTGTACATTCTCATTTGCAAACTGCACTTTCTAACACTACCAAGTTTCATCAGCTCAGGAAAGATACATTAAAAAATTTTTAGACAAAAAATAACAGATGTTGATAAGGATGTAGAGAAAAGGGAATGCTTATACACTGTCGATGAGAATGTAAATTACTGCAACCTCTATAGAACCACCATACAATCCAGCAGTCCCACTACTGGGTATCTGAAGAAAAAGAAATTATTCTATCAGAATGATACCTACACTTGTATGTTTACTGCAGCACTACTCACAACAGCAAAGATACAGAATCAACCTAAGTGTCCATCAGTGGATAACTGGATAAAGAAAATGTGGTATGTATGCCATGGAATACTGTTCAGCCATAAAAAAGAGAATAAAATTATGTCTTTTGCGGCAACATGAATGGAACTAGAGACCATTACCTTAAGTGAAACAACTCAGAAACAGAAAGTGAAACACCACATGTTCTCACTTCTGAGTGGGAGCTAAATAATGTGTACTTACGGACATGAAGTGTGGAATAACAGACCATGGCAACTCGGAAGGGTTGGAGGGGGATGAAGGATGATAAATTACTTAATGGGTACAATGTATACTATTTGGGTAATGGTTACACTAAAAGTCCACACTTCACCACCACTTAATATACCCATGTGTCAAAAGCTGCACTTGTACCCACTAAATGTATATGAGAAGAGTTCTTTTTAGCTAGAAAAGAGACTAAGGTAGATAACATTTCAATGGGTGAATGTACACAGACATACATACCTACTCTCTCTAAATTGTACAGTCCAGGGCAGTGGTTGGCAAACTATGGCCCACTAGCCAAACTGGGGCCAATTCCTGTTTGGATACAGCCTGTGAGCCAAGAATAACTTTTATTCTCAAATGGTTGAAAAGTAATAAAAAGGAGAATACTTTGTGACATATGAAAATTACATGAAGTTGAAATTACAGTGCCCATAAAGTTTTATTTGAACACAGCTACACCTATTCATTTACATAATGTCTACAGCTATTTGCATACTACAATGGCTGAGGTGAGTAGTTCTAACAGAGATTGACTGTTTAAATCACGAAGCCTAAAATCTTTATTATCTGGCTGTTTAGAGAAAAAGTTTGCCAACCTGTAGTCTATGGTTTACATTTGTTATATTCAATATTATAGTAACAGAAGCATTATACTTGATATTCTATTTGATATTCACATATTATATTGATGGGAGTATTAAGCCTATGATTCTAAAAGATCACAATGAAAAACTGGGGAAAGCCAGAGTATCTAGTAATAAACAAATGGCTAAATAAAGCAGAGGCATTCATGAAATGGAATATTACGTCACCATTAAAAAGTATAAGCTAAATCTATATTAGCCAACTTAGTAATATGTGCAAGAAATAAAAAGTGAGAAAACAGGTCTCACATACATACTATATACGTATAAATTATTATCAGATTTTTGTTAAAATATGCGTATATCTATATCCCTAGAAAATTTCTGCACAGGGCTTATCTCTGAGAATGGGAAGGGGGCAACCAGGGGAGAATTTAATGTTCTATACTCCCGAATTGCCCATATTTTTACAAAGAGCATGAATTAGTCTGTAATTTTTAAAAGCACCCAAAACTACCAGCTCTTTCTGATTCTTTACATGTAATGTTCCTAAAATTAAAAGTTAGTTTCATGCCCAGTAACTCCACTTAAAGTAAAAATGCTAAAAGTGGTTTGGATTTAGCTACCAGTTGCAATGCAAATACTGCGGGGGCAAGAAATTTCCTCCCCCATCAGAAAGTTCTCTGATCTAATGATGCTCCTTTCTAAATTAAAATGGAGATTTGAGTGACTTTGAATTAGGATCTCCACTTTGGCCATCCAGAGGAACATGGAGAGGGGGTTCTCTTCCTCCCCACAGGACATCAGCTCTTCAGTGTGGCAAGAGAGGACTCAATCATCGAGGCCAGTTCTGACCACACGAGGGTGTCAGCGCTCAGATTTCACCCCATGCTCCCCTGATCAAGAAAAAGCCTAGAGGAAAGAGGCCAACCTTCTGTCTGCTGCTGCTGCTGCTGCTGCTGCTGCTGTTGCTGCTGCTGTTGCTGCTGCTGCTGCTGCTCAAGCTGCTTCTTCCGTTTGGCTTCTAGAACCGGGTTCTCATATTGTGTCTTCCTGTTGATGTGGCTGGGGAAGATAGCAAATAGTATTCAGCTTGAAACAGTTCATCCCACCAGCAAAATGCCAATCAGACCAAGTCCCTGGAATCAAACTGAGCAGAGCAGGTGGTCTGAGATGCTAACCCTCGTGTGTTAAAATGCTCAGTTAGAAAGAGGAAATAAAAATGAAGTTTCCATTACTGACTGCTTATATGCACTAAGCACTGGGCTACCAGTTTTATATGCATTTTATTTAAAAGTCCTCAGTAAATGCCAGGAGGTAAGTCCTATTTTTATTCATATCTTATGAATAAGGAAAGTAAGTGTCTGGGCAGTTAAATACTTCATCTAGCATAATATAGCTAGTAAGCAGGAAACAGGCATGCAAGCTCAGGGTTGCCTGCTTTCAAATCCCAGGATTTTAACCACTGACCCCACTCCAAATGTCCAAGATACCACCTGACAGGGGAAGCTGCTTTAATTCAATAAGAAGTAGATTAAGGAATTATTGAGACATAAGATTAAAGTGGCTATGTGACATTGTCTGTAACATACAATGCCAGAACTGCTGTGTAACTGTCTGCAGTAGGGTTCACAGAAGCATAAGCATTCATCCAAACAATGAAGTTAAACAAAGAACTCCACTCACATCTGTTAACTATTTTGATCACTAAACATAGAGGCACAATTAAAAGTACAGGCCTTAGGCAGAGAGAATCCAAATAAAGTTAACCTAAGTAGATGTGATGTGCTCAAAATGACAAAGATCCAAACACTTAGATGGCTACAAAACTAATTATATATATACACATATATATGTATACATATGTATATGTGTACATGTATACATATACATATATACATATGTATACATATATATGTATACACATATATGTACATATATATGGTACATATGTGTGTATATATATATACACACACACACATATACACACACACAAGCATATACGTATAAATATACATTATTTATTGTTTTTTGAGACAGTCTCTCTCTGTCACCCAGGCTGGAGTGCAGTGGTGCGATCTTGGCTCACTGCAACTTCTGCCTCCTAGGTTCAACCAATTCTCCTGCCTCAGCCTCCTGAGTAGCTGGGATTTCAAGCGTGCATCACCATACCCGGCTAATTTTTGTATTTTCAGTAGAAATGGCGTTTCACCATGTAGGCCAGGCTGGTCTCGAACTCCTGACCTCAAGTGATCCACCTGCTTTGGTCTCCCCAAATGCTGTGATTACAGGCATGAGCCACCATGCCTGAACTTATTTTTCTTAATTCAAAATAATAGTTTATTAGAAATTTAGGAGCATAGTATTGTGATTATTTAGAACTCTAAGTTTTTTAAAAAGCTAGGCTTTATTTTTTTAAGCAGGTTTATCAATAGAAAGGATAGACTGATTGCTCTTAATTTCTATTAAAGGCCTACATGTTTATTTCCTAATTCTTGTAGCAATTTCATTCTAAGAAATGGTCTACCATTAACAGGCACATGAATCTGAAAAGACAGATGGAGAAGTGTGTGGTAAGATAATAACTTGCCCCTCAAACTAGTGTCTTCACCCATAAAAGCTTTTGTCATCTGTTCCTGCTCTCTCTTAATGCATAAACTAGTTGAGGGACAATTCAAAATGAGCTTCAAATAGCAAAAACCCCACAGTACATCTGTGAGAAAGATGATCTTTGGGGCACACAAAAGAAATTTATTTTCTGAGGGTCAGAGGGGCAGCCAAGTTTGCCTCTCTGATGCCCCATATTACCAATCCCTCTTGTTAGGCAAAGTGGAGGTAAAAGTTAGTACTGGCCAAGGACACTTGCTATATTGAACTCATAATTTCTACAGTAAGATGCTGGGCATCTATTTTATGGCCTGGCACTTTTTTCATCTTGTGTTCATATCACCAGGGTATTATACAAATGACTTTTCATCACCAGCAGCATAAAGGAAAGAAAATATGACAGTTACATCTTCAGTGTGGCAGGTACGATTATGTTTCTACAACATTTATATGGCATTTGCTTCTTTTGAAGGGACTTTTATTAGTTACCTCTCATTTTTCTCTGAGGAAACTACATAATACAAAGCTTTTTTTTTTTTTCAATGTCCTAACCTTTGGGTTTCTTTTAATATCATCCTATCCATCAACAGTTTTGATGAAAGGAAAAAGTGGGAGCCCAATGCTAGAATAAGGCACACAGTAAAGTCACGAGGGTTTTAGACTTTTAAAAATGGGAAACCAGAACCTCAGGCAAGAGAGAAACAAAGAAACACACAAAGTCTGCATCCTAGGCTAGTTCTCCATTTTCTCCTCAATCCTGGCAACATTTCATAAATTACCGTGGCTGAACCTTTTGAAATGTATGAATGAATAAAGAAGTAATTGCTAAGGAGTTCAGATCTGGGTAGAGCAAAAAGTAGACGAATCAGATACTCCTTGTAAAGATAAACAATCCCTCTTCATCTGGTCTACTGAATCCTGGCTTTTCTCATTCATTCATTCATTCAACTAATACTCATTAAGTACCTGCCATATACCAGGACGATGTTGGGCCTTTGTGATGCAGTGGTGAACAAAAGACATGGATCCTGCCCATGTGAATTTAATAATATGATTTGCTATTTTCAGATTTATTGAATATTTTCTCATTCATTAATATATGCATACATATTTTCATCATAAAATTAATATTGTTAATTGGTTTGTGCCTTATAATGATGTCAGGCTGTACTTAACACAAATGTACATAATTATAGAGAGGTATAAACTAATGTGTGGATTGTGAATGGGCACTTACTCTACATAGTAGATACCATAGACAGGGTCTTCAATCTTTTCCCAACCAGCAGGCAGTTCTGAAAAATAAAAGAACATTTAGGGCAAGAAGAGCATATTCTTGAAGAGCCTGGGTGTTTTCAACAACTGAGTTAGGCAAAAAGAGAAAGACTCATAAAAATGCTTTAAATCCAATTAAAACTGTATATCCTAACCAAAAAAAAAAAAGTATCTATTATTTTATAAGTGTATTTTTCTACATGAACAGCATTTCTTTATCTACTGGTATTTTATGCAAGAAAATAAAACTTAACAAAATGCAGCCTTTATTCTAAATCACTATTAAATTAGATTTTAGTGAAAATATAGGTTAAACTTGCCTTGAATGCCTAGTTCCTATCTTAAATGTTTACGGTTTTCTCATTTTGTTCCTAGGCCATCTTATTACACAAGCAAAAATGGATGAAAATTAATGTTTCATTTTCAGTACAATAGTGTTGTTTTGCTCTCCTTGAAATAAAATAAAATCTGCATGTTATCTTCTCCTTGTTCCTAATGAAAATGCAGTTGGGTTTTTGAACTGCACACAACTATCACTCAATTGCTATCTCTGGGCTGGCCCATCTTTCTCAGCACTTAACCTGTGAAAGCAGTAACACAGCTCCTGATCCCTAAGAGCTCACTATCTAAGGCGGATGATTTTATTTCTTTAAATGTGGTGGTACAATGGCACTGGGGGATGTATGTGCCTTTCTGAAAACTCAACCATGCTCTACAGAACTTCCTAAGGTTTCATATCAAAGGCCAAAACTTTATTAAACAGGTAATAGTTCTGTCTGAACAAGAATCTGTTGTGGAAAGGCCCACTGCACCATATTATTTTACTTGGTGAAAGAAGGGACTAGGTTGTGGGTTTTTTTTGTCATTAAACAATCCTTTCAGGCAGAACAACAGTTATTCAACTTAATTTTAAAGCTTCCCTGATACACGTAGTCAAGGCAAACTTATGTAACACCACACTCTAAAGTGAATAATTAGTCCTAGAAGTAGCTATTAAGACCAACTTTGATAGAATACTACAAACTTGAAATATTTGAAATAGATTTTTGTTTAATTCAAGGAATCATGTGGTCACTAATTTAAATAATGATGTCATCAGGGCAGAAGGCTTACATATACCACAAACAGTTCCAGACTGAGGTAGAGGCATGCACATGCACACAAACACATACAGGCTAATTACTCAAAGTTTATGTTTTGTTCAGATTTGGCTGCACATCAAGAGACATTAATTTCATAGTTTTTGCTCCACATGTTACTTGTTTGCAAACAAAGAGACAGGTTTTCCCCCCTTTTCTTCTAAATCAAAAAGAAAAAACATTTAGCAAGTTTTAAAGAAGTCTTTGACTTGTAGGAGACATAAGCTACTAAAATGCAAGACAGGTCCAATTTGCAGATGTTGATACAACTTGGCATTTGTATATACTGAGTCTTGCGGACCGATGCAAATTGAATGCCTAGGAAATGCTTTCCCCTTACAAAGCTGGAAATTACCATTTAAATGAAAATGAACCAGGAAAATATTACCAAAGAGTTGGGAAATCGAAGATTAAAAAAATGCAAATTGGTGCACAGTCATACATTTGTATAGGGCAGAAGGGTGGGTGGATGTGAGGAGACCGCATTAAGTTTCATAGAAACGCCATCTCTTTTCAAAATCTGCAAACTGAGATATGTGGCCTGATTATCTTTAGATAAAACAGGGGAAATACTAAGCTTTTAAGTTACTCAGTTATTAATTTGACAAACATTTGTTGAATGCCTACTTTTTGCCCGAGGGTGTGTTAGGCACCAGGGACACAAAGACAAACGCAAGTGCATCATCTAAGCAGAAAATTCAGCCACGTGGTATGTGCTTTGATGGAGGGCCGAGGAGGGTACTAGAAAAGAAGGTACCCGTGACTTCTTTTCTAGTGCCTAGTCAACAACTTAATATTCTAGAGTTGAAAAATGGGTCCAGTCAACTGGCATATCTGGACATTTGTCAGTTTAAACACATCTTTTGGAACAGATGAGCAAACTCCAGAAATTGAAAAGATAGTTTCTCACTTCCAATGTGGTCATTAACTTAATCATAGAAATTAGTCTCCTAATGCTTAAAATAGAAATGGGTCATCGATTTTAAATAGGAAGATGGTTGTCCTAGAATTTGCCATTTGGTTCTAAAAGACTGAAAAAGGCAGAAAATATTTAAGTCCAGAATGACATTATAATTTTTTAAGCAAACACTCTAAAGACTCTTAAAAAGGAATCCTCGTATGACTAACCACAGTCAGGGAGCAGATTAGACAGTACAACCTATCACAGAGATTTGAAGTGGCTAAGATCCTTTTGGCATTGCCCAGATATAAGATTGAGCCTTAATTCTTTCATTTATCTCTACTACTCTGTGGCCTTGGGCTACTTACTTAACATCTCTGAACCACATCTTTCTCCTGGATTTACCTCAAAAGTCAATGGTGGATTAAACAAAGATACTTCTGAACACTTAGCACAGTTCCTGGCACATAGAAAGTGTCCAACAAATGGCAGCTGTTCCAGGAAAGCACAAAAGGAATAGGACAGATGTCTGTGGCCTGTGTACTTGCTACTCCTGCCTCTGAAAATCTCATGCTGCACTATTTTGTCTCCAAAGAGCAAACATTGAGCAGTCAAAGGTTCTAAGTTCTTTTCAAAGAGATTTCTCTGTATATAGATTGAAAATCATGTTCAAAATCAGAGATACATTTCAAAACTGTGACTTAGTTTTGGGTGGGAGGAGAACTTACTTTCTTGGCTCTATCTCCCCTAGTTGGTTTCACCACATGGATACCCTATAATTCCAAAAGAAGGTTCTGCAGGTGCTTTTTAATTCTGGGGAGATGTCTGCAGAGGACGTGATAAATTCTGCAAACCAAAGTACATAATGGAGCAACTGACCCAGCTCAAACAACAGAGTTCAGAAATGACAACTCTATAATCAAATGATCTGTGTCCAATACCCAAGCCAACTGCCCACGCCTCTCAGAGGCCGATTACAAAGAGGGTTTCCTTGTCACATCTGGAATTACATTGTTCACTGAAAACCTGACAGTTGCTATTGTTTGAAATTAGGACCCTCTTATTAAGAAAATGAGCAGTGAGCTTGTCAACAGAATCTGGAGTGAATGCAACAGAAAACAGTGTGTGTGCACGTGTGCTACTCTTTACACAGTGGACATGTGCAGGCAAAAATCAAAGGTTTTATCTCTACCCTTCCTACAAGAACACATTTGGGCCATTTCTATAATATAGAACACATTCCTCCCTTGTGCTGTGTTAATGGAAAAAAGTACCATAAGAAAGTACTGAAAAATCCAAGAAGAGGGAATTAGGTAATAAATAACAACACTGCAAATAGCTAATAGAATGTGCTGATCACAGGGACAAATATTAAAACACGCTTTCATTAAGTCACCTCATAAGCACCATGGGAGCTACTCTTTTGGCCCCTCTTTATGGATAAGGAAAGGGAAGCTAAAAGAAGGTGAATAGCTTGTCTAAGTTTGCATAGCCAGTAAGCAGGGGAGCCACACAGTTTGATCTGAACCCAGAGAAAGCCAAGAGAACTCATGTTTAGAGTCTTTAACAGCACAAGCAAGTCACCACGATATCACAGTTACATGTGGGTAAAATGCAGAAACTTCTTTCCTGAAAATTTCAAATTCAAATTTCCAGAGAAGCAAATAAGGTTGTGCTCCTGTACACAGCTGTGCTATCTCCACTGGCTGCCAGCAGACAGCAGAGTGATCTGTCACACCTATTACTTAGGTAGCAAGAGTGGTTGAAATTGGCTGAACAAATGATTAAGACACTCATTTTGTGTCTGGAAAACCTATTTCTGTCTCTTTCATTTACTTTATCTAATATCATTGGATTGACAAATTCTTTTTTTGATCAAATTAGTTTCAAATTGTTCTATCATTCAGGGTGAACCTTAAGTCATCCCTCTCACAATGACCACAAAGACAACTTATTAAACATCTTTAAAAATAGATCCATCAATAGTTATTGACCATTGTTGGCATGTGCATCAATTACAACAGACAGGTTCCAAATGTTAAGAAAAACAGAGCTTGGTTCTATTCTATCATAATTCTAGCCAACCATGACTGATTATCTTTATCTCACGTAACAAAAATAAAGAAAACCAAATGAATGCAATAATCTATACTAAATAGACTTATATTTTCAGGTCTTTAGGCAATCTCAAAAATGCCAGGCAGATTCAATAATCTTAGTACAGTTCCACTCATACTGATGTTAAACAATCTTCTACTTAAACAATCTTCAATTGCTAAAGAATCTTCCATCAGCCGAGGCTTTCATCAGCAATTTAGCTGAAACTTATGCTTTCCTATGTATCCATCAGCAAATGTATCAGACGGAATGCAAACTAATTTTAATGTTGTTCAAGGTTGAACATAAAGGACTGAACGTAATAGCAAACGTAATTCAATATATTCCAATAGCAAAGAAACAAGAATTTGGCATCATCTGCTAGTATAAATTATTCCTAAACAACAATAACTAGAGTAGTCAAGACTTGATTTGCATTGACACAACTCTAAGGCAAACAGTACATACAGATGCTGCATCACTATATAAACAACCACTCACTACAATGGCAAGGTCAACAACACGTGGTCTGGGACGTAATAACAACACAATCCTAAGACTTAACTATTCAATTCCTCAGTGACCTTCTTTTATTGCAAGTGCTCCTATAATGTTCCTTAAACTAGTCTTAATTGATTTTTGTTTGTCCTGCTTGGCTTTTTTGTATTACCCAAATAACCATCCGTACTAAACAAATAAAGAAATAAGACTGAGACAGGTTATGCCAAAGTTCAAGGGACACAGCGAGCATCTCTTCGGTTCTTTCCCAATCCTCACTTTACAAGACTACCCATTACCAATTTGCTAACTCTCGTTCTAGTCTCTGTTCAGTCAGACATTTTCTTTGTAAACATAATGTACTACAACTCCGCGTGATGCCTGCAGGCAGACACGCAGGTTGTAAGACTGACCTTTCCTGGATAAGCTAGAATGAAAATCATAATTGGAGGAGTGCAAACTAAAGAAACAGGGATTAAGCAATTCACTGGGGAAGAAAACCATGCAGGCCATGTCATGCACGTGTCATGCAGCAGCAGCAGGCAGGGAGGGTTTACCTAGTTCACTGTCCAGCTCCTCGGTGTGTACCCCTTCTTCTCCAAAGGAATAGCAGGAATGAGACAGAAAAGAGAGAAAGCAAAATTCAGACACCAGCACCAAGAAAGGAAATCTCCTCAGGAAAACAGCAGCAAACACATCACTCTAGTTCATCCTTACCTGCATTGTGGCTTATTTCATTGGCTTGGATAGTAAACTTGCGACCTCAGTGTAAATCACAAAACGGGAAGAGCTGATATTGGCAAAATAATTACATGGCTCATTTCCTTGCATGTCAAAATAGGATTTGATTGGTTGTAAAAGATGACAAATACCTTTGCGGTTTCAATGTTCTTAAGTGGGAAGTCACTTATTACAGACCTTATTGGGAGTAAACAAAGCTGTTAGACCTTTCATTATCAGTCCTTTTAATCCTTCAATAATCCTCTAATCAGTGAGGCAATTATACTCACAATTAAAGCATTATTTAACTTACAAGTAACAGTGCTGCTTGAAAAATGGAAGGTGAGGTCAAATTGAAAGTGCAGACTGTATAATGAGCTAACTTTGATGTCTTTCAAAAAGGAGCTGGAAAGATGAATTACGTCAAGATAAAATATATCAAAGAAGAAAGCCTTGAAAACTGCCCTGAAGGAGTGTTGGGAGGCATTTAACTGGTTTTGTGAGAAAACACATACACACACACACACACACACACACACACACACTTTCTAAGTCAAGGAGCTCAGAAATATTAGAATTAAAATGTCCTCAAAAATTTCAGGGAGCAAAACAAGTCCAAATCCTTTCTGTTCTTGACCTCGTCCTCTTGCTGTCAGTACAACATTTTCTTATTGTTGAGAAGAAAACATGGGAGAACACACAAAAATCATTTCATACATAATGTTTCCCCAGGGTCAGGGCAAGTGGCTCCTATAAGCTTCACAAACACAGGAATTGAGCCTGTTTTCAGTACCACAATACGCTCAGTGCCCAGTGTAGCCTTCTGCACATGTTAGGTACTAAATATTTCTTGATGAATGAATGAATGAACCAATCAATCAATGATTGACTTAAATAACCAACATGGGCCTAGACACCTTGTAAACTCTTGATTTGTTGTGGGGTGGGGGGAGGGAGGAGGGATAGCATTAGGAGAAATACCTAATGTAAATGACGAGTTAATGGATGCAGCACACCAACATGGCACATGTATACATATGTAACAAACCTGCACGTTGTGCATATATACCCTAGAACTTAAAGTATAATAATAATAAAAAAATGATCCCACTGCCAGCGGTAAGTTTTGATTGGCACCGTTTCTTAAAAGGAGAATCTAATTTACACAAAGTCATCTGTGAAAATGCCCATTTGGATATTATCTAATGTCTTTGGGAGCATTTGTTCACTTCTTCAGTAGTTATTTATCAAGACCTATGATGTGCCAGTCACTGTGCTAGGTGACATATCAAAATGAACACAATCAGGGGCCAGGCGTGGTGTCTCATGCCTGTAATCCTAGCACTTTGGGAGGCCAAAGTGGGTGGATCACCTGAGGTTGGGAGTTCGAGACCAGCCTGGCCAACATGGTGAAACCCCGACTCTATTAAAAATACAAAAAAATTAGTCAGGCAGGTGGCGCTCACCTGTAATCCCAGCCACTCGGGAGGCTGAGGCAGGAGAATCGCTTGAACAGGGAGGCAAAGGTTGCAGTGAGCAGAGATCATGCCACCACACTCCAGCCTGGGTAACAGGGCGAGACTCCATCTCAAAAAACAGAATCAGACATCTCTACTTTTCCAGAACAGGAGACAAATCCAAGGCTCACACAAATAAAACTAAAATTAAAACCATGATAAGTTCTCAACAGAGTAAGATACATGAGTGACCTAATCATATTTTTGGGGGCAAAGTCATGGAAAAATTCCCTGAAGTATAACCTGAAGGATATGCAAAGTTTAATGTCTGTTGTATTCATTGACACATTCGAATACCTAGGATGCACGTGACATACAGAAATTATTCAATAACTATTGTGAAATATAAGAGTATAGTGAAATGTAAGCGTATTCTAAGAGAGAAATGCACATTTAACTGACATGAGGCAGGAACTCAATGAGGACTAGTGGGGATGAAGAGCAGAGAGCAGAGAAATAGTGTGAGAAAACCTAGAGAGGCTGACCACACAGGGCTCAGAGTAGCAAGCTATGGACCTGGCATTTCCTAAGCAGACCCTGTGGAGGTTGTCAGCGATAACATCATCACATTTACATTTTAAAAGATTTCTCCGAGTACAACATAAAAAGGAGAGTGAAAAGAGTCTGTATGGGAGATGAGCATGATCCCAGATGAGAATGGAAGATGCGGTGAAAAAAATAGTGAATGGATCCAAGAGATATTTAGGATGCCAACTGAATTCAGCTGGTTCACGGGTTAGAAATAGGTGTGAAGAAAAGTGACATATCAAGGGGGAATTTTGAGTATGCATAAATTTACCATGAATGGAGACAGGAAACACTTTGTATATTACGTAATTTGGGGGGAAAGATCATCAGTTTTAATGGTTTTAATACGACTAAGTCGAAGTATCTTTGAGACAATCGTTGACATTATCAATCACATGGATTACAATATTGGTCTGGAGTTCAAAGGCAACACTGAGGGCTTCTAACTGAACTGGACACAGCAGTGACAGAAGGAGTCATTCACTAACATCAAAATCTCAAACCAGTTTCTCGATTTTCTGAGATAGGAAATAGAACATATTAAATCTTTATAATAATTAAGTATGATGCTATACTGTTACACCTCATATGTATGACCTACAGAGAACAGAAAGAAATACAGGGACAATATTTGCAACCAATATGTTTTTCTGCTTTGTGTTATAAATAATAACAAGGCAGCTTTGCGTTAACTGGCAACAGAAAATGCAAACTGATACTTACCATAATCTGATTATATATTTATACTGTTTGTGTGTACAGGCACACAGATATACATAGAATTTCTACTAGAAACAGAATATATGAATTCTAATATTAAAGAGATAATTATAAACTAACTGCATTTGGTATGAATACATTCTTGTTCCAAAGGAAATAACATTAACACAAAAAGATAAGAATTTTAAGAATTAAAAATTACTAGATTTGGTAACAAAAATGCCAATTCCATTCAATACTTTCACTCTATGTACAGTTTTTCTCAGTAAAAGCTATTGCAGTATTCTATCACTTATAATATTGTATTAACAAGCATTTTCATACATTCCCAGAATAATTACAAAAGGGATATTGACATTGAAGACCCTATGGTAATAAGTGCCTAAATTGCTTTCAAAATCATAAGGCATCAAATAATGATTATTGTTCCATGAAATTTTAGGGTTGAATGTGTTTTATGCTATGATCTTTGAAAACTGGTTATTTATGTTCAGGTTGAGTAGTCATTATCCAAAATGGTTAGAATCAAAAGGGTTTCAGATTTTGCATATTTTCAGATTGGAGATACTTGTGTAATATACTTACTGGCTCAGCATTCCTAATCCGAAAATCCAAGATCCAAAATGCTCCAGTGAACATTTCCTCTGAGCATCATGGTGACACTCAGAAAGTTTTGGATTTTGGAGCCTGTTGTTGCTTTGTTTGTTTCTTTTAAGACAGGGTCTCTCTCTGTCACCAAGGCTGGAATGTAGTGGCACAATCACAGCTCTCTGCAGCCTCCTACTCTTGGGCTCAGGTGATCCTTCTGCCTCAGCCTCCCAAGTAGCTGGGACCACAGGCGCATGCCAACACGCCTAGCTAATTTTTGTTTTATTATTTGTAGAGTCAAGGTCTCACTACATTGCCCAGGCTGGTCTTGAACTCCTTGGCTCAAGTGATCCTCCTGCCTCAGCCTCCCAAAGTGCTGAGATTACAGGTATGAGCCACACCATGCCTGGCCAGTTTTGGAGCATTTTGGACTTCAAATTTTGGGATCAGGGATACTTAACCAGTATTACATGTTAAACAGAATACTGAAATAATCAGTATAGTCTATTATCTCCCAAGCATGCAAAATACCAGAGCTGAATGAACCTGTTCTATTCCTTCTTCAGGAATCAAACAAAGCAACCAAGATAAAACAAAGCAACCAAGATAAAACAAACATCTTGGTCATGCCTCCTAAGTTAGAAGGACTTTTGTTTCCATTTGAAGTAACTCAGATAAATACCAACACAATAGTCTATGTCATTTAACGTAATCTGCAAACCATGTATAATAGAAGGATCATGGAGTGCAAGGTTTTCACAGTATTATACTATAAAATACTGCCTTGCATTTTCAAAAAATCTTCAAGTTTATATATACAACCATTCTGCACTATAGGACGAATAATAAAGTTCTGTTATCTTACAGTAAAATACATATTTAATAATTATACTACTAATTCACATGCCAGAATTGAATAATGAGTAGCAAAGCAGAGCGAAGCAAACCATTTCCCTTTTCATTCTTCCACATCAAAAAATAATTTTGGTAGAACTTGGGATAGACGTTGGTGTACTGAAAAGGGACACACTAGCTCTGTTTCAATTTTTTTTTTTTTTCATTTTGGAGAAGTAATTAGAAAACCCAAAGCCTTGAAATGAACTTTTTCAACAAAAGCTCTTACAGCCAGTTAGTTCATTTCCAAGATTAACAGGGAGAGTGGTGCTCTAGGTAACACCTCAACCTCTGTCTCAAAAGAATACACTTACTACATATTGTGGGTATACTCTAAGTTACACAGAGATTCTCAAACATGTCTAGATCTGTTTCCCCTACCTCCAAGACTAGGGAAGTATGTGAAATATGTACAGTTCAAGAAAAACTCCCAACTTTTCCCCCTAAGACTTTTATAAGATAGGGTTAAACCTGAGAATGTGTGACTGACCAGACCGTCTTTGGTTTCTTTATTCCTAGAGACTTTCTAGAATTTACTCTAAGTTCCTGAAGACAGAGGACGTATCTTCATTTGAACAGTTTCTGACTGTTCTGCTTCTAATGGAGATATTAGTAAGCATCTGTCTTTATGTGTAAACAAATTCTTCTCTTGAAACAACTCTGACTTTCTTCCTGCTTTTGTAAACCACAGTCCATTTAGCAGAAATTGGATTACCTTTTAAAAACTCAACATAAGACCCGACTGACCTGGCTACGACTCTTTAAAATTTGCACATGTGAACAGTGCCCCCAATTCACTTAACCCAAGACCTGCCTGGCCCCTTACCATCATCTTCACACTCTTCCAGTGGCTTCTGCTGCTTGTTTAGGCACCGAGGGTCTAACCAAGATGTTGTTTTCGTGTTATGGCTGCAATCCAGAAACAAAAATAAGAAATTTGTTTGAAAAAAAAAAAAAAAAGCAAGAAGCCCAATGACGGAATTACACACTCTTGAATATTTCTTCCTTAACTACAACAAAGATGCTTTCCAACAGCAAATCCAAACCAGAAGAGAGCCTGAGTTTACAATTATAAAATGGCTTGGGGAGGGTCTTAGGTAGGCTTTTTACTTACCTAACATATGATTATTCAATTACTGAAAGCTTAAAAAATAATACCAGTTTTATTTTTGAAAAATAAGTTACAAATGATACCCCTTGCGTATACCATCTACCCTTGTCTAGATTATTTTAGGCTTTGCATTTGCCACAGAGAAAACTTCCATTTATTTTAAGTATATCTATGACTTGAGTCTTGGATGCTGAAACTCACAAAGAGGGCTGCTATTTCATTCATTATATTACATAAGAATTCTCATGACAGCATGAAACTACCTTAATTCACATAAATGACTCAAAACTACCAATACACATCATTAAATCACAATGTCCTAAATTATGCTTTGGACATAATGAAGGCAGCCCCAAATTACTCGTCATAAATAGAATCTGGACCAAGGATAAGCTTGGAGAGGCTAAACATGTCACTCAACTGCCTTTTAAGGGATAAAGTTCAATTCTAGATGAAGTATTTCAACAGATGGTGACTGGGGCCCTGCAGATTTGAAAGTGTAGAGACACATTCCCAAAGATATCGCCATTCAATCATATTAGAAATGTCACCAGAATGGTTGGAAGCATTCAGCTTTTGTGCTTCCCAAAGCAGTGGCTGGGACAAAGTTCTGCTTGAGCCCCCAGGGCACCATGCAGCTAAGTGGGTGGGGCAAACAACTCCAGTCCAGTAGTTCTGGCTACAAACTAGACATGAAAACAAATTGGAAATCATCATTCTCAGTAAACTATTGCAAGAACAAAAAACCAAACACCGCATATTCTCACTCATAGGTGGGAACTGAACAATGAGAACACATGGACACAGGAAGGGGAACATCACACTCTGGGGACTGTTGTGGGGTTGGGGGAGGGGAGAGGGATAGCATTGGGAGATATTCCTAATGCTAGATGACAAGTTAGTGGGTGCAGCGCACCAGCATGGCACATGTATACATATGTAACTAACCTGCACATTGTGCACATGTACCCTAAAACTGAAAGTATAATAATAATAATAATAATAATAATAATAAAAAAATACTTGTTTTACAAAAAAAAAAGAAGTTTTTTTAAAAATTAAGTTCAGGCAGTAACTTAAAACTTTTTTTGAACTGTGACATTTCGGTTGTAAATTTGGGAGTTGGCAGGGAAGAGGGTTTGCCAAAGTTTTTTATTTTTGATTCAAATCTTATTAATTGTCAAAAAAAAAAACATATGGCTTAAGAGAAAAACAGAATCTGCGAATGTATACACGTCATATCAACTGTGTTAAAATAAAAATAACAAAAGGTAATATAGCAACCACCACCATCACCACCACGTATGACTGCCAGAATCTGTTCTTACAATAACCCTATGAGAGAAGTATTATTAGCATTAAAATTATTGCTCCCCATATTACAAATGAGAAAACTGATAATAGAAAGGTAAAGCAATTTGTCTAAGGACACCCTGCTGAGACATCACAGAACTGGGAATTAAACCCAGAAAGTTTTGCACTAGAATCCACAGTCTGCACTACTCCTACACAGTAAGATAATAACAAGGATCATTGTTAGGAGAGGAGATTATGCAGGATTAAGAAAAAAACTGTGTTTAAAACAAAAATAACTGTAGATTCACATTCAGTTAAAAGAAAGAAGAGAGATCCCACACACCCTTTACCTAGAACCCATCAATAATAACATCCTGCAAAACTATAGTATACCGTGACAACTAGGATACTGATACTGACACAGTCAACATACAAAACATTTTCATCATCACAGGGGTCCCTCACGTTGCTCTTTTATAGTCACAACTGGTTACCTTCCAACCATTCCCCCCAACCCTCTTCTTAATCCCTGGTAACTACGAATCTGTCCTCTATTTCTATAATTTTGTCATTTCAAGAAGGTTATATAGCGCTGGGCGGGGTGGTACATGCCTGTAACTCCAGCACTTTGGAATGTCAAGCCAGGTGGATTGCTTGAGCTCAGGAGTTCAAAACCAGCCTGGACAATGTGGTGAAATGCCATCTCTACAAAAAAATACAAAAAAATTAGCCAGGTGTGGTGGCACACACTAGCCAGGTGTGGTGGTGCGCACCTGTGGTCCTAGCTACTGGAGAGGCTGAGGTAGCAGGATCACCTGAGCCCAGGAGGCAGAGGTTGCAGTGAGCAGAGACTGTGCCACTGTACTCTAGCCTGGGCGACAGAGTGAGATGCTGTCTCAAAATAAAATAAAAATAAAAATAATTTTAAAAAGAATGTTATGTAAATGGAATCATTGTATGTCTTACTTTATGACTGGCTTTTCCCCTCAGCATAATTCTCATCAAGATTGTTGTATATATCAATAATCAATTCTTTTCATTGCTGAGTAGTATTCCATGGAATGAATGTATCACAGCCTGTCTAACCACTCAAAGACATCTGGATCATTTCTAGTTTTTGGCTATTTGGACAAATTTGTTATAAACATTCATGTACATGTTTTTGTGTGAATTTAAGTGTTCACTTCTCTGGGATAAATGATCACGTGTGTCGTTGCCAAATGGTATGAGCTGCATGCTTAGTTTCTTAGGAACTGTTTTCTAGAATGCCAGACAATCCCACCAGCAATGGATGAGAGATCCAGTTTCACTGAATTTTTACCATCACTTAGTGTTGTCACTATTTTTTACTTTAGCCATCTTAATAAGCAAATGACATCTCATTGTGGTTTTCATTTCCATTTCCCTAGAGCTAACTAATTTTTTCCCTAGGGCTGAACTAATATTTCATGTGCATATCTTCCATCTATATACCCTTTTCAGTGAAATGTCTGTCCCTCTGTCCCTCTCTTTAGTTCACATTCTCAATGAATGGTTTGATATTTTTTTTTTTTCACTCCGGAGTTTTGAGAGTCCTTTGTATATTCTACATACCAGTCCTTTTTTAGGTGTGGAGTCTGTAAACATTTTCTCTGTAGTTTGTCCTTTCATCCTCTATCAGACTCTTCCACAAATCAAAAAATTTTCATTTTAATGATGTCAAATTTATCATTTTTTCTTTCTCAGGGATCTTGCTTTTGATGTCTCTTTGCCTAGCCCTGTATTTCAAAAATTTTCTGGTTTTTTGGTTCCCTAAAAGTTTTATTGTTTTATGTTTTACATTTCAGAGTCTGAATTATTTGGGGTTAATTTTTTGGTATGAAGTGTGGGGTTTAGGTGGAGGTTAGCTTACATGCCTCTGGTCGTCCACTTGCTCTTGGACCATTTACTGAAAAGGCTATCTGCCCTCCATTGGAATGCTTTCAAATTGAATTGCTTTTGTAAAAAATCAGTTGGGCACACTTATGGATCTATCTCTGGTTCTGCCTTCTGTCCCATTAGGTTATGAGTCTATTCCTTCACCAATAACACACAGTCTTTATTATTGTGACTATATAATAAAGTCACAATATGTAAATTAGTACAT
The DNA here is from genome assembly GCF_000001405.40 of Homo sapiens. Lineage (NCBI taxonomy): Eukaryota > Metazoa > Chordata > Mammalia > Primates > Hominidae > Homo > Homo sapiens. Next base: position 65,456,964 of record NC_000003.12, read on the forward strand.
TTGATATCAAGCAGACTAATTACTATGACTTCATTCTTCCTTTTTGTAATTGTTTTAGCTATTCTCTTTCCTTTGCCTTTCCATTTATATTTTAGAATAAACTTGTCTGTATCTACAAAAAGACTGAGATTTTGACAGAAATTACATTAAACCTGTATATCCATTTGGGGAGCACTGACATCTCTATCAATTCTGAGTCTTCCTGTATGTCCACGAGACATTGTCTCAAAATAAAATAAAAATAAAAATAATTTTAAAAAGAATGTTATATAAATGGAATCATTGTATGTAATACTTTATGATTGGCTTTTCCCCTCAGCATAATTCTCATCAAGATTGCTGTATATATCAATAATCAATTTCTTCTATTGCTGAGTAGTATTCCATGAAATTAATGTATCACACAGCCTGTCTAACCACTCAAAGACATCTGGATCATTTCTAGTTTTTGGCTATTTGGACAAATTTACTATAAAAATTCATGTACATGTTTAAGTATATCTCTCCATTTATAAGGAACTTCTTTGACCTCTTTCATTAGCATTTTATAGTTTACAGTATATAAGATCCAATATATGGTTTGTTAGATTGACACCTGTATTATTTTTTTGAGCAACCTTAAATTATATTTTATTTTTGATTTTGGTAACCAAGTATTCTAGTATATAGATATACACTTGCTATTTATTAAATTTTAAATTTTTGTGGGTACATGGTAGGTGCACATATTTATGAGGTGTAGAAGATACTTCGATACAGACATACAATGTGTAATGATCACATCAGGGTAAATGAAGTGACCATCTCCCTCAAGCATTTATTCTATGTTACAAACAATTCAATTATATTCATTTAATTATTTTTAAATGTACAATTACATTATTATTGACTACAGTCACCCTGCTGTGCTATCAAATACTAAATCTTATTCATTCTTTCTATTTTTTTGTAGCCATTAACCATCTCCACTTCCCCTTACCACCACTCCACCACCCTTCCCAGCCTCTGGTAACCATCATTCTACTCTACCTCCATGGGTTCAATTGCTTTAATTTTTAGTTCCACAAATAAGTGAGAACATGTGAAGCTTGCCTTTCAGTGCCTGGCTTATTTCACTTAACATAATGACCTCCAGTTCCACAAAGGTTGTCGCAAATGACTAGTTCTCATTCTTTTTTATGGCAGAACAGTACTTCATTGGGTATATGGACTCCACTTTCTTTATCCATTTATCTGTTGATGAACATTCAGGTTGTTTCCAAATCATGACTATGGCGAATAGTCCTGCAATAAACATGGGAGTGCAGGTATCTCTTCAATATACTGATTTCCTTTAGGTATGGGTACATACCTAGCTGGATCATGTGATAGCTCTATTTTTAGTTTTTCTGTTTGTTTGTTTTTTTTTTTTGGAGGAACCCCCAAACCGTTTCCCATAGTGATTATACTAATTTACATTCCCAATAACAGTGTGAGAAGGTTTCCTTTTCTCCACATCCTCGCCAGCATTTGTTATTGCCTGTCTTTTGGATAAAACCCATTTTAACTGGGGTAAGATAACTCATTGTAGCTTTGATTTGCATTTCTCTGATGATCAGTGATGTTGAGCACCTTTTCACATATCTGTCTGCCATCTGGAGTCTTCTTTTGAGAAATGTCCACTCAGATCTTTCCCCCATTTTTCAATCAGACTACTAGATTTTTCCATAGAGTTGCTTGAGCTCCCTATATATATTCTCGTTATTAATCCCTTGTCAGATGGACAGTTTGCAAATATTTTCTCCCATTCTGTGGGTTGTCTCCTCACTTTGTTTCCTTTTCTGTGCAGAAGCTTTTTAACTTGATGTGATCCCATTTGTCCATTTTGCTTTGGTTGCCTGTGCTTATGGGGTATTACTCAAGAAATCTTTGCCCACTCTCATGTCCTGGAGAGCTTCCTCAATGTTTTGTTTCGGTAGTTTCATAGTTGGAGGTCTTAGACTAAAGCCTTTAATCCATTTTGATTTGACTTTAGTATATGGAGAGAGATATGGGATAGTTTCATTCATCTGTATATGGATATCCAGTTTTCCCAACACCATTTATTGAAGAGACCATCCTTTCCCCAATGTGTGTGCTTGGCACCTTTGTCTAAAATGAGTTCACCGTAGATGTATGGATTTGTTTCTGGTTCTCTATTCTGTTCCATTGGTCTATGTGTCTGCTTTTATGCCAGTACTGTGCTGCTTTGGTTACTACATCTCTGTACTATTATTTGAAGTCAGGTAATGTACTTCCTCCAGTTTTATTCTTTGACTCAGGATATATTTGGCTATTCTGGGTCTTTCGTGGTTCCATATAAATTTTAGAATTGTTTTTTATATTTCTGTGAGGAATATCTTTGGTATATTGATAGGGATTGCATTGAATGTGTAGACTTCTTTGAGTAGTATGGACATTTTAACAATATTGATTCTTCCAATCCATGAACACGGAATACAACTGCTATTTATATGCTTATCTTTTATCTTGCAACCTTGCTGAACTCGCTTATTATAAAATTTTCTTTGTACGTTTCTCATGATTTTCTACTAAGATAACCATATAATCTGCAAACAGGAGTAGTTTTATTTCTTCCTTTTCAATCTGTATGGCTTTTACTTCTTTATCTTGAACTATAACCCTGGCTAGAAATTCCAGCATGATGTTGAATAACCACGGGAACAGCTCAGCACTTTGGGTGGCTGAGGCAGGTAGATTTCTTGAGCCCAGGAGTTGGAGACCAGCCTGGGCAACACAGAAAAACCCTGTCTCTATAAAAACTACAAAAAATTAGCTGGGTGTAGTGGCATGTACCTGTAGTCCCAGCTACTTGGGAGGCTGAGGTGGGAGAATCACCTGAGCTCAGAGAAGTTAAGACTGCAGTGAGCTGCGTTAACACCACTGCACTCCAACATGGGCAACAGGAGTGAGACCCTGTCTCAAGAAAAAAAAGAAAAAAAGAAAAAAGAGTGGGGACAACTGACATCCTTGGCTTGTTTTCACACTTGCAGGGAAGGCATTTCATCTTTTCACTATTAAGTATAACGTTGGTCATTGGTTTTCTGTAGATGCTCTTTAACAAGTCAAAGAAATTTCCCTTAATTCCTATTTTCCCATGTGAAGACTGCTGAATTTTGTCAAATGCTTTTTCTGCATCGATTCATATGAGCATTGATTCTTTAGCCTGTTAACATGGTGGGTTACACTGATTGATTTATTTGAATACTGAGAAAGCCTTGAAGCACTAGAACAATTCCCACTTGATCATGGGAAATTGCTGATTACTACTTACTAAATTTTGTTAAAGATTTTTGCATTTATGCCTTTTTTGTACTGTGTTTAGTTTTGTTATCAAGGTAATATTAGCTTCATAAAAATAACTGTAGAGTGTTCTTCCTCTTTTATTTTCTGGAAGACATTATGTAGAAATAGTGTAATAGTTCAATATTCCTTTTTCAGGAGTTCTTAAATATACAAATTCATCCCTCATTATCTTTTTTTTTTGTGATGAGTGACTCCTCATTTAAGCCTGGGAATACTACTTGCATTACTTATTTCTTCTTCTTTTTTAAAAAAATTATACTTAAGTTCAGGGATACATGTGCAGAACATGCAGATTTGTTACACAGGTATACATGTGCCATGGTGGTTTGCTGCACCCATCAACCTGTCATCTACATTAGGTATTACTCCTAATGCTGTGCCTCCCCTTACCCACCACCCTCCAACAGGTCCCCTAGTGTGTGATGTTCCCCTCCCTGTGCCCATATGTCCTCATTGTTCAACTCCCACTTATAAGTGAGAACATGGGGTGTTTGGTTTTCTGTTCCTATATTAGTTTGCTGAGAATGAGGGTTTCCAGCTTCATCCATGTCCCTGCAAAGGACATGAACTCATTCTTTCTTATGGCTGCATAGTATTACATGGTATATATGTGCCACATTTTCTTTATCCAGTCTATCATTGATGGGCATTTGGGTTGGTTCCAAGTCTTTGCTATTGTGAATAGGGCTGCAATAAACATACGTGTGCATGTATATTTATAGTAGAATGATTTATAATCCTTTGGGTATATACCCAGTAATGGAATTGCTGGGTCAAATGGTATTTCTAGTTGTATATCCTGGAGGAATTGCCACACCGTCTTCCACAATGGTTGAACTAATTTACACTCCCACCAACAGTGTAAAAGCATCTCTCTGGCATCTGTTGTTTCTTGACTTTTTATTTATTTATTTATTTATTTTTTGCGATGGAGTCTTGCTCTGTCGCCCAGGCTGGTGTGCAGTGACACGATCTCGGCTCACTGCAACCTCCACCTCCCAGGTTCAAGCAATTCTCCTGCCTCAGTCTCCTGAGTAGCTGGAACTATAGGCTCGTGCCAATACACCCGCCTAGTTTTTTGTATTTTTAGTAGAGATGGTGTTTCACCACGTTAGGCAGGATGGTCTCGATCTCCTGACCTCATGATCCGCCCATCTTGGCCTCCCAATGTTTCTTGACTTTTTTTTTTTTTTTTTTTAAGACAGAGTCTCACTCTGTCGCCCAGGCTGGAGAGTGGTGGCGTGATCTTGGCTCACTGCAAGCTCCGCCTCCCGGGTTCACGCCATTCTCCTGCCTCAGCCTCCCGAGTAGCTGGGACTACAGGCGCCCGCCACCACGCCTGGCTAATTTTCTGTATTTTTAGTACAGATGGGGTTTCACCGTATTAGCCAGGATGGTCTCGATCTCCTGACCTCATGATCCACCTGCCTCAGCCTCCCAAAGTACTGGGAATACAGGCGTGAGCCACCACGTCCAGCCTGTTTCTTGACTTTTTAATGATTGCCATTCTAACTGGCATGAGATGGTATCTCATTGTGGTTTTGATTTGCATTCCTCTAATGACTAGTGATGATGAGCTTTTTTTCACATATTTGTTGGCCACATAAATGTCTTCTTTTGAAAAGTGTCTGTTCATATCCTTTGCCCACTTTTTGATAGGGTTGTTTTTTTCTTGTAAATTTGTTTAAGTTCCTTGTAGATGCTGGATGTTAGCCCTTTGAATGGATAGATTCCAAACATGTTCTCCCATTCTGTAGGTTGCCCATTCACTATGATGATAGTTTCTTTTGCTGTGCAGAAGCTCTTTAGCTTAACTAGATCCCATTTGTCAATTTTGGCTTTTGTTGCCATTGCTTTTGGTGTTTTAGTCATGAAGTCTTTGCCCATGCCTATGTCCGGAAAGGTATTGCCTAGATTTTCTTCTAGGGTTTTTATGGTTTTAGGTCTTATGTTTAAGTCTTTAATCCATCTTGAGTTAATTTTTGTATAAGGTGTAAGTAAGAGATCCAGTTTCAGTTTTCTGCATATGGCTAGCCAGTTTTTCCAACACCATTTATTAAATAGGGAATCCTTTCCCCATTGCTTGTTTTTGTCAGGTTTGTCAAAGATCATATGGTTGTAGATATGTGGTGTTATTTCTGAGGCCTCTGTTCTGTTCCATTGGTCTATATATCTGTTTTGCTACTGATACTATGCTGTTTCGGTTACTGTAGCCTTGTAGTATAGTTTAAAGTCAGATAGCATGATGCCTCCAGCTTTGTTCTTTTTGCTTAGGATTGTCTTGGCTACATGCTCTTTTTCTGGTTCTATATGAAATTTAAAGTAGTTTTTTCTAATTCTGTGAAGAAAGTCAATGGTAGCTTGATGGGGATAGCATTGAATCTATAAATTACTTTGGGCAGTATGGCCATTTTCACAATATTAATTCTTCCTATCCATGAGCATGGAATGTTTTTCCATTTATTTGTGTCCTCTCTTATCTCCTTGAGCAGTGGTGCGTAGTTCTCCTTGAAGAGCTGCTTCACATCCCTTGTAAGTTGTATTCCTGGGTATTTTATTCTCTTTGTAGCCATTGTGAATGGGAGTTCACTCATGATTTGGCTCTCTGTTTGTCTACTATTGGTGTATAGGAATGCTTGTGATTTTTTGCACATTGATTTTGTAGCCTGAAACTTTCCTGAAATTGTTTACCAGCTTAAGGAGTTTTTAGGCTGAGATGATGGGGTTTTCTAAATATATAATCATGTCATCTGCAAACAGAGATAATTTGACTTCCTCTCTTCCTATCTGAATATGCTTTATTTCTTTCTCTTGCCTGATTGCCCTAGCCAGAACTTCCAGGTGGTAAGAGAGGGTATCCTTGTCTTGTGCCAGTTTCAACGGGAATGCTTCCAGCTTTTGCCCATTCAGTATGATATTGGCTGTGGGTTTGTCATAAATAGCTCTTCTCATTTTGAGATATGTTCCAACAATACCTAGTTTATTGAGTGTTTTTACCATGAAAGGGTGTTGAATATTATTGAAGGCCTTTTCTGAAACTGTTGAGATAATCATGTGGTTTTTGTCATTGGTTCTGTTTATGTGATGGATTATGTTTATTGATTTGCATATGTTGAACCAGCCTTGCAGCCCAGGGATGAAGCTGACTTGATCGTGGTGGATAAGCTTTTTAAAGTGCTGCTGGATTCGGTTTGCCAGTATTTTATTAAGGATTTTCACATCGATGTTCATCAGGGATATTGGCCTGAAATGTGTGTGTGTGTGTGTGTGTGTGTGTGTGTGTGTGTGTGTGTGTCTGCCAGGTTTTGGTATCAGGATGATGCTGGCCTCACAAAAAGAGTTAGGGTGGAGACCCTCTTTTTCTATTGCTTGGAATAGTTTCAGAAAGAATGGTACCAGCTCCTCTGTATAACTCTGGTAGTATTTGGCTGTGAATCCATCTGGTTCTGGGCTTTTTTTGGTTGGTAGGTTATTAATTACTGCCTCAATTTCAGAACTTGTTATTGGTCTATTCAGGGATGCAACTTCTTCCTGGTTTAGTCTTGGGTGGGTGTATGTGTCCAGGAATTTATCCATTTCTTCTAGATTTTCTAGTTTATTTGCATAGAGGTATTTATACTATTCTCTGATGGTAGTTTGTATTTCTGTAGGATCAGTGGTGATATCCCCTTTATCATTTTTTATTGTGTTTATTCTATTCTTCTCTCTTTCAGGGATGCCCTGGCCAGAGAGGAGGAATCTCCACCTCTTATTATCTTGAATGACTTTAGGGTCCATAGTGACTCCTTACTTAATTCCTAATATTGACAATTTGGTCTGCTCTCATTTTTTTCTTTGTCAATCTTATTAGAGGTTCTTCAATTTTTTTAATCCTTTTGAAGAATCAGCTATTTCTTTCATTGATTTTTATCTATTGTTTTTCAGCTCTTGACAATTTCTCCTCTTACCTTTATTATTTCCTTCCATCTTTTTGAGCTTAAGTTATTCTTCTCTTCCCAGGTTCTTGCACTGGGAGTTTAGATTGTTAATTTGAGACTTTTCCTCTTTTCTCATATATATGTTTAGTGCTGTAAATTTACCTCTCATCACTGCCTTGGCTGTGTCCCACCTATTTTAATGTGCTGTATTTACATTTTCATTCAGTTCAATTTATTTGCTTATCTTTAATTTCCCTTGAGACTTCCTCTTTGACCCATAGATTATTTAAAAGTATGTTGTTTAGTTTGCTTCTAATTCA